>NC_000014.9:52338985-52642016 GCF_000001405.40 Homo sapiens | reverse complement strand
AGTGGGGTTTATTTATATAGTGGTTAAGAAATGTCAGTTTACACTGCTGTATACTTCTTCTTCTGTGTCCCTAAGGCCTGGTACAGTGCCAAGCACATACTTGGTATCCAATAAATATTTGTTGGATGAATGTATGCATATGTATTCAGTATATTTTAAATGAATAATCACAGAAGTAAGTTTAATAATTTGTCCTATTTTTCTCTGTCACTTCCTTTTTCTCTAAGGCAGGAAAGGAAAGACATTAAACCATTAATTAAGTCAATCCTCTTGGAGACTCAAAAGACTATGAAGTGATCACTCTATATAAAATATAAATACAGTGTGGGTTCAAATGGCCATTTTTTGTGTGTCCCTCTCTCTCATCTTATGCTTCCCTTCCTTTTTTTATTTTTATTTTTTGGAGACGGAGTCTTGCTGTGTCGCCCAGGTTGGAGTGCAGTGGCGTGATCTTAGCTCACTGCAAGCTCTGCCTTCCAGGTTCACGCCATTCTTCTGCCTCAGCCCCCTGAGTAGCTGGGACTACAGGCGCCCGCCACCACGCCCGGCTAATTTTTTTTTTTTTTTTTTTGTATTTTTAGTAGAGGCAGTGTTTCACCGTGTTAGCCAGGATGGTCTTGATCTCCTGACCTCGTGATCCACCCACCTCGACCTCCCAAAGTGCTGGGATTACAGGCGTGAGCCACCACGCCCGGCCTCTTTTTTTTTTAGCTGCCAATCTTTTTGAAGGAATATTCTTACCTCTACTTTGTCACCTTCTACTGGCTCCTTAACTAAAATCTGCCATTTGGCTCTCTGGTTAACAGTCCCTTCCTGTAAAGTCTAAAATCTTAATTCTAAATCCACAGTTTAATTCACAAGCTAGTACTTGACTTTTTTTCTGTATTTGACATTTTTGACAACCCCTACTTTAAAGATTTATTCCCTTGACTTCTTACATTTTGCTCACTCCTGAACCACCCCCCACCTTTTGGCCTCTTCATTTATTCCTTAAATGTTATTCCTCAGACCTCCATTTTTTTTTTCTCTCTTAATCACAACACCACTTCTCACGCTTGGGTAATTTTAATTCAGCAGTTCCTAAATCCTTATCTTTAGCCAGACTCCTCAATCCATCTGCCTGTTGCACTTTTCTTGGTTGTCCCAGAGACACCTGTGTGTGTCTTAAAACATTCATTCTCTGCAAAACCTACTCTAATGCCTGTGTCCCTTACTTTGGTTAATTTTAGAACCATTATATTCTAAGTTTTCTAGGCTCATTCCTCTCCTCCACCTTCCCCTATCATTTAGTGTCTAAGTTTTACTGATTTTATCTCCACCTCTCTGATACATCACTCTTTCATCTTCATTGCTATTATTAATAAATACCTACAGTACTAACCTGCCTCCTATACCTAGCTGGTCTCCTCTCTGTTGCTCAATGTTACCACAGCAGGCTTTCTAGAAGCACTCTGACAGTGTTACTCCCTAATATCCTTCAGTGACTTCAGGAACTTTCAGGAGAAAGCCAAACTCCTCTGTTTGGTGTACAAGGTCTTCTGATGTGTTTCCTCCACCGAATGTTCTGGTGAAACAGACTTACACTTCTTCAGAAGCCACATTTGGCCAGGCCTCCCGCCTTGGTAAATGCTGTACTCTTTGCATCAAGTATGCTAGTCATCCTTCCCCACTTGGAAAATTCCTATGCATCTTGCAGGCCTGACATAAGCATTTCCTCTGTGAAACCTCCTTTGCTCCACTCAAGGAGAGTCATCTAACTTCCACTTTCGTGTCACCACTGTAATTACAACCTACCTCTATTGTATGTCACTTAAATCGTACTGTATTGTTTTATTTTTCAAAAGTCTTTACTAGAATGTGAGCTCCTTAAGGGCAGGAAAAGGAACCTTTTTATTTTTTGCATCTCCATAGCATAGTTTTTGGCATATGAATGTTTAATAAATGTTTGTTGAATAAATTGATTTTAAAGTGACATCTTTATTATATTAGAGGTCCTACCTATATTCCAAATACTTTCACTCCCTTCACTTTACAGCAAGGGTCAGTAGAGTCCCAAGGATTTGTAGACTTTAGGGGGTCAATAAAGCTGAAATTGTATTCAAGATTTGGTGTGGTTTTTGGTGGGTCATGAAAGGGGTCTATTCGGGGAAAAAAAGGAACTTCTTTCATGGGAAAAGGCAGCATCATTGAGGAATTTCTTGAATAATCAAATAATACCTTCCTAGGATTATAAGGTAGATAAATGGATTCCTGTTTAAGATTCTGAAGGGAAGGGGAGAAGTGTTATAAATTATTTCATACAACAATTTTTCTTAGCTTAATGTTTGAATAAATAAAAATGTTGGTACCAGTACCATGCTGTTTTGGTTACTGTAGCCTTGTAGTATAGTTTGAAGTCAGGTAGCGTGATGCCTCCAGCTTTGTTCTTTTGGCTTAGGATTGACTTGGCGATGCGGGCTCTTTTTTGGTTCCATATGAACTTTAAAGTAGTTTTTTCCAATTCTGTGAAGAAAGACATTGGTAGCTTGATGGGGATGGCATTGAATCTATAAATTACCTTGGGCAGTATGGCCATTTTCATGATATTGATTCTTCCTACCCATGAGCATGGAATGTTCTTCCATTTGTTTGGATCCTCTTTTATTTCATTGAGCAGTGGTTTGTAGTTCTCCTTGAAGAGGTCCAGAGATATAGATCAATGGAACAGAACAGAGCCCTCAGAAATAACGCCGCATATCTACAACTATCTGATCTTTGACAAACCTGAGAAAAACAAGCAATGGGAAAAGGATTCCCTATTTAATAAATGGTGCTGGGAAAACTGGCTAGCCATATGTAGAAAGCTGAAAATGGCTCCCTTCCTTACACCTTATACAAAAATTAATTCAAGATGGATTAAAGACTTAAACGTTAGACCCAAAACCATAAAAACCCTAGAAGAAAACCTAGGCATTACCATTCAGGACATAGGCATGGGCAAGGACTTCATGTCTAAAACACCAAAAGCAATGGCAACAAAAGCCAAAATTGACAAATGGGATCTAATTAAACTAAAGAGCTTCTGCACAGCAAAAGAAACTACCATCAGAGTGAACAGGCAACCTACAAAATGGGAGAAAATTTTCGCAACCTACTCATCTGACAAAGGCTAATATCCAGAATCTACAATGAACTCAAACAAATTTACAAGAAAAAAACAAACAACCCCATCAAAAAGTGGGTGAAGGACATGAACAGACACTTCTCAAAAGAAGACATTTATGCAGCCAAAAAACACATGAAAAAATGCTCACCATCACTGGCCATCAGAGAAATGCAAATCAAAACCACAATGAGACACCATCTCACACCAGTTAGAATGGCAATCATTAAAAAGTCAGGAAACAACAGGTGCTGGAGAGGATGTGGAGAAATAGGAACACTTTTACACTGTTGGTGGGACTGTAAACTAGTTCAACCATTGTGGAAGTCAGTGTGGCGATTCCTCAGGGATCTAGAACTAGAAATACCATTTGACCCAGCCATCCCATTACTGGGTATATACCCAAAGGACTATAAATCATGCTGCTATAAAGACACATGCACACGTACATTTAATGCGGCACTATCCACAATAGCAAAGACTTGGAAGCAACCCAAATGTCCAACAATGATAGACTGGATTAAGAAAATGTGGCACATATACACCATGGAATACTATGCAGCCATAAAAAATGATGAGTTCATGTCCTTTGTAGGGACATGGATGAAATTGGAAATAATCATTCTCAGTAAACTATCGCAAGAACAAAAAACCAAACACTGCATGTTCTCACTCATAGGTGGGAATTGAACAATGAGAACACATGGACACAGGAAGGGGAACATCACACTCTGGGGACTGTTGTGGGGTGGGGGGAGGGGGGAGGGATAGCTTTAGGAGATATACCTAATGCTAAATGATGAGTTAATGGGTGCAGCACACCAGCATGGCACATGTATACATATGTAACTAACCTGCACATTGTGCACATGTACCCTAAAACTTAAAGTATTAAAAAAAAACCCTTAAAAAATAAAAATAAAAATGTTGTACTATCTAATAACGTATTGGCATTTTAAACTGCATGGCACTTCATGTCAAACTGGTGTATGTGGAGCAATATGACATCCAGATGTAAGTAATTATGAGATCACTAAAGGCGAACTATCATTTGTAACTCCTGATTTTTTTTTTTTTTGTGGTAGCACTATGTTCTTATTCTTATATGATAGAAACTCAGTATAGTCCATTATAAGAGATGAAGAAAACCAGAACTCTAAATAAAAGCACAAACACTTTTATTTTTAATAGTAGTGTTTTGTTACAATTTAGTGAAACAACAAATAAATACATTCATTGGCCACAGCTATACTTTTACAACCAGTTTGAAACTGATTATATAGCTGAGAAACACTGTTAAACAATAAAAAAGGCAGCTATGCATAAAAAAGCCACTTTAGCTATAAATTACATTTTCCATAAAACTACAACCAACTACAATGAGTGGTAAAGGTTTCAAAATTAATGGCCACCCAAGTGAAATGATGAAAACAAATACTGCTAATCACTATAGAATTACACACTTAAGTAATGAAATTCACTTTTTAATGAACAAAAATGAAGGTTTGATACTGTCATCATGTGCTTCAGTGCAGGATGAACAGGGAATCGGTAGCCCTTTGATTTTATAAACAACTCCTTTCGAGACCAAACTTAAAGTGCTCCTAGTGCTTTGGAATTTTTAAGCAAAGATTGGGCCAGAGTGTATCTTTATTTGTCTTTGGTGATATGTTAGATGTGTATAAGGAGACAAATGCAAGAATTTGGGTACCCTAGTCAGTGATAAGAATAAACTTACAAACCTCAAATTTGGAACAATCAACTAATGCAGCAGAAAGAACCAAGTTATTTTATCTGAAAAATTTTTAAAAAGTAATCTTTGTTAGTTTGGTCAAATAGGAACATTATCGAGGGGAGCCTTACTAGAAAAACTTTATCACCTTGAACCCCAAGGATTAACAAAGACAACATATCTTTTTGGACAGCTCTAGATGATTAGATGCCTAACATTATTAGCAAAATAAACAGTTAGCATTCTGAGAAGCAATCTAACAACTGGAGTTGTAATAAAAGTACGCTTTTGTCACTTAATACCACGGGTAACTTTTTATACTATACATTTTAAAATAATTTGGTTACAATGAGAGAATTATAAACAAACCCAAAATAACATAAGTATATGCTTCTGATTGAATACAAAGTCATTTTGTATCATAAAAAGAAGAAATTTATTTGTCTGTGTACTGGCCTCCCAAAAGATCGAAAGCATTAACAATTTCAATTTTTCCTTAAGGTTTCAACCTAGTGTTATACTTTTATGAAGTTATTGTATCAGTTGTTAAAAAGTTGAAGTACATTTTAAGTAAGCGAGGAAATAACATTCTAATCAAAGTATAAAACAGAAAAGGATAGTCGTATTAGTTCCAGTTCTGAAGAAATAGCTAGCAGACAATTGTAGTTTGTCTTTGAGCATGTTGTGACAACTTCCCAATGTTGCTTGTTCCCTTGGCATCTTGAGGTATTCAGCATCTACTTCTTTCCATATAGACACTGGTACAAAGTGCATTTTAAAATTCTGTATTATCTCAGCCTGCCATTTTCTTTTTTTTTAGATTTGGGATAGGACATTTAAGACAGTTTTAATGTAATTCTAAAAGTACTCCAATATTGTTAACCTGTGGTTTTATACTTACCTAGTTTGTACATTTACTTAAGTTTGCTCATTTAGTCTAATGCTGGAATTAATCTGAATTCAATTTAATTTGGCTTTTCCCATATATAAGATATAAAAATGTGAAAATCATAGGAATTATATGTCTTACAAAGTATTGCACTTGAGTTCACTGCAATAATGTATCATGATTTCATTTACCTGAGGACAATCCTGATTCACTAGGTAAGACCAGCTATATCATGCTTCAGAGAAATCAAATGCTTTTGAAAATATATTTATGTTTTAATTTAGAATTACACATTTTGTGAATAATTCTTAAATGCATCTCTAAACTTGTTTAGTCCCAAGAAGTTTCTACCAAAATCTCCCTATGCAAAAGTCACTATTGCTTTCTTCAAGAATCATGCTTAAACTACTACATATATCTCAATTACACAAAATAATCAACTGACCAATTCTACTCAAAATAGCCACACAATTTTCACTGGTATATTTTCCTCTTGAAATTATTGTGGCTCTCCAAAGAACACTGCTGGCCATAACTAATGGATTACTACCATCATTTGTTTAAAATGATTGAATTTCAGTTGCTATTTTAAAATCATGCTTAAAAGAACTGTCTTCAATGATTACACATTTTCAGTAGATTTTTATAAAGAATGATACATTTTTATGCCTTAACTCTGTGCACTGTTCACACTATAAAATTTTTATTAAGATATCTGTATAGAGCATACCAATGAATATACCGGCTTTGATTTTCATAGGAAAATTGCCTTCCAGTTTGGTGTACAATACAGTATTTCAGTGTGAACATTGGCATATGACTTTGGGGACTGCAGTGACTCAGAACAAAGATAAAAGTGCACATATGCATTTGATGTTCCAAAGTCAGGATTTTTGGAGGCCATCAAGTGCCTTAAGATCTAATCTCTCTTTTCTCCTACTCCAAACTTTCCATTTTACTTCATTTTACTATGAAGAGGTCAAAAATAATAGCTGTGTTATTTACCAAACACAGCCACACTTCCAGATTTTGTTTTCAGTTGCAACAGATAATGGAATGTTTATGTAGATGGAATTTAAACACATTGAATATACACATTTATGAAAAACAACTCAAGAATCATGACTTGGTGATGCTGTCAGTTTTGTGGTGTCACATATAAGCTATGATGATTGTTCAAATCTAAATTACTACAAGTAAAGAGCAAAGGAGCAGTATCTGTCATAGGTCCATTCAGGTGGGGAGTGACTGTGTAACTGCTGCTGCCACACCCAGTCATGGTGCCATACCAGCCCAAACTTTGCGAATTTGGTAAACTGCAACAAAAAAAAGGCAAAAAGACCATAGGACTATGATCAGGATATAAGAAGTCACATTTGAATTTTTAGCATTTTCAATGAATTTTGTAATAAAGTTAGCACTCAAATACATTGAAATATGTTCTTTGTCAAATAACAAAATGCTTTTCTACAAATTTAATGACTTTTATCTAATATCCTGGATTCTATATCGCAGTATGTTACAAAAGAATGAATAAATGCCACTCAGAACTGGTAGAACTTGATTGTCAGATGACAACAATGTAGTCCTTATGTACTCAGCTCTATTCTAAGACATCTATGTATGTATGTATGTATGTATGCAGACACACATATACATTCATTTCTCACAACAAACCTCTGAAATAGGTTCTATTATCCCTGTCTTACAGATGAAAAGCAGGTTCAAAAAACTGAGGTTATATAACTTGCCCAGATGAAGTTAGGATTACAGAAAATGTCATATCAAGCTGAAGCCATTATGCTTCATGGCTTCAGCCATTAAGCTTTCCTCTTTGCCCGAATCACAGTCAATAGTGTACTAGTTACGGACTTGAAATGGTTTTGTAACAAGGAGGGCATGGGAACATTTCCTATGGCAATTAAGCTTCCCAAGAGTTTTATCTAGGGTTTCTCTGGATTTTGACCAGCACTAAAGATATGGAAACAGACATATAATCACTATAATAGTATTTCTTCCTTGTGCATCCCCCTCCCACAAACAGCTCTGAACCAACAAGTGATCCCGAAATGAAATGGTACCATTTTAGCCAAAAGGCATATAGGCTTTGAGTCAAATGGTAGTTCCTGATAATGCAGGTCCCACCCTGGGTTTAACATCTACTGCTTTAAACTCCAGTATTGCCGATCTTATTTATTGACATATTACCACTAAATCACCTTTTTTCATATTTTGGTTAAAGCTTAGATTTGTTTTTTTCAATCAATTTCAATAGTAATTCAGGCTAAGTGGCTTTGTTACATCTACCTTCCTTCTCTTGAACTTCCCAGTCTTGGCAGGTCATCATCACTATCATATCGTCTTGGATTGTCGAAAAAGTAAGCTCTGGAACTATAACTGTGACTATTTATCATGCCAGCAGGTGCCTGTGAACAAAGTATTAGATAGCATATGAAGGTTTTACTTTTCCACTAAGAAAGGAGGCTAGAATCTATAATAATTTTTAGTCTTAACCTTTGCCAAAAATAGAAAATCAATATAAATGTTCCATAATTTTTAAAAATAGGAGAACAGGCATTGGGGAATATTATATCATACCAAATTCTGGTTTAATCTCTGTGCCCGGAAAAACAGTACCACCGACCATGCTGGCACATGTTCCCACAGAAAGAGGACCATTCCAAATACTATATACTCTTCTCCACTTATGTCTTCTACATGAGCCTGTAAATAGAGCATGGCAGAGAATTTTTACATCTGTTTATTGTATAAGCAATCACCTCCACAGTTAACTTGTTTCAAGTCAGGTAAGATAAAATATATCAACTACAAGCACATAAACTCTAAAACTTTCTATATTTTGTGGTTTCTCATGAAATGACACTTATCCTTTAAAGGACATAAAATGCTTTGAAGCTACAAAAAATAAAAAGCAGTTAATTTTTTCAATGTATCAGTTTATGACAATTTTAATATATGGATAATAAGGAGTGATCTCCTATTTAGGCCCCATAATCTAAAGAGAGTGACTTTTAAAGACATTACTGTTCCAGCTGCTCCATAGGCAAAATAACAGCACTTACCCTAATTACACCTATAGAAAAATGTAACATGTTAAGTCACTCAGCTCAGCTCTACTTAAAATATGCTTTTGGACCTAATCTACATATTAAATTTGTTTCTGTTCTATCAGATGTTGGAAGAGGGAAATGGAAAAAGGAGTGAATAGAATCTGCCACAAGGAACCACATGTGAAAATTCCTTCACTTTAGAAAGGTAAATGAAAAATAGTATTCCCGGAACCCTTAAATTCAGTACAAAGCTAAATTACTATAAAGATATGACATATAGCTATGTCAAAATGTATGTTTAGGAAGCATATGGGAATGCTAGGAAGTTAAATATGCGTAGTTAGAGTACTGGGAATTACGATAGCAAATACCTGGACACCCAAGGAACTACGAATGCTCTCCCATTATCAAGACTGACAAAGCCAGATTTTTATGAAAGCCATTATTTAAACATGTTAACCTGAACCAAATATTAAGAGTATATGTAGTTCTTGGGTAGGGGAGAGTTACTTTCCTCCTAACAAAGACCATATTCACTGGCTAATAATAGGGAATTCATTTATCTAGAAATATTTAAACATCATCATTAACAAAAATAAGTAAAATTAGCATATGACCGAGAGGCTTGTGGCACTATTATTATTTACCAAAAAAGAGAGAGAAAATACTCCTTTGAGAGAAGTTCTCTGTGAAGAATGATTTCAAATGTCACACGTACATAAAGATTTTTAAACACAAAGCTTTAAGTATGATTACTGACAGTAGACAGAGATTCCATAAATGTGTTTGTAAGTCAAACACTACAGTGTTCTTCTAGATGAGGGTAAGTTAATTATCACATTGTTAGACTGGCAATACGTGGTAGGTATTTACCTTATCTGAAAGATTATCCCAGCCATAATTAAATGGACTTTCTAATGTATCCTGAGATATGGTGACCACCACCAAATTATAACAAGCTCTGGAAGAGTACAGAAGAATGACTACAGAGCCCACGACGACAGTCTGGCACAGAGACATACCCTAAAACAAATAAAAATCATCATCTTTAGTATTCTACACATTTGTCACGACAAGCTATTCATGTACATACAATATGGTCACCTCTTGCAATGCACTCCTACAAAGCACTGAGTACCTGTTGAAATAAACTCTTGATTATCTTGCTTTTCAATTCCTATTCCTAGAACTGCTTGTGTTTAATATGTGTAAGTTTTTTTTTTTTTTTTGCCAACTTGCCAAATAGCAGCTGGAGAAAGATTTTGTTCTGCCAAGGTTGCCTTGTAATATATGAATAAACAAGTTGGCAAAAGATCTGAACTTTAATTGATGTTAATCAAAGAGGTAGTTTAGTCATAATGAGAAAAGAATGGAAAATAGAAGCATTAGTTCATTTGATACACTTAATTTCTGATACAAAATTAGAATAGAAATAGAGTTCCTATGCTATTTGCTTTCATTCTTTTAGATTCTATTACAGAGTGCTTGTTAGTCCCCTATTGATGCTACAGTGTTGATGGCAAATGTTCTGGGCACCCATATGTACTTTCAAATCCTTAAAATTTTAAGACTATGGCTTTCACCATTTCCCTCAACATAAAAAGCCCTTCCAACTTAGTGGTTCTCAACTGGAGTGTGTATATTGGAGAAGGGTGTGGTAGTCACCTCTTGCAGAGATTCTTAACCTGGGGTCTGTATTTCCATACAATCCATTTTCTTTGCAATCCTATGTATTTTATTTTATGCATTAAAAAAATTACTCTGTGACATCCTTGCCAAAGAGTTCCATTGCACAGAAACACCCAGTATAGTGTTTTGGAAGTTTGTGTTTGGTTGTCACAATGATTAAGGGGCAATTATGGCATTTAGTGCACAACGTCCAGGGATGCTAGATGACTTGCAAGTCACAGGAGAATCCTCCACCTAAGCTAACTGTCCTCTGGCCTTGATAACTTTCTAATGTCCTCCTGGACAGTCATGAAGATGAAACACCTGTTTATAATTATCTGAGTCAGAACCTAATTCCGTTTTGAATATAAACGAAGTATATATTTACATAGTTTAAATAGAGGCCCAAATTTCCACAAACACATAGAATGTGTAAATTGAAGGAAATTTGTGCTTTGTTTTCTTCAGAATTTTATCAGTTGTTCAAATATTTCAGAAAATCATGACATTGACAGCAATACTGCTTGTGGTATACAAGTGACCAATGCAACACACCTGTAATAGTCTGCATTTATAGCTGCCCCATTCATGGTTTCTGTGTCTAAACACAAACATCTATTACATCATGCTCTAAAAGTAACATGTTGAAATATTTATTAATTGCTCTCCTTTTATTTCCTCTTTATGTTACAATTAAGGCAATTACACTGAATTTTATGTGTGTAGGTAGGTTAAAAATCCATTAATTTCAGGGTAGAAACAGGTAATTAAAAATGTTTGTTATTAGAACTGCACTGGGTCTTGCGGGGCTCTTGCGGGGTTGAGAACCATTATTATAACTGACTTCCTCAGAACAATTCATTTTAGAGGTATATGAAAAGAAAGAACTAAAAGATAAAAGATACCCTGAAAGATGCTGGGATAGTAACAGAGCACCTTCTTTGAGCTAACACACTACCATCACAAAAAGTATGTGTGAAAATAAAACTGGCAAAACTTAAAAATTAAGGCTAAAATTTTCTACAATATGCTATTTTATTTTTGTGAATCCAAAAAAAGTTAATAAAAGTTAATCTAAACCAATCCAGATCCAATTTTAGAAGTAATGTATTATTAAAGAAAAGTAAGGAAACAAGAACAAGAAAACAGGATGCTGTAAGAATTACCATCCTCAAAAATAACTGCAAAAGTTTATATGCACTGCTTTGGGAAATATGACAACTGTCAGAAACATGCTATAATACAGAGAAACTGTTTAAATTTGTAAATACTATAGAAGCTTTTAAAAAAAGATTGTGAGAAAAGAGCAAAGAAGCAATAATGCCGAATTAATACAACAAACAAAACAACCTCTAGTCAAATTACATACATAAAACAATGAAAGACACCCATTGATTTGGAAAACAAAAGATTCACCCCCACAAAATACAGGATTACAAAATGAAAAATAAGGATCCAGCGACATAGAAAGTGTTATCGAAAGTCGAAGAAAACCTTCCTAAAATAGAGTCAGAACAAGCAATTCAACTCAGGAGAAATTCTCAAGGAATGATTTTCCTTTCCCGGTCTCTGACACCTACATACCACTTTTAAAGAAATTCCACACTTGATAAGTGAAAAAGAGTTACACCTCACTCCTAAACACCTCAGTATCCATAACATTGGAGTTCAATAGTGTTTACAGATACTTTTAGAACGCAGATATGCAGACACCTTAACCTACTAGTCATTGAGTTTTGACAAATGTATACACACATGTAACCCAAATCTCCACCAAAATACAGAACATCATCATTCCAGAAAGTTCCCTCACACCCCTTCCATCAACCAAACCCAAAACACAAATGCTCCCCTGCTTTGGTTTTTACAACTTAGTTCTACCTGCTCTAGAAGTTCATGTAAGTGGCACCATAGAATATGAACTCTTGTATGTTTCATTCACTCTGCAGAATGTTTCTGAGATTCATCCTTGTTTTTGGATGTATCTATCAGGAGTTAGTTGTTTTTATTGCTGAGAGGATAATTACAGTGACCAACTCTTCCTGATTTGCTTAGGGGTTTTCTGGTTTTAGCACCTGAAGTCCCACATCCTAGAAAACTGAGACCCAGGAAAATTGAGAAAGTAAATCACACTAATTCCACTTTCTGATTATATGAGTTTGTTTATATGACAGTTAGATAGAGTCTTTGAATATTCTTGTACAAATAGTTTTGTGGATATGTTTTCACCTCTTTTGGGTAACTACCTAAGAGCGGAATTGCTGGGTCATATGGTGGTCGTTAAGTTCAGCTGTGTAAGAAATTGACAAATCTTTTCCCAAAATGGATGTACAATTTTATACTTCCAACAAAGTGTGAGAGTTTCAGTTTTTCCACCAAACTGTCCAATTCTAGGCCTCATTTGGGACTGTCAATCTTTTTAGCCATGCTGGAAGATGTGATGTCTCATTTTGGTTTTAATTTGCATTTCCCAGATGACTAATAATATTGTGTTATTGGCCATTTGTATATCTTCTTTGTGAAGAATCTATTCAAATCTTTTGACCACTTCCAAATTGGGTTGTCTTATTAAATCAATGAGTTGTAGGAGATCTTTATATATGCTGACAATCAACTCTTGTCAGATATACGTATCGCAAACATTTTCTTTAAGTCTGTGGCCTGTCTTTGCATTTTCTCAGTCTTGCCTTTGATAAGAATTTTAACTTCTTTTTTATTTTTGAGACAGTCTCCCTCTGTCATCCAGGCTGGAGTGCAGTGGTGCAATCTTGGCCCACTGCAGCCTCTGTCTACCGGGTTCAAGTGATTCTCCTGCCTCAGCCTCCCGAGTAGCTGGGATTACAGGTGCCTGCCACCACACCTGGCAAATTTTTGTATTTTTAGTAGAGACGGAGTTTTACCATGTTGGCCAGGCTGGTCTTGAACTCCTGACCTCAAGCGATCTGACCACCTTGGCCTCCCAAAGTGCTGGGATTACAGGCATGAGCCACCATGCCCAGCCTGATGAGAAATTTTAAATTTTAATTATTTCTAATTTATCAACTTATTTTTTTCATGGTTACTTTTTATTGCCCCTCTAAGAAATCTGCTGCAACTACCCTGTTTTCTTTTGGAAGCTTTTCACTTGTTTCATTTACATTTAGGTCTATGTTCCATTTTGAATTAATTTTTGTGTATGGTATGAAATGGAGTTGGAGGTTCATTTTATTCCATATGGATATCGAGTTGCTTCAGCACCACTAGTTTAAAAAATTCCTTGTGGTATTGGATTGCTTTACCATCTTTGTCAAAAATCAATAAACCACATTAAGTGTAGATTGATTTCTAAGCTCTCATTCTGTTCTACTAATCTGTCTTTCTCATGTCAGTAGCACGCTGTCTTAATTATTGTAGCTTTATACTAAGTTTCAACATAATGTAGTATGAATCCCTTTCATTTTCAGGGTTACTTTCTGCACTGTTCAACACAATAGCCACTAGCCACATGAGAGTATTTACATTTAAATTAAACTAAAAGTTCCTAAACAGTTCTTGTTGCTCTAGCCACTTTTTAAGTCACATTTGGCTAGCTATCATACTGAATGGTACAGCTAAAGAATATTTTCATTAACACAGAAAATTCCATAGGAAAGCACTACTTTATTTTTTATTTTTAATATACATATATTTTTTGAGACGGAGTCTTGCTCTGTCGCCAGGCTGGAGTGCAGTGGTGTGATCTTGGCTCATTGCAACCTCCACCTCCCAGGTTCAAGCGATTCTCCTGCCTCAGGATCCTGAGTAGCTGGGATTACAGGCACGTGCCACCATGACCAGCTAATTTTTGTATTTTTAGTAGAGATGGGGTTTCACCACGTTGGCCAGGATGGTCTCATCTCCTGACCTTGTGATCCACCCACCTCGGCCTCCCAAAGTGCTGGGATTACAGACGTGAGCCACCGCACTGCCCAGACAGCACACTTTAAATATTTAGATCATCTGCATTGTCGTGCAAATTTTGGAATCAACTTGTCTTCTTTTTAAACCACTTTATTGAGGTATGATTGACATGTGAAAAGCTGTATACCACTTGGTGAGTTTGCCAACCTGTCAATTTCAATTTTTAAATTTTTACTTATCTTTGAGACAGGATTTCACTCTGTCACCCAGACTGAAGTGCTTTGGTGTGATCAAAGCTCACTGCAGCCTTGACTTCCTGGGCTCAAGGGATCCTCCTACCTCAGCTCCCCAGTTAGCTAGGACTACAGGTGCACACCACCATGTCTGGCTAATTTTAAAATTTTTTGTAGAAATAGCATCTCACTACATTGCCAAGGCTGGTCTTGAACTCCTAAGCCAAAGTGATCCTCCCACCAAGGCCTCCCAAAGTGCTGGGATTACAGGTGTAAGCCATCACCTCCAGCCCAATTTCCTTTTTTAAAAAAAAGCATGGTAAAATTATGATTTGGTTTGCATTGAATTTACAGATTCATTAGGGGAGAATTGCCATCTTAATGATACTGCATCTTCTAATCCACGAACATGGTATATCTCTTCACTAATTTTAGGTCTTCTTTGGTTTTTCTTAGCAGTATTTTGTAGTTTTCAGTATACAGATATTGCTTGCTTTTTGGAAAATTTATTCCTAAATATCTTTTTTTTGAGCTACTATTGTAAATGGTGTTGTTCATTTAAATTTTATTTTCCAGTTGATTATTCCTGTTATATATAAAAATACAATTTGTTTGTATTTTGACCTATTCTGAGAACTTGCTAAAGTCATTTATTCTAGTTGTTTAGTAGATGCCTTAAGATGTTCTCCTTAAACAATTGTTATCTGCAATTAGAGACAGTTTTACTTCTTAATTCCCATTGTTTACCTTTTGTATCTTTTTCTTGTCTTATTGGAATATTGAATAAAAATGGTGAGAGCTGACATCCTTGCTTTGTTTCCAATCTTAGGGGGAGAACATTCAATATTTAAGTATGACATTAATTTTAGGTTTTTTAGTAGATGCCTTTTATGATATTGAAGTACTTTCCTTTTCTTCTACTATTAGCTGAGAGGTTTTTTTTTTTTAATCATGAAGGGTACCAAATTTAGTCAAATGCCTTTTCATTGTTTATTGAAATGATTATGTGGTTTTTCTCTTTTGTTTTAATGTAGTGAATGACACTGATTCTCGCTGCATTCCTAGGATAAACATCTCTTGGACACAATAAATTATGCTTTTTATATGTTGATTAGATTTTATCTCTAAGTATTAGGGACACTAGTCTGTAAGTGTTAATGTACAGCCATCTGTCAGTATCCATGGATTGGTCCCAAGACCTCCTGTGGATACCAAACTCCACAGATATTCAAGTCCCTTACATAAAATGGTATAGTTTTACATATAATGTGCACATCCTACTGTATACATTAAATCATCTCGATTATTTATAATACTGAATACTGTGAAAAATGATATGTAAATAGTTGTTATTCTGTATTGTTTTTTAAGTTGTATTATTTTTATTGTTGTATTGTTACTTTGTATTTATTTAATATTTTCAATTCAAGGTTAGTTGAATCCACGGATGTAGGACCTGTGAATACAGAGGGCTGCCACTCTATCTTTGTCAAGCTTTGGCATCAGGTAATGCTGGTCTCATAAAACCTGGTCTAACAAGTGTTCTTCTGGCCGGGCGCAGTGGCTCACGCCTGTAATTCCAGCACTTTGGGAGGCCGAGGTAGGTGGATCACAAGATCAGGAGATCGAGACCATCCTGGCTAACACGGTGAAAACCCGTCTCTACTAAAAATACAAAAAATTAGCCGGGCATGGTGGCGGGTGCCTGTAGTCCCAGCTGCTCGGGAGGCTGAGGCAGGAGAATGATGTGAACCTGGGAGGCGGAGATTGCAGTGAGCCGAGATCACGCCACTGCACTCCAGCCTGGGTGACACAGCAAGACTCCGTCTCAAAAAAAAAAAAAAAAAAAAAAAAAAAAAAAAAAAAAAAAGATGTGTTCTTCCCTCCTCTATTTTCTTTTCTTTTTCTTTTTTTTTTTTTTGGGATGGAGTCTCACTCTGTCACCCAGGCTGGAGTGCAGTAGTGCAATCTTGGCTCACTGCAACCTCCACTTCCTGGGTTCAAGCGATTCTCCTGCCTCAGTCTCCCGAGTAGAAGCGAGTACAGGTGCGCGCCACCACGCCTGGCTCATTTTTGCATTTTTAGTAGAGATGGGGTTTTACCATATTGGTCAGGCTGGTCTTGAACTCCTGACCTTGTGATCCACCCGCCTCGGCTTCCCGAAGCCCTGGGATTACAGGTGTGAGCCACCGTGTCCAGCCCCCTCCTCTATTTTCTAAGAGTTTGTATACTATTGGTGTTGTTTCTTCTTTAAATATTTGATGAATTAACCAGTGAAATCATCTGGAGCTGCAGTTTTGAGAAATTTCTGATAATAACTTTAATTTCTTTAATAAATATGGGTCTACTTAGATTACAAAATCTAAGATAAAATACAATTTCATCTTCTATCAATTTATAGTTGTATATTTAAAAGAATTTGTCCATTTCATCTCAGTTCTCAAATTTACCAGCAAAGTGTTGTTCATATATCCTCTTGTCTTTTAATGTCTGTAAGATGTTTAGTGATAGTCCCTCTTTCATTCATAACATTGGCAATTTGTATTTTCACTGTTTTCCTGTAGATCAAATTGACTGATGTATTCAAGAATCAACTTTTGGCTTTAATTTCTCCATTTTTTGTTTCCTATTTCATTGATTTCTATTTTTATCTTTATTATTTCAGTTTTTTTTTTTTTTGAGACAGCATATGGCTCTGTTGCGTTGGATGGAGTGCAGTGGCATGATCTCGGCTCACTGCAACCTCTGCCTCCCAGGCTCCGGCTATCCTCCCACTTCAGCCTCCTGAGCAGCTGGGACTACAGGTGCATACCACCACACCCGGCTAATTTTTGTATTTTTTGTAGAGATGAGGTTTCATCATATTGCTCAGGCTGCTCTCAAAATCCTGAGTTCAAACTGTCTGTCTGCCTCAGCCTCCCAAAGCCACCATGCCTGGACTATTTCAGTTCTATTACTTACTTTGGGCTTACTTTTTCCTACTCCACACACTCCCACTACCATTTCTAAGGGAGAAACTTGAGTCACTCATTTTATATCCTTATGTTCTAATATATTATTTAAATCTGTGCTTTTCCCTTCAAGTACAATTTTTACTGCATTCCACAAATTTTGATATATTTTATTTCATTATCCTTCAGTTTGAAATCTTTTCTAATGTCCCTTGTTCTTTCTTTTTTTTTTTTTTACCCATGGGTTATTTAGAATTGTGCTCACACCTACATGGAAACACAAGAATACGTATACCATGAAGATTTATTTTACAATATTTAAGAATTTTCTTCAAAAACTTAAAAAAATTTAATTAGAAATAAAACTGATTTTAGAATATTTTACTTTAAAATAAAAAATTATATATATTTTCATATTTAAGAATGGATCATTAGCTTAGAAATGGGGGAATTGTTGCTTAGTGGATACAGAATTTCAGTATGGGATGAGAAAAACATTCTGAAAATGAACAGTAGTCACAGCTGCACAACAATATGAATGTACTTAATGATAATGAACTATACTTGACACTGACTATGCTTAATAATGGTTAAAATGGTAAATTTTGTGTTATATATTTTAGCACTATAATTTTCCCAACATCCAACGTCCCTGTTTACCTCTAAGATGCTGAGAAAGATGAAAGTGATAGACAGTTCTCTGACTCAATGAAGAGAGGAATCTACGTCAAATGAACTGAGTGAAACTATAAATAAGGAAAAAATATTATGAAAATATTATGAAGCCTCTTTCAGTAAGCTTTATAAATGTTAATAATTTACCTTATTGTGTCTTCTGTAACAGAACATTTTTGAATAGTTTCATGGTCCAAGTTAAGCTGCAGCATCACTTTGAGACCAATCATTCAGAGTTTAAAGCAAAAGGAATTCAAATTTTAGATGTAGGTATCATGAATGCTTTAAACACCAAATATTGTTTTTATAACTTTCCAGACTAGAAAGGAAATGGCCACTCACTGAAGCATTTTAAAGGCTAAGTTATTATATCGCATTGGCCAATAAAGTACACAATAGCTTAGAAACTAGTATAGCCTTATATAATTGACATTGCTGAATGCCTGCTGGATGGAAAGTTTATAAAAGAACCATGGCATTGCCATTTCCAATTATACAGAAATTCACTGATTTAAGGATTTAACTGAAAATGTAAAGATTAAGTTAATGTTTTGTCTACAAACACATTTTTGTCTTACAAATGAATGAATGTACAGATGTGGCAGGGCTTATTTTGTTGCATTTATATGGTGTCAGCACCAACTAATCATCCAAGAAAATATTCTTTTATGTCAACGCCTGATAGGAAACACAAGTGGTACCAAAATAATCAAAGTGTTGAATAACTTTTCTGATTGTTTATCCTGGGCCAACTGTGTTGATAAATTCATTATCTGTGCTAGACCAATTGTGTGTAAAATTATTGGGCCTTAGCACAAATCAAGACGGTGGCAATGAACTGTACCGGCAGTGACTATATTCTTCACTACCATGCACTTGTACTTAAAAAAAGAAAGTCAGTTTCATTGAAGAATGTCTTTGGTGAAGCACTGAAAATATAATTTATATTAAATATAAACCCTAGAGTACATGTGTATTTAACATTCTATGTGATGAGATGTGCCCTTAAAGTAATTCTGCTGCACACTCAAGTACAGCAGCTGTATTGAGGAAAAGCACTTACGTGATTGACTTGTTAGTGGATCTAACCACTTTTTTTCATAGAACACCATTTTTTACCTGACAGACAACTCTGGCAGACAAACAATGGTTATTTGGACTTGGCTACTGGGCATATTTTTTTTCAAAAATAAATAAAATGAGTGTATCACTTCAATGAAAACATCTGGCAGCATTTATTTCCAATGATAAAATGTAAGCTTTTAAGTGAAAATTGTAATTTTTAGAAACTTGTACATACTTGTACTGTAAGATTAACAGCTTCTTAAAACTAAAAGACTTTTCTAATGAGATGGTCTGATAATTAACACATGCTTTTGAATATTGTCTAATGAAATGTATCAACATTTTGAAGATCTAGGACCATTCTTTTCCAAATGATTAATGCGCGATGTTACAAAATGATTCAAATGCAAGATTGACCAATGGAGAGGACAAAAAGTTCACCAATATGGTTTTATATTCCACATGGCAACTAACCTTTAAGAAACCTCCACTTCTGAGTTTTGGTGTAGTATTAAAGAAGATATCCACAATTATCTGAAAAGTCTATTAAAATTCTCCTCCATTTCCAACTATATATATGTGTGAGGATGGATTTTCTTCATATGCTTCAACCTAAACAACATACCACAATAGATTGAATGCAGAAGCAGACATAAAAATCTAGCTGTCTTCTATTAAGTCAGATATTAAAGAGATTTGCAAAATGTAAAACAATGCCAATCTTCTCAGTATTATTTTGTTTTATAAAAATTTTTTTATAAAACATGTTATTTGTTAGAATGTAATGGATTTATTTTAAATAAATTAATAAATGGATATTTTTATAATCTCTTAATTTTTTATTTATAGTATGATTTGTATTAATAGATATAATATACACAAACAAAAGCTCTCTGGCATCATCAATAATTTTTAGGAGTGTGATGGGGTCTTGAGGCCAAAAAATTTGAGAACCATTGCTCTAGGGATTATAAAATATATCCTTAACTTCTCACAGTCTAGATAGTAGTTAATATCCTATCATTTGATATAAATGTTAGAACTTTGCAACTGTATAGATCCATTTACAACCTCTCCTTTATGCTATGGTTGTTATATATAATACACAGAGAATTATATATTACGTATACATATGTAAACCTCACAATATTACGTGATTTTTGTTTTGCATAATCATATTTTAAAGAAGTTAAAAATCATATTTACCCACATATTTACTATTTCTCATGTTCTTCATTCCTTCTTGAAGAGCTGAAATTCAAGCTGGTTTTATTTCTTTTCAGTCTGTAGAATTTTCTTGGCATTTCTTACAGTGTTAGGTATGCTGGTAAGTAATCCCCTTAGTTTTCTTTTTTCTGGAAATGTTTTTATTTCTCCACTGTTCTTTAATAATATCTTCACTGGATTTGTATTTCAGAGTTGACAGCTTTTTTCTTTTGGCATTTAAAAAATACCGTTTCCGTGTCTTCTGGCCTTCATTATTTCTGATGAGAAGTGAGTCATCATTTACATTGATGTCCCTTTATGTAATTCTATAATTTATTTTTCTCTGTTTTCAAGATTTTCTTATTCTTTTTAGTTTGCAGCACTTTAACTGTAATGACCCTAGACAAAATTTTCTTCATATTTATCCTGATTGGGTTTGCTAAGCTTGAAAGACATAAATTTATAATTTATGTCTTTCACCAAAATTGGAAAGTTTAGGTCATTATTTTTTCAAATATTTTTTCCAACTTCATGTTCTTCCTCTTTCCCTTTGGGGATGATAATTACACATAATTAGACTCCTGAGCTTCTGTCTGTTTTATTACAGGCTTTCCCCACTTTCCTCTGTTCTTTAGATTGGATACTTTTTATTGATTTATCTTTAAGTGAACTGACTCTTCCTTCATCTCCAATATGCTGCTGTTAAGCACAACTAGTGACATTTATTTTAAATACTATATTTTTAAATTCTAGAATTTCCATTTGGTTTTTTTAATAGTTTTTATTTCTCTTGAGATTTCCTATTTATTTATCCAAGTGTATTTTCCTTCAAGCCCTTGAGCATATTATAAATGCTTTGTCTGATAAATCCAAAATTTAGGTTATCTTGGTGGTGGTGGGGTTGTCTTCATTGCCTTTTGAGTTTTGGTTTTTGCTCTTGAGTATGTATTTCCTGTTTCTTCATATATTTGTAACCTTGACCTGGACATTGTGAGTGACATATTTTAGAGTCTGGATTCTGCTATTATGTTCTGAAAGATGTTGATTTTTAATTATTTTAGCAAACAATTAACTTGGCTGAACTGAAATCCCAAACTCTGTCCCCCATACGTTGGTCAGCTGAAATCTCAGTTAAATTTCTTTATCTTTAACTGTGCTGTTTGGAGCCTGTCTTTCACATGTGTAGTTCAGGTATCAGATAAAATTTTGACAGACTTTATAATAAGAGTATGGGTCTTCTTCTATCTGGTATCTTCTTCCTGAGATTTCCTACTCACTTTACATCTGCAGTAGTGACTACAATTTTATCTTCTGATTTTTCAAGCCAGTAAAACAGTGGATTTCTCTTCCAGTTTTGGCTGCCCCATGGATGGGACCTTCTCTCAGGCTAGAAGCTGTAAAAAACAGGAAACTCACTCAGTGTCATTTTCTTCTTCTAAGTGGTTGTTCTCCATTGCCTTCAGTGCTTTTTTACACTTTGTCCAGAATTTATGATTGCTATCTGTGGAAAGTTGGTCCATTAGGAGCAATCTTAGCCATTACCAGACATAGAATCGTGCATGTATTTTTTTTCAAATAATCTTACAAATACTATTTCCATTTTGAAATTAAAATGCCAACCTCAGCATTAAAAACAAGAAAACAAAGTAGAATTAATTAATAAATTTAAAAACATGTCTTGATAATTATAAGGCCTACACAGTTTCACAAACAGTTTCATGCTGCTAAGTCACAATGAAACTCAATCTCTGGCTCCTATGACCCTGACATTATGGAGTGGATGGCTTTTACTGGGTGGGCTATCTGGCCATGGAAAAATTAAAAAATTCTGAAAATGCTAGCTCATAGAGTAAAAGGGTCTAGAAGCAGGGAGAAAACTACTTAGGCTTAGGAGAAGATAAGAGATATAAACCTAAGTGTAAGCAAGGATCTTTCAAATGGGACAAGGTGTGGTGGGTCAGCTCAGCAACAGAATAGGAAATAAGACTTGCAGTACAACAACTGCAGTAGCTAGGGCAGCAAACTAAAGAAGCTCTATAGCTTAAGAGGGATAAAGTAAATCCCAGTAACTCAAGGGAGAAATTATAATATTAGGATATTAAATATTAAAATATTAGGAAGGTGGCAATCCTATCTATATTACAGGGGATAATGCGGTCTGTATTTTTCTACCATCACTCTCTCCAAATTCTAGTTAAGTGGTATTTCAAGGTGCTGGAAGAGAGATATTAATAATATTTTAGCCTGTTTCTTTAATTATGGCCTAAGTTACCATAAACCATTGCGTTAGCTGTATAGAATTAGTTGCCTTGTATGAAAGATAAGAAATATTTGATTGAATGTTACTGTGTCTCTGAAAAAGGCTGATGCTGTCTCCCATCCCAATATGTTAAATAGTAAGGATCAAGGATTGAGTGAACACAGAACAGAAAGGTTTATACAGTAATTAAAACTGTTAGAAATACAGGAGGGAGTGAGAAAATGTATTATTTGCAAATGGCTGATTGGGCTGGCAGACAAGCTGATCTTGAGTACCAATGATTCCTTTTATACCCTTATCCAGATATAAAATTGTACATGTCCCTGGCCAGATATATAAGCCTAAAAGCTTACTTTTATTCCTACCCATTCTTTGATTGGTCTTTCAGACAAAGAATCCCAACTTGCTATCTCGGGGACTAAGCATCTAGCTGGTTTGAACCTTTTTATGCTGACGAGTTATTTTGTCCTTTGAAAGTAATATGTCTTCTATATTCTTATAACTGTTCTTATTTTTTCTGAAATGGAAAATAATGTTAGAATAAAAATAATTCTATTAGCATGCGTTTTAATGTTAAAAGTTATAATTCTGATAAAAAGCATATTTACTTCATTGATTTATAACTGATAAAAAGTTATAATTCTGATAAAAAGTAAATGTGCCCTAGAAATTCTACAAATGAAGGCAAATCAAACAGCAACAAAAAAACTTAATGAGAGAGAAAAAGACAAATACTGACAATCATGGTAATAAATGGAAACTATTTGAGTTACCCTATAAAAAGGGGTGCTCATTCATAATTAAACTCCATAAAACTTTGCCTAAGTTAGTGAGGCACACTTAAAATGTTAGCAATAGACAAAAAGTTAAAAGACAGTATCCAGTCTATCATGTCAATGCAAACAAAACAAAACTGAGATTGGAGTAAAAGATGAGATTTCAGAACAAAAATGCCCATCAAAAAGGCTATTTCATATTTGTTCCAAAAATTTCTCAGAAAAACTACTTAAGTAGTAGATAAAATGTAATCTATCAGACAGGTCAACTCTTACCAAAAAGTAGAGTAGGATATAAATCATGTAGAGTCAAGCAAAGTTAAAATATTCAAAAGGGGAATCCTGTTCTTCAGTAATTCTTATTCCTTTTTTTCAGTGACTGTTCCTTTTGAGATTTGATCATTATACAAGACCCCTCTCCAGTCAAATTTTGCCAACATTTTCAGGTGTTCAGGAACTCTGTGAAGTTAGATTACCATCCCCTAATTACATTAATACCATAATAAATAACATTTATAAGCAATTTTTTAGTGGTAGGCAATATACCAAGCATTTTATGTATTTTTTAATTTAATCCTTACAACAACCTTATAAGGTATGGACAGCTCTTATCCTCATAGCAACCCATGAGAGCACTATCATTATCTCCATTTTGCAGATCAGGAAAGTGAAGCTTAAAGATGCTGCAATTTGACTAAGGTCACACAGCCAATAAACAGTAGAGCTGGGATTTACATCCTTATCTCTCTGATCCTAAATTTCCATCTTTTTGTTTGTTTGTTTGTTTGTTTGAGAAGGACTCTCGCTCTGTTGCCCAGGCTGGAGTGCGGTGGTACAATCTCGGCTCACTGCAAACTCCACCTCCTGGGTTCAAGCAATGCTCCTGCCTCAGCCTCCCAAGTAGCTGGTATTACAGGCATGTGCCACCATGCCCAGCTGACTTTTGTATTTTTAGTAGAGACAGGGTTTCACCATGTTGGCTAGGCTGGTCTTGAACTCCTGACCTCAAGTGATCCACCTGCCTCAGCCTCCTAAGGTGCTGGGATTACAGGTGTGAGCCCCCGCGCCCGGCCAGTTTCCATCTTTTAATCACTTAATACACTCTCTCTAAGGCCTTTCCATATTAATTTCAAATTGATATACCTGACAAAAGAAATATAAAGTATATTTGATTCTATTTTTTATTTATACCACTCTCACTGCACAAGAGAATTTGAAGCAATTACAGAGATATACAGAAAATAAAAATAAATATGGAAATATATGTGTGTGTGTGTGAGGGAATGGTGGGTAAGAAACTGAGATGAACCTAGAGGTAGAGCCAGTACCAAAAATAGATATCATAAGATCACCATGGCTGACAGAGGTGAGCCACATATTTGCCTCTGAACATAGCAGCCAGAGGAAAGAAGGATTTAACCAATACCAGTTTTTAGGTACTGAATCTGGGCAAAATATCTTTTCTGGAGACACTGTATAGACAATATCCTCAACAACATTATACAATTATGGCTTTAAAATAAACTTTCCTTACAAGAAATTTTACAAATATGTTGCTGTAGGCCAAAGTATGGTGTCAAAGTGGAGGTCAGAAAAGACGACTCTACCCAGGATACAATGCAGTCTTGGTACAAAACTTCAATGATCTGGATTGGGCTGAGCATAAAATGGAATAGGTGGGTAAATGGAATGCACATCCTTCAGGTCATCTTTCTGGCAACTAAACTTCTGAATTTAACAGTTGAGAGTTTATTTTCTCTAACAAGAACCTGGAATACAGAAATTCTATATTATTTAGTAGGTCAGATTCCATGCATGGACAATCAAGCAAAGAGTAAAATTTATAATTTCATGTGGAAGACGAGGAACCTAACATGGCTGGGGGCAGTGCCTCACGCCTGTAACTGCAGTACTTTGGGAGGCTGAGGCAGGCGGATCACATGAGGCCAGGAATTTGAGACAAGCCTGGCCAACGTGGTGAAACCCATCTGTACTTACAATACAAAAATTAGCCTGGGCGTGGTGGCTCATGCCTGTAATTCCAGCTACTTGTGGGGATAACACATGAGAATCCCTTGAACCCAGGAGGCAGAGGTTGCAGTGAGCTGAGATTGGGCCACTGCACTCCAGCCTAGGTGACAGGGCAAGACCCTGTCTCAAAACAAACAAACAAACAAACAAACAAAAAAGAGAACATATGTGTGAATTTTAGGCTTTTTTTCCCAAGGTGAGCTGAAGGAAGACTTATAACTAGAGATAGTTTCCAACTCATACTGATGTGTAAATATGCAATGTTTGAGACAGGGCTGAAATCCAAACAGAAATTTTCTTGATTTTTGTTAAATAATGACTTTTGCTATAATATTACAAGATTATAGAAAGGTGCCAAGGCAGTACTTGAGAAAACATATTGCTCTAAATACCTGTATTAGTTTACAAAAAATGAATTAAATGTCTATACAAGGACATTGACATGGAAGAAAGTAGCAACCTTAAATATGTGAGAAAATAAAAAAATGAAAGAGTAGAAATAAACTATTCAAATTTACAATAACTAGTATTTAAAAAGCAAGTGAGAGTGCTATACTGAAAAAGAATCAAATCACAGCACTGTTTCAGTTGCTTAATAAATACAAATTAAAAAATAGCAGGATACAAAAATCAACATTCACAAATCAGTGGCATTTCTACATGCCAACAGTCAACAATGTGAAAAAGAAATCAAACCAGTAATCTCATTTATAATAGCCACAAATAAAATTAAATATCTAAACATTAAGTCAACCGAAGAAGTGAAAGATCTCTACAATGAAAACTATAAAGCACTGATTAAAGGAACTGAAGAGGACACCAAATAAATGGAAAGATATTTCATGTTCATGGATTGGAAGAATCAATATTGTTAAAATGTCCATACTACCCAAAGCAATCTACAGATTCAATGCAATCCCTATTAAAATGCCAATGAGATTCTTCACAGAAATGACCAAAAAAAAAAAAAACCCTAAAATGTATATGGAACCACAAAAGACCCAGAATAGCCAAAGACATCCTGAGCAAAAAGAACAAAACTCGAGCAATCATATTACTTGACTTCAAATTATACTACAGAGCTTTAGTAACCTAAACAGCATGATACTGACATAAAAACAGACACATAAACCAGTAGGACAGAATAGAGAACCCAGAAACCAATCCACACACCTATAGTGAACTCATTTTTGACAAAGGTGCCAAGAACATACACTGGGGAAAAGGTAGTTTCTTCAATAAATGGTGCTCAGAAAACTGGATATACATATGCAGAAGAATGAAACTGTACCCTTATCTCTTGCTACATGCAAAAATTAAATCAAAACGAATTAAACACTTAAATCTAAGACCTCAAATTATGAAACTACTACTACTTGGGGAAACTCTCCAAGACATTGGTCTGGGCAAAAGTTTCTTGAGTAGTACTCCACAAGCGCAAGCAACCAAAGCAAAAATGGATGGATTGGATCCTATCGAGTTAAAAAGCTTCTGTGCAGCAAAGGAAACAGTTAAGAAAGTGAAGAGACAACCCACAGAATGGAAAAAAACATTTGCAAACTACTCATCTGACAAGGGATTAATAACCAGAATATATGAGGAACTCAAACTCTATAGGAAAAAAAATTTAATAATCTGATTTAAAAATGGGCAGCTGGGCATGGTGGCTCATGCCTGTAATCCCAATGCTTTGGGAGGTTGAGTCAGAAGGATAGCTTAAGACCAAGAGTTCAAGGCCAGCCTGGGTAACATAGCGAGACCCCGTCTCTACAAAATATAAAAAATTAGTCGGGCATGGTGGCACATGCCTGTAGTCCCAGCCACTCAGGAAGCTGAGGCAGGAGGATCACCTGGGCCCAGGAGGTTGAGGCTGCAGTGAGCTGTGATTGCACCACTGCACTCTAGCCTAGTCAACAGAGTGTCACTGTTTCAAAAAAAGGAAAATAAAATAAAAATGGTCAAAAGCTTTGAAAAGATATTTCTCAAAAGAAGACTTATGAATGGCGAACAAGAATATGAAAAAGTGCTCATGGCTCACACCTGTAATCCCAGCAATTTGGAAGGCCGAGGTGGGCAGATTGCTTGAGCTCAGGAGTTTGAGACCAGCCTGGGCGACATGGTGAAACCCTATCTCTACAGAAAGTACAAAAATTAGCCAGGTGTGGTGGTGCATGCCTACGGTACCAGCTAATAGGGAGGCTGAAGTGGGAGGACTGATTGAGCCCAGGAGGTTGAGGCTGCGGGGAGCTGAGATCATGCCACTGCACTCCAGCCTGCGGTGACAGAGTGGGACTCTGTCTCAAAAAAAAAAAAAAGAAAAAGTGCTCAACATCATTTAACATCAGAGAAATACAAATCAAAACTATAATGAGGTATCATCTCATCCCAGTGAAATGGGCTTTCATTCAAAAAACAGGCAATAACAAATACTGGTAAGGTTGTGAGGAAAAGGGAACCTTGGACACTGTTGGTGGGAATGTAAATTAGTACAACCACTATGGAGAATGGTTTGGAGGCTCCTCAAAAAACTAAAAACAGAGCTACCATACAATCCAGCAATCCCACTGCTGGGTATATACCCAAAAGAAAGGAAATCAGTATATCAAAGAGATATCTGCACTCCCATGTCTGTTGCAGCCAGCACTGTCCAAACAGCCAAGATTTGCAAGCAACCTAAGTGTCCATCAACACATGAATGGGTAAAGAAATGTGGTACTTACACACAATGGAGTACTATTCAGCCATAAGAAAGAATGAGATCCTGTAATCTGCAACAACATGGAACTGGAGATCATCATGTTAAATAAAATATGCCAGGCACAGAAAGACAAACATCGCATGTTCTCACTTATTTGTTGGAGCTAAAAATCAGAACAATTGAACTCATGGAGATAGAGAGTAGAAGGATGGTTACCAGAGGTTGGGAAGGGTAGTGGAGGGGTTGGGGAGAAGTGGGGATGGTTAATGGGTACAAAAAGTAGTTAGAAAGAATTAATAAGACCTAGTTGATAGCACAACAGGGTGACTATGGATAATAATTTAATTGTGTATTCTAAAATAACTAAAAGGGTATAATTGAATTGTTTGTAACACAAAGGATAAATGCTTGAGGGGATGGATATTGCATTTTCCATAATGTAATTATTATGCTTCTCATGCCTGTATCAGAAATATCTTTTTTTTTTTTTTTTTGAGGTGGAGTCTCACTCTGTCCCCCAGGCTGGAGGTGCAGTGGCATGATCTCAGCTCACTGCAAGCTCCGCCTCCTGGGTTCACACCGTTCTCCTGCCTCAGCCTCCCGATTAGCTGGGACTACAGGCACCCGCCACCATGCCGGGCAAATTTTTTGTATTTTTAGTAGAGACAGGGTTTCACCGTGTTAGCCAGGATGGTCTTGATCTCCTGACCTCGTGATCCACCCGCCTTGGCCTCCCAAGGTGCTGGGATTACAACAGGCGTGAGCCACTGCGCCTGGCCCAAAAATATTTTATATACCCCATACATATATACCTTATAATCACCCACAAAAATTAAAAATAAAAAATTTTCTAAGAATTAAAAAAAATAATAATGGGCTGAGTACCATGGCTCATGCTTGTAATCCCAGTACTTTGGAAGGCCAAGATGACAGGATCATCTGAGGCCAGGAGTTTGAGAGCAGCCTGGGCAACATAGCAAGACTTGTTCTCTCCAAAGAAAAAAAAAAAAAAAAAGCTGAGTGTGGTGGTGAATGCTCGCAGTTCTAGCTACTTGGGAGGCTGAGGTAGGAGAATTACATAAGCCCAGGAGTTTGAGGTTACAGTAAGCTATAATTGCGCCACTACATTCCAGCCTGGGTGACACAGTGAGAATGTGTCTCTATCAAGAAAAAAAAGTAATGCAAATCATAACATAAAAGATACGTGAGTGCTCTGTAAACTGAGGCTGGGATACACAGTTCTAGATGTAATTACTAAAACCTCTAACTCTTACTAAAAATAAAAAGCAAAACAAAACTGATTTTGAAGAAAATTAACATTATGGAGGCTGACATTCTTTTTTGAAAACCACTTAAAGGCCTATCAGTAGGATAAGAATTAATTTTGGTATATGATGAAATGTTATGCAGCCTTAAAAATAATTTTTAATAGCATGAGAAAATCCTTTACTAGTATAAGGGGAAAAGCAGGGTATAAAATTATATTTACATTTACACTGAGTTCCAAATACAGTTAAGTGTCAGTGGTGACACTACGGCTGTTTAGAACATTAAAGAAATCATATTCTTTCATATTGCCAAGTTTTAATAATCAGAAAAAATACATTTTTAGTAAGGATAATATGGCTAACTGCCCATAAAACTATAAAACAGCAAGTCTGGTAGAAATAAAACCAGTTAACAGACAAATAACAGTGAAAAACAAAAGAAAACCAAAAAAGTTTACCAAAGAACAACATTCTGCCAAATGGGTAATGAAAGGATTTTTCCAAGTTTTGTAAGAACAAGCCTATTCTATAAACTATGTCAAAATATGATGATGAAGATGATAGCGAGTCAACATTTATATTTTTAGTGCCACGTAATATACTATGACTTTCCATACATTATTATTTCATCCTTGCAACACCACTATGGACATGATTACTATACTTTATCTTCAGTTTAAAGGTGGACAGAGAGGTTAAAGTCATAGAGCTGATAAATGGCAGATCTCTGATTTAAATCCAGCAATATAACTCTAGACCTTGAGTTATTACTACTTTGTACTATGTAGTGTACAATTTATTTGAAATAAATACATTTATATCCTGAAACCTGAAAAGATACTAAAAAGTCAAAAAAAGTTGGTTAATTTTACTTCAAGTGTAGGTTTAATAACATTTTAAATAATATAACAATGAAAATACCAAAATTAAAAAAATAACAAAAAATAACAAAAGGAGGTTGTATCCTTAAAATTCAAGGAATATGACAAAAATCTAGTCAAACAATTTACTATATTTGTATAATAAATAGAAAAGGAAAACTGTAGCAATATAAAGTAATTAACAAGAATTTAATAAGATTAAATATCTATTCATAACTAGGTACACATTAGACTTACGAAGGCTATCATTCTTAAAAAAGATAACATTTTAATATAAACAGAAATCACACATGCCAAAGATATAAAGAATAAATTCCCAGATTCCACTCTACAAATCATTGAGAAATAGTTTATACATATAGAAATGTGAATAATTATCTACATGAATTATAAATGCATAACAATTAGATAAATCTAAATTAAAACTTTTAAGGCATATCAATGAAAAAACCAAAATAAATAAAATTTAGACCCAAATATTGATGGAGCAGAGGAAACAAGGTATACTTTTATATTAATGATAGCATTATAAAATGATTTATTCTTTTGGAGAGTATTATGGCAAAATCCAATAAGAATTTATGTGAAATAATGTTATTAATAAGCAAACAAACATATCCATGTAAATTAAAACCTATATAAAAATACACACCTAAAAGATTATAAGTAAACACAGGGTGATGTAAATGGAGTCAATGCATGGTGGTTACTAGCAGAGACCTATGGTCAGACTTGAGTTTGAATCCTGGTTCAACTATGTGAACTTGGGCATGTTTATTGGTTCAATTTGCTCTTGATACAACCCAGTTGTGAAGGCTTATTTGGTTACTAAAGTAAAGCTGCTCTGGCTAAGACTATATGCAAGCATAGAATGTATTTATTCAACAAATATTTACCGAACATCTACTACAGTCGTCCCCTCCTTACCCATAGGGTATTTGTTCCAAAACCCTAAGTGGATACCTGAAACTATGGATAGTACCAAACCCGATATGTACTACTTTTTTTCTTATCCATACATACCTATAATAAAATTTAATTTATAAATCAGGCATACTAAGAAATTAACAAAATAGTAATAAATGGAATAATTATAACAAAATGCTGTAATAAAAGGTATGTGAATGTGGTCATCTCTCTCTCAATATATTTTATTGTACTGTACTCACCTATTTTCAGACTGAGGTTGACTGCAGTAACTGAAATCGTGGAAAGGAAACCGCAGATAAGGGGAGACTACCCTTGTCTTCACTTCACTAAAATATGCCAGGCATTATTTTAGAAAAGGACTGAAAAATGAATAACACAAATAAGAGAGCTCCTTTCCTGGTTTATACTTTAGCAGGGAGAAGCAGAAAATAACTAAGAAAATAAATGAATAAATAATTTTGGCTACTGATAAATGCTGTGAAGATAACAAAAGAGGGTGACAGATGTAGTAATCAGAATGGGGGATAGTCTTATTTGGGTAGTGAAGAAGAGCAACTTTGAAAAAGCGACTGAGGCCTGAATGCAAAGAAGCCATCACATAGGTACCTGTAGAAAATGCAATTTAGGCAGAGGGAACAATATATACAATACAAAGTCTATATGGCTGGAATAAACTTAGTGTATGTTTTGCGGTGAGAAGTTGGGGCACAAAAAGCCAATGTGGCTAGAAAAGGAAGAGGAGAGTGATAGTGGTAGGGGAATCACAAAAATAGTCAAAGGCCAGGTCTTACATGCCATTGAAGTCATACTGCCTTTGTCTCTTAAGCTCCACCTACTCCTGTGTAAATACCTGCTGGGAGGCACACCCATCTGGGCCACTGGGACAGTTTTCTGGACTTGGGTCCCTGGCCAGCATTCCCACCCAGCCCCGGTACCTTCCTTGTGTCTTCCCCAGATCCATCTGGGCCAGAAATTGGCATCAACTTCCGAGCCCTCACAAGACATGGAGCAAGCCTAGGCTTAGAGCGTCCTCCAGTGCTGAGACAACTGCAGTAGACACAGGCTCAGGAAACACAAGTCAGTCTGTTTAGAATCCCTGGAAGGCCCTCTGAAGAAGGCCAGGCATAAACAAAGCCAGACTGTGAAAACTAAAATAAAAATGTAACCCCTTGGTGTGTAGACACCGTCATACTTCCACAAGCATCAAGAACATTCAGAGAAATATGACCTCATCAAATGGATAAAATAAGGTGCCACTTACCCCAAAGTGATGGAGATGTGAGATCTCTCAAAGAATTTTAAATAGCTGTTTTAAGGAAGGTCAATGAACTTCAGGAAATCACAGAGACTCAAATGAGGAATATATCAAAGAAATTTAATATAGAGATTGAAATAATAAAAACAATCAAACAGAAACTCAGGAGCTGAAAATACACTGAATGAAATGAAAGATGTAATAGGGAGCAACAGCAGAATTGGTTAAACAGAACAATCAGTGAGCTTGAAAACAGACTAGCTGAAAATACACAGGGGAGAAAAAAGAAAAAAAAGAAATGAAGAAAGCTTATGAATCTGTGGGCCAACATAAAAAAGCAAATATTTGGGGTGTTGGAGTTAGGTAGGGAACTGAGAAAGACAGGGGTAGAAAGTTTATTTGAAGAAATAATAACAGAAAACTTCCCAAACCTGGAGAAAGATACAAATATCCAGGTACAGGAAAGTCAAAGGTCACCAATCAGAGTCAGTCCAAGTAAAGATACTCTAAGACATATAATCAAACTCCCAAAGGTGAAAGACAAAGAGAAGATCCTGAAAGCAGCAAGAGTAAAGATGCAAATAACATTTAGGAAAGATCCAATACACCTGGCAGCAGACTTCTCAGCAGAAACATTACGGGCCAGGAGTGAATGGGATGATATATTCAGAGTGCTGATGGAAAAAAAAAAAGCCTTCTAAGAATACTCTATCTAGCAAAGCTATTATTTAGAAGTGAAAGAGAGACTTTCACAAACAAAAACTGGGAATTTATCACCAGAGCTGTCCTACAATAAATGCTAAAGGGAATTTTTTTAAACCACAGGAAAAAGACTGTTAACATGATTGTTACACTAATATTATAATCATGATGCATAAACCACTTATATATTTACTAAGAAGACTAAAAGACAGAAGTATTAAAAATAATGACTACAATTTACCAAGAGACAGGCAATATAAAAATGCAAATTGTGCCATCAAACGTTCAAAATGTGGGGAAGAGAATGGAGCTAATGTGTACAGTGTTCTTTGTTTTCTCTTCTTTTTGTGATCAAAGTTGTTATCAATCTTAAGTAACTTGTTGTTAACTACAGAATATTTTTTGTAAGCCTCATGGTAACCACAAAGCAAAAATCTATAACAGATACACTAAAAATAAAAAGCAATAGATTAAAACATACTGCCAGAGAAATCACTTAACCACAAAAGAAGACAGTAAAAAAGGAAGAAAGGAAGAGAGGAGTTAGAAAAGAAGCAAAAATGGCAGTAAATCCTGACATATCAATAGTAACATTTAGTGTAAATGGATTAAACTGTCTAATTAAAAGATACAGAGTGGCAAAATGGATTAAAAAACATGATCTAACTATATGTTGCCTACAGGAAAATCACTTCACCTGTAAAGACACAATACACTGAAAGTGAGGGGATGGAAAAAGATATTCCATGCAAATGGAAACCAAAAAGGAGTAGGAAGAGCTATATTCATATCAGATAAAATAGACCTTGTCTTTTTCTTTTTTTTTTTTTGAGACAGAGTCTCGCTCTGCTGCCCAGGCTGGAGTGCAGTGGTGTGATCTCAGCTCACTGCAACCTCCACCTCCTGTGCTCAAGCGATTCTTGTGCCTCAGCCTCCCAAGCAGCTGGGATTACAGGCATGCGCCACCATGCCCAGCTAATTTTTGTATTTTTACTAGAGACGGGGTTTTGCCATGTTGGCCAGGCTGGTCTTGAACTCCTGAGCCAAGCCATCTGCCCACCTTGGCTTCCTAAAGTGCTGGGATTACAGGCATGAACCACTGCACTTGGCCAGATAAAATAGACTTTAAGTCAAAAATTGTAAAAAGACACAAACGTCATTATACAAAGGTGTCAGTCAACTGAGCAAGAAGACATGACAACAATAAATATATATACATCCAACACCAAGAACACCCAAATATATGAAGCAAATATTAATATTAGCAAAGCTAAAGGGAGAGATAAACTGCAATACAGTAGCAGTAGGGGACTTCAACACCTCACTTTTAGCAACGGACAGATCATCCAGGTGGAAAATCAACAAAGAAACATTGGAGATAAATTATACTCTAAGCCAACTAGCCCTAACAGACATCCATAAAACATTTCATCCAACTGCTGCAGAATGCACATTTTTCTCATCAGTACCTAAAACATTCTCCAGAATAGACCACATGTTAGGCCAGAAAACAAGTCTCAACAAATTAATTAAACAAAGTCAAATCATATCAATATCTTTTCTGGCTGCAACAGAGCAAGACTAGAAATCAGTAACAGGAGGAACTTCTGAAACTGTAAAAATACATGGAAATTAAATAACATGTTCCTGAACGATCAATGGCTCAACGAATAAGTTAAGGAAATTAAAAAATTTCTTGAGAAAAACAAAAATGGAAACACAACATACCAGAAACTATAGGATACAGCAAATGCAGCAGCAAGAGGGAAGTTTATAGAAGTAAATGCCTCCATCAAAAAAATAGAAAGACAAATAAACAATCTAATAATGTATCTCAAGGAAACAGAAAAGCAAGAGCAAGCCAAAGCCAAAATTAGTAGAAGGAAAGAAATAATGAAGATTAAAGCAGAAATAAATGAAATTGAGACTTAAAAAAATACAAAAGAGGAACAAAACAAAAAGTTTGTTTTTTGAAAAAATAAATCAACAAACTTAGCTAGACTAACAAAAAGAGAAGACTCAAATAATTAAAACTAAGGATGAAAAGAGAAACATTAGCAGCCTGGACAACATAGATTCTGTCTACAAAAAATTTAAAAAATTGGCTGGGTGTGGTGGCACATGCCTGTAGTCCCAGCCCTGGGAGTCTGAGGTGGGAGGATCACTTGAGCCTGGGAGGTCCAGGCTGTAGTGAGCTGAGATCACACCATTGCCCACTCCAGCCTGGGTGACACAGCAAGACACTGTCTCAAAGTAAATAAACAAATTTAATTAATAAATAAAAGCACTATTCATGTAAAATAAAAAAGAAAAAGAAAAGGAAACATTATAACAGATACCACAGAAATACAAGAAATCATTAGAGACTATTACGAACTACATGCCAACAAATTAGAAAACCTGGAAGAAATGGATAAGTTCCTGAACACATATAACCTACCATGACTGAATAACGAAGAAAACCTGAATACATCAATAATGAGTAACAGTATTAAAACAGTAATAAAGTCCCCCAACAAAGAAAAAGCACAGGACCTTATGGCTTCACAGCTAAATTCTACTGAAAGTTTAAAGAAGAACTAATACCAATTCTGCTCAAACAATTTCAAAAAATTGAAGGAGCGGGAACATTTCCAAAATCATTCTATGAGGCTAGCATTACCCTCTGATGCCAAAAACAGGAAAAGAGACAAACAACAAAAAACTCTACAGGCCAACATCTCTGATGAAAATAGATGCAAACATCCTTGACAAAATACTGGCAAACAGAATTCAACAACACATTGAAAAGATCATTTGCCATGATCAAATTGATTCATCCCAGGGATGCAAGGAAGGCTCAATGTACACAAATCAACAAATGTGATATATCGCAGCAACAGAATGAAGAACAAAAACCACATGTTCATTTCAATAGATGCTTAAAAAGCATTCAGTAAAATTCAACATCCTTTCATGATAAAAGCCGTAAAAAAATAGGGTACAGAACATACCTCAGCAAGATAAAGTCTAAATATGACAAACACACAACTAATACTATATTGAATGGGGAAAAATTGAAAGCCTTTCCACTAAAATCTGGAACAACATAAGGATGCCCACTTTCACCACTTTTACACAACATAGTACTGGAAGTCTAAGCCAGAGCAATTAGGCAAGAGAAAGAAATAAAGGGCATCCAGACTAGAAAGGAAGAAGTCAAATTAATCCTTGTTACAGATTATATGATCTCATATTTTGAAAAACTTAAAGATTCCACAAAGAACTATTAGAACTGATAAATGATCAGTAAAATTGAAGGATACAAAATCAACATACAGAAATCAGTAGTGTTTCTATATGTTAACAGTGATCAATCTGAAAAAGAAATCAAGAAATCAATCTCATTTACAAGAGCTACCAAAAAATATCCAGGAATAAATTAAACCTAAGAAGTAAAAGATCTCTATAATGAAAACCATGAAATAGTGAAGAAAGAAATTGAAGAGGACACAAAAAATGGAAAGACATCCCATGCTCACTAATTGAAAGAATCAATATTGTGAAAATTTCTATACTACCCAAAGTGATCTACAGATTCAATGAAATATCTGTCAAAATAGCAATTACATTCTTCAAAGAAATAGAAGAAAAGTCCTAAAATTATATGGAACCACAAAAGACCCTGAATAGCTAAAGCAATCCTAAGTAAAAAGAATGAAGTTGGAGGCATCACAATATTTGATTTTAAATTATACTGCAAAGCTATAGTATCCAAAACAGCATGGTACTGGCATAAAAACAGACACACAGACCAGTGGAATAGAACACAGAACTCAGAAATAAATCCACACACTTATAGCCAACTTATTTTTGACAAAGATGCCCAGAACATACACTGGGGGAAGTCACAATCTCAATAAATGGTGCTGGGAAAACTGGTTATCCATATGCAGAGGAATTAAACAGCCCCATTTTGGCTGTGCGCGATGGCTCATGCCTGTAATCCTGGCACTTTGGGAGGCCAAGGCAGGTGGATCACCTGAGATCAGGAGTTTAAGAGCAGCCTGGCCAACACGGCAAAACCCCATCTCTACTAAAAATACAAAAAAATTAGCCAGGCGTGGTGGTGAGCACCTGTAATTCCAGCTACATGGGAGGCTGAGGCTGGAGAATCGCTTGAACCTGGGAGGTGGAGGTTGTAGTGAGCCAGGATCACAACACTGCACTAGAGTCTGGGTGACAGACAGAGCTAGACTCTGTCTCAAGAAAAAAAAAAAAGCCCCATCTCTCACCATCTACAAAAATGGATTTAAAACATAAATTTAAGACCTGAAACTATGAAAGTACTAGAAGAAAACACTGGGGAAATGCTCCAGGACCTTCATCTGGGCAAATATTTTTTGGGTAAGGCCTCAAAAGCATAGGCAACCAAAGTAATAATAGACAAATGGGATTACATCAGGCTAAAAAGCTCCTGCAAAGCAAAGGAAACAATTAACAAAGTGAAGTGACAACCTATAGAATGGGAGTAAATATTTACAAGTTATCCATTCAACAAGGGATTAATAACCAGAATATATAAGGAACTCAAACAATCAATAGCAAAAAGATAGATAATCAAATTAAAAATGGGCAACATACCTGAATAGACATCTCTACAAAAGCAGACATACAAATGGCCAACAGTTAAATGAAAAAATTCAACATCAATCATCAGGGAAATGCAAATCAAAACCACAATGGGTTATCATCTCACTATAGTTAGAATGGTTATTATCAAAAAGACAAAAAATCAAGTGCTGGCAGAGATGCAGAGAAAGGGGAATGCCTGTACACTGTTGATGGGAATGTAAAGTAGGACAACCGTTATGAAAAACAGTATGAGGCTGGGCACAGTGGCTCCCATCTGTAATCCCAGCACTTTGGGAGGCTGAGGAGGGTGGATTACTTGAGGTCAGGAGGTTGAGACCAGCCCGGCCAACATGGTGAAACCCCGTCTCTACTAATAACACAAAAAAAATTTAGCCAGGCGTGGTGTCAGGCACCTGTAATCCCAGCTACTCGGGAGGCTGAGGCAGGAGAATTACTTGAACCTGGGAGGCAGAAGTTGCAGCGAACCAAGAGTGCGCCACTTGTACTCCAGCCTCAGCGAAAGAGCAAGACTCCATCTCAAAAACAAACAAACAACCCCAAAAAGCAGTATGGAAGTTCCTTGAAAAACTAAAAATAGAACTACCATATGATCCAGAAATCTCACTGCTGGGTAGATATCCAAGAGAAAGGAAATTACTATGTCAAAGAGACAGGTGCACTCCCATATTTATTGTAGCACTATTCATAATAGCCAAGATATGGAATCAACCTAAGTGTCCATCAACAGATGAATGAATAAAAAAATGTGGTACATGTATACAATGGACTATTACATGGGCATAAAAAGAATGAAATCCTGTCATTTGAAACAACGTGGATGGACCTGGAGTTCATTATGTTAAGTGAAATAAGCCAGGCACAGAAAGACAAATATACTACATGTTCTCACTCACATGTGGGAGCTACAAAAGTGGATCTCATGGAGGTAGAGTAGAATAATGGTTACTAGAGGCTGGAAAAGGAAGAGTGGTAGGGGAGGATGAAGAGAAGTTGGTTGATGAGTACAAAAATACAGTTAGATAAGAGTAAGTATTTGATAGTACATTATGGAAATTATAGTTAATAACAATTTATTATATGTTTCAAAATAACTAGAAAGAACTGTAATGTTCCAATACAAAAATATAAATGTTTGAGGTGATGATATCCCAATTACCCTGATTTGATTATTACATATTGTATACATGTAGCAAAATATCACATGTACCCCAAAAATATGTACAACTAAATATGACGTCAATTAAAAAATACAAAAAAATTAGATGGCACATACAAATGCCACTTTGTATAAACTGATAAGTGCCCCAAGAGAAATAAATAAAATTTTAAGATAATTCAGATAGTGAGTTATTTCTAAATTTTATTTTAGAGTTGGGGGAGAAGGGATCAAATTGAGTTCATAAAAAGGGGAAAGATTAAGTGAGGTCTTTAAAGTTAGATAAGACATGAACAATCAGATAGAGATGTGTGAGAGGAAAGCCGTTCCTGGATAATAAAACAGCCTAAGAATACAGAGATAGAGGGCATACTGTGTTTTATTTGGAAATAAGGAAGGTAAGATTGGTTGAGACAAATTACAGAGGATCTTATTGTCACAGAACATGTAAAGGAAGGAAGAAAGAATGAAAAGAGGAAGACAGAAGACCAAAGTCTGAACTTTAAGGAAATGCTCTTAAAGACAAGAAACAGGGTCAGTTTGATAGTGAAAGCGTAACAAAGGTATTGAGAGGGAGAGAGAGAGAGAGGGACAGAAACAACCAAAAAAACCCCAGAAAGTGAAAGAGGTAGATGCTCAATAAACACTTGTTGATTGAATAAAAGGAATGACTATTATTGTACACTGTTATAGAAGTCAAAAGTCAAAAATGAGTCTAGTGATTATACAAGAACATGAAAGCAAGATGACATGCTCTTTGAATACAGAAGTTTATAATCTAGTTAGGAAGACTGGGAACTACTTAACATTACAATATTAAACAAATCATCTAGTATGTCATCTACCTTCATAGGTGAACACGTCTGAACATGTATATCTGCAGTATTCCTAGATAATTCCGAATCCATACAGCTTTTAAATTTAAAACTTTAAATAATAATAAATAAGTGAATACCTTTCATATGATAGTAAGGGAATGGTGTTCTAATAATTCTGGAGGATTTAGTAAATGAAATTTTCTTCTCAGATTGGTGACTTTTATTCAGAGTATTATCTATTTCAAAGCGAGTAAAAAACCAAACTTAGAAATACACTAGGTATCTAGAGAAGAAGCACTTGAAATTCAACATCTATTTATGCTTTATCCCTAGACAAGCAACAGGTATGAATTCTATAGTGATGTTATTATACTAAATAAAGATGCCATTGCTCCTACCAAAAGATTATGGACTGTAACAGTGACAGTATTATTTTTAACAGTCAAACCAAAGCCTGAATTAGCTAAAATATTTAAATGTTAGGAGCAAACTAGACTAGAAATTTAATAAAATAATTTTCCAGGTAAGATTAATAAGTTTGAAAGTCTGATTTTCTTTGTCTCTTCTCTTCTCTCTCTCTCTCTCTATATATATATACACACACACACACACACACATAATATCTCCCCCAGCATTCCACTGAAATATATTTAAAAAGTAAAATTAAAATCTCTGCCTACATTTAAAGGACAAGTTGATTACCATATATTTAATTATAGTACCTTACTTTACTAGGACTATATTAAGGATAACGAAAATATAGAAGCCTAAAAATATTTCAGAGGACTATTTTAACTAAGATACTATCTCAACTTATTATTAGTGAATAGGCAATGATGTCAAATTAAAGCAAGAAGACAAGCTCTCCTGTGGAAGTGATTGTAAAAATGTATTTATGTACATACCCATACCCCAATATCCACATATCTACCCCCTCACACCCAATGCCACACATAAACTGTGATGATCAATTTTCTACTCAATCACATGGTCAATCAACAATGGTAGAAACTTCCATGTTTCTTTGTTAATGGGCTACTATTTGGCTTCTGTTTGTTGATCCAAAGTATAAGGCAAGGGAGAAGCAAGGCATTTATAAATTTTGCTACACAATTAGTTGTTTCAAATATCACACAGCCTTCATATTATTGGGTGAAGTAACATTTTCTAACCTTTATACAAATAAAAACCACTTTTACCTATATGACATCTTAACATTGCTAACCCTGCCACCCTTATTGTGCAAAATCTTAAGATGCTAGCATGATTTTATATTATAGACTATTTTTGATCCATTCATATATATTCTGATTTATTTCATGTGATTAGCCTCCAATGCAGAATCACAGAAAATACAACATGCTTAGTATATTCTTTCTTCTTTTCTTTAAACCATTGTTTAGTAAGGACCAAATACTGAATAACTTTTAATTTCTAGTGATTATTCTTTCACGCTCAAAGTGTAACTGTCATTCAGGATATTTTTTAAAAAAGCAATATGCCTGTAGTCCCAGCTACCTGGGAGGTTGAGGCAGAGGATCACTTGAGCCCAAAAGCTCAAGGCTGTACTGCACAATGATTGCATCTGTGAATAGCCATTGCACTCTAGCCTGACTAATATGGCGAGACCCTGTCTCAAATAAAATAAAATAAAATAAAATAAAATAGCAATATAAACTTTCCATTAAAATATGATTAGTAGGGTAAGAATTTGAAATTAGATTTTCAAGTGCCAATTTAAGAAATATTCTTACCTTTGATTCGAGGTAGACATTAGCTGATGACATTTTTGTAATTTTGCATATGTAACACACTAAAGAGATGGCACAAAGAATAAACAGGCTATCATTAATTAATGCTCGAACAAACACAGTCCACTTCAACTGATTTTCTGGGACATCTCCATGAACTAGCATTGCGCAAGTCAAGTTCACCACTAAAAAGAGCAGGCTTGCCATTATAAAGCCCAAATGCAGTAGAATTCTGAAAGAAAAAAAGTATATTAGATGGTTATATAACTAATAAGAAATCAAATTTAATTCTGCATTAGTGTGTTATGTTAGGTACAAGAATTCCTTCAGTTTGAAATGTTTATGAATGGCATAGATTTTTAAGCATTTATTCAGAAATAGTCTCAGGTTGACTTGAACTCAGTTTCTCCACCAGGAATAAGATAGGACTATCTTAACACTATTTCAAGTAATCCCAAATTTTTCATTTTTATAACTATTAAGCATATTTACATTAACCTTTCCAATCCAAGAATTATCAGGCTTTTACAATGTGCCTGAAAATTAATATACTGTATCTAAATTCATATTGATTAAATTTTAATTGATTAAAATATTAATTTTAAGAGTTAGGCCAGGCATGGCGGCTCATGCCTGTAATCTCAGAACTTTGGGAGGCCGAGGCAGGCAGATCACTTGAGGCCAGGAGTTCGAGACCAGCCTGGCCAACATGGAGAAACCTCATCTCTACTAAAAATACAAAAATTAGCTGGGTATGGCGGCACACGCCTGTAGTCCCAGCTATTCAGGAGGCTGAGGCACAAGAATCACTTGAATCTAGGAGATGGAGGTTGCAGTGAGCCAAGACAGCGCCACTGCACTCCAGCCTGGGTGAGACTGCGAGACTGTATCAATAAAAAAAAAAAAAAAAGGAAAAAAAAATTTTTAAGAGTTAAAGTATGTTTTAAACAATATTCCTTATGAACTTCTGATTGTAGCAAAAAATGCTTTCAAACTTGACTAAAGAAGAACATAGGGACAGTATATGTAGAGCTTCAAGCACCCATTAATACCTCATGTTCTTAAAAAGTTGCATATTTACTGTGCATGAAGAGCAACTCTGCACATGAACTCCTTAATCTCTTCCCCCTAAGAAAATTTAGGCTACCTCATAAGAACTCTTCAGTTAAGGCTGCTATGTGTATCAAGTAGCAGTAACAACTATCTGCACGAACGTAATCCCAGTTCAAACACATTTATACTTCCAAATTAAATACATATGATGCTGAAATTTATCTGGCTTCCTGATATATTGGGTCATTTCAATAGTGGAAATCAGAAAGTAGCTGCCTTTGGAAATGGTTTAAACGAGGTAAATTGAAGGTAATGTGCAATCTGTAACAAGCAAACAAAACTGCTTAGTGTACATGCAAAGCAAAAAGATTTTAGTTTTAAAAGGTTGTATTTTGAAGTTCTCTCAGATTAAATAATAAAAACAGTAATTACATAGTTTGAAACCCAAAAAGGATCTTGAAATCACCTACATATCCAGATAATTAGAGTAGTTTAGAAACTAGTAGAGGGTACATGAATTGCACAGTCAGCAAGTTAGTGGGAAAATTGGGTTGGAAACCCCAATCTCCTGACTCCACAGCTTAGCACTCTCGCTATTGAGATTGATCAGTACTGAAATATTACCTATTTCATGGAACATTCTCACTCCAAACAGCATAATCTAACTTTGGCAAAAGTGGACCCTATGAAGTTAGATCTAACATTTGAAGCAGGGACAGAGCAGCAAAAAAACAAAAAATTAGTCAGCTGTATGGCTGAAGGGAGAGAAATGTGGGCTACTCAATTTGATTCCTTTGAACCAATCTAACAACTTGGTTTTCTATAAAACTGTGAAGGTGCCCTCAACAACCACTCCCTTCTACCACGAGAAGTCTACTATTAAAAAAAATTAGATCTTTTAGATACTAAGCCTTAATATTAATGAATTAATGCTTTAGATCTTTTAGATAGAAATTTAGATACTCATAAAACTTACTTGTGTCTGTCAAGTTCAGTGGCACATCTGACTTTACATATAACCTATAAAGAGAATATAAAAAAAAAATTTTGAAAACGTGTAATATAGAATTCTTAAATATGTTCTGATTTTGTGTTTTAAAGTGCTACCACTATAAATAACATATAGCACGCAAAGTTGAAATGTTAACAGTTGAGCTACCATAAACTAAGAGACAGGTTTCCAAAGGCTTAAAACAATAAATCAATAACTTTCTTTGTTATCAACATAAACCTACATTTCTATCTTTAAAGATTTAAACAGAATTAATTCAGTTTAAACATATACTGTACTTGTATTATGAGGCAGACATTGTGCTGAATGGCTTGCCACCTATCCTAAACTTCATTATATTAGTCATGTTTTATTCTAAAATGGAACTTCTTGCTTAAATATGAATATGGCTGAGTATTCTCCAAAGACTATTTTCTTCAGTAATGAAATGAATTTGTAAAGCGAAATGAGGTACCAAAAGTGAACACAAAGATAATGAGGATATATCATATTTAGTAAACTTTCTTCTTTTATAAAGCCTTACAAAAGGCAGGTGCTCAGATACTTGTTGAATAAAGTCAGGTGAGTAGGTAAACCAAATTTGAAATAAACATGGTATATTCTGCGAACATAGTATTAAGGATCTCAAGTCCTTACTGGTGAACTTTAAATTATTCTTTAGATAATGGGAAGATATTGAAAGTTTTTATACAGCTATTCCAAAATATGGAATTTCACTAATCTGACATTAGTGTACAGGCTACTACAGAGGAACTACAAAATAAAAGTAGAAAGACCAGTTACAGGACTATTGAAGTAGAGTATGAAGTTTGGGGACCTGGAAAGAAAGAAGAAAGTACATTATGAAGAAAAATAGTGAAGGTACATGGTAACTCACTGATTTCATTTAAACATTTACCAAGTGCCTATTATATATCACACTCTATGAAAGGTGCTATGGATTCATAAACATGACCACGGTTTCTGCTCTCTAGGAGCTCAGAGTATGAAAGAACAGAAAAACCATCTATTTTGATACATTGTGATATAAATGCAAAATATGCTATCACAAAATCTAGAAGGAGAAAAGACTAATTCACTCCAAGAAAGGGTATGAGGTAAGGGGAAAAACTGTCTGGAGCGTCAGGGAGGACTTCTCATAATATTTGAGCCAACTTATGAAGAGTAAATTGGTGTTAGGCAGGTGAATCATCAGGCAAAGATAGATGCCTGTGCATCTACTCATACCTACTGTACAGCCACGTGTCGCTTAATGACAGAGATATATGTTCTGAGAAATGCATTGTTACAAACGCACCATTTGGAGATATAAGATGGGTTCCTTCCAAGATGGCCAAATAGGAACAGCTCCAGTCTGCAGCACCTAGCAAGGTTGACGCAGAAGACAGGTGATTTCTGCATTTCCAATTGAGGTACCTGGTTCATCTCATTGGGACTGGTTGGACAGTGGGTGCAGCCCATGGAGGGTGAGCTGAAGCAGGGCAGGGTGTCGCCTCACCTGGGAAGCACAAGGGGTTGGGGAATTTCCCTTTCCTAAGCAAGGGAAGCCGTGACAGACTGTACCTGGAGGAATGGTACACTCTCGTCCAAATACTGCACTTTTCCCACAGTCTCAGCAACTGGCAGACCAGGAGATTCCCTCCTGTGCCTGGCTTGGTGGGTCCCACGCCCACAGAGCCTTGCTCAATGCTAGCGCAGCAGTCTGAGATCCACCTGCAACACTGCAGCCCAGCAGGGGGAGGGGCATCCACCATTGTTGAGGCTTGAATAGGTAAACAAACCAGCCAGGAAGCTCGAACTGGGCAGAGCCCACCGCAGCTCAGCAAGGCCTACCGCCTCGCTAGACGCCACCTCTGTGGGCAGGGCATAGCTGAACAAAAGGCAGCAGACAACTTCTGCAGACTTAAATGTCCCTGTCTAACAGCTCGGAAGAGAGCAGTGATTCTCCCAGCACGGAGTTTGAGCTCTGAGAACGGACAGACTGCCTCCTCAAGTGGGTCCCTGACCCGTGTAGCCTGACTGGGAGACACCTCCCAGTAGGGGCCGACAGACACCTCATACAGGCGGGTGCCCCTCTGGGACGAAGCATCCAGAGGAAGGACCAAGCAGCAATATTTGCTGTTCTGCAGCCTCCCCTGGTGATACCCAGGCAAATAGGTTCTGAAGTGGACCTCTAGCAAACTCCAACAGACCTACAGTTGAGAGGCCTGACTGTTAGAAGGAAAACTAATAAACAGAAAGGAATAGCATCAACATCAACAAAAAGGACATCCACACCAAAACCCCATCTGTAGGTCACCAACATCAAAGACCAAAGGTAAATAAAACCACAAAAATGGGGAGAAACCAGAACACAAAAGCTGAAAATTCCAAAAACCAGACTGCCTCTTCTCCTCCAAAGGATAGCAGATCCTTGCCAGCAATGGAACAAAACTGGATGGAGAACGAGTTTGACGAGTTGACAGAAGTAGGCTTCAAAAGGTCAGTAATCAAACTTCTCCGAGCTAAAGGAGCATGTTCTAACCCAATGCAAGAAAGCAAAAAACCTTGAAAAAAGGTCAGGCGAATGGCTAACTAGAATAAACAGTGTAGAGAAGACCTTAAATGACCTGATGGAGCTGAAAACCATAGCATGAGAACTTCGTGATGCATGCACAAGCTTCAATAGCCGATTCAATCAAGTGGAAGAAAGGATATCAGTGATTCAAGATAAATTAATAAAACAGAGCGAGGAGACAAGATTAGAGAAAAAAGAGTAAAAAGAAATGAAAAAAGCCTCCAAGAAATATGGGACTATGTGAAAAGACCAAATCTATGTTTGATTGTTGTACCTGAAAGTGATGGGGAGAATGGAACCAAGTTAGAAAACACTCTTCAGGATATTATCCAGGAGAACTTCCACAACCTAGCAAGGCAGGCCAACATTCAAATCCAGGAAATTCAGAGAACACCACAAAGATACTCCTCAAGAAGAGGAACCCCAAGACACATAATTGTCAGATTCACCAAGGTTGAAATGAAGGAAAAAATGTTAAGGGCAGCCAGAGAGAAAGGTCGGGTTACCCACGAAGGGAAGCCCATCAGACTAACAGGGGATCTCTCGGCAGAAACCCCACAAACCAGAAAAGAGTGGGGTTCAATATTCAACATTCTTAAAGAAAAGAATTTTCAACCCAGAATTTCATATCCAGACAAACTAAGCTTCATAAGCGAAGGAGAAATAAAATCCTTTACAGACAAGCAAATGCTGAGAGATTTTGTCTCCACCAGGCCTGCCTTACAAGAGCTCCTGAAGGAAGCACTAAACATGGAAAGAAACACCGGTACCAGCCACTGCAAAAACATGCCAAATTATACAGATCATCAATGCTATGAAGTAACTGCATCAATTAACGGGCAAAATAACCAGCTAACATCATAATGACAGGATCAAATTCACACATAACAATATTAACCTTAAATGTAAATGGGCTAAATGCCCCCAGTTAAAAGACACAGACTGGCAAACTGGATAAAGAGTCAAGACCCATTGGTGTGCTGCATTCAGGAGACCCATCTCATGTGCAGAGACACACATAGACTCAAAAAAAAGGGATGGAGGAAGATCTACCAAGCAAATGGAAAGCAAAAAAAAGCAGGGGTTGCAATCATAGTCTCTGATAAAACAGACTTTAAACCAACAAAGATCAAAAGAGACAAAGAAGGCCATTACTGAATGGTAAAGGGATCAATTCAACAAGAAGAGCTAACTATCCTAAATATATATGCACCCAATACAGAAGCACCCAGACTCATAAAGCAAGTCCTTAGAGATCTACAAAGAGACTTAGACTCCCAATAATCGGAGACTTTAACACCCCACTGTCAATATTAGCCAGATCAACGAGACAGAAGGTTAACAAGGATATCCAGGACTTGAATTCAGCTCTGCACCAAGCAGACCTAATAGACATCTACAGAACTCTCCATCCCAAATCAACAGAATATACCTTTTTCTCAGCACCACATCACACTTATTCTAAAATTGACCACATAATTGGAAGTGAAACACTCCTGAACAAATGTAAAAGAACACAAATGACAACAAACTGTGTCTCAGACCACAGGGCAATCAATCTCAGGATTAAGAAACTCACTCAGAACTGCACAACTACATGGAAATTGAACAACCTGCTCCTGAATGACTACTGGGTAAATAATGAAATGAAGGCAGAAATAAAGATGTTCTTTGAAACCAATGAGAACAAAGACACATCGTACCAGAATTTCTGGGACACATTTAAAGCAGTGTGTAGAGGGAAATTTACAGCACTAAATTCCACAAGAGAAAGCAGGAAAGATCTAAAATGGACACCCTAACATCACAATTAAAAGAACTAGAGAAGCAAGAGCAAACAAATTCAAAAGCTAGCAGAAGGCAAGAAACAACAAAGATCAGAGCAGAACTGAGGGAGACAGAGACATGAAAAACTCTTCAAAAAAATCAATGAATCCAGGAGCTGGTTTTTTGAAAGATCAACAAAATAGAGAGACCGCTAGCAAGACTAATAAAGAAGAAAAGAGAGAAGAATCAAATAGATGCAACAAAAAATGATAAAGGGGATATCATCGCCGATCCCACAGAATTACAAACTACCATCAGAGAATACTATAAACACCTCTATGCAAATAAACTAGAAAATCCAGAAGAAATGGATAAATTCCTGGACACATACACCCTCCCAAGACTAAACCAGGAAGAAGTTGAATCTCTGAATAGATCAATAACAGGTTCTGAAATTGAGGCAATAATTAATAGCCTACTAACCAAAAAACGTCCAGGACCAGATGGATTCACAGCCGAATTCTACCAGAGGTACAAAGAGGAGCTGCTACCATTCCTTCTGAACTATTCCAATCAATAGAAAAAGAGGGACTCCTCCCTAACTCATTTTATGGGGCCAGCATCATCCCGACACAAAGGCCTGGCAGAGACACAACAAAAAAGGAAAATTTTAGATCAATATCCCTAATAAACATAGATGTGAAAATACTCAATAAAATACTGGCAAACTGAATCCAGCAGCACATCAAAAAGCTTATCCACCACAATCAACTCGGCTTCATCCCTGGGATGCAAGGCTGGTTTAACATATGCAAATCAATAAACATAATCCATCACATAAACAGAACCAATGACAAAAACCACATGATAATCTCAATAGATGCAGAAAAGGCCTTCGATTAAATTCAACAGCCCTTCATGCTAAAAACTCTCAATAAACTAGGAATTGATGCAACATATCTCAAAATAATAAGAGCTATTTATTACAAACCCACAGCCAGTATCATACTGAATGGGCAAAAACTAGAAGCACTCCCTTTGAAAATCGGTACAAGACAAGGATGCTCTCTCTCACCACTCCTATTCAACATAGTGTTGGAAATTCTGGCCAGGGCAATCAGGCAAGAGAAAGAAATAAAGGGTATTCAATTGGAAAAGAGGAAGTCAAATTGTCCCTGTTTGCAGATGACATGATTGTATATTTAGAAAACCCCATCGTCTCAGCCCAAAATCTCCTTAAGCTGACAAGCAACTTCAGCAAAGTCTCAGGATACAAAATCAATGTGCAAAAATCACAAGCATTCCTATACACCAATAACAGACAAACAGAGAGGCAAATCATGAGTGAATTCCCATTCACAATTGTTACAAAGAGAATAAAATACCTAAGAATCCAACTTACAAGGGATGTGAAGGACCTCTTCAAGGAGAACTACAAACCACTGCTCAATGAAATAAAAGAGGACACAAACAAATGGAAGAACATTCCATGCTCATGGATAGGAAGAAGCAGTATCATGAAAATGCCCATACTGCCCAAGGTAATTTATAGATTCATTGCTATCCCCATCAAGCTACCAATGACTTTCTTCACAGAATTGGAAAAACTACTTTAAAGTTCATATGGAACCAAAAAAGAGCCCCCATAGCCAAGACAATCCTAGCAAAACAGCAAAAAGAACGAAGCTGGAGGCATCACAGTACCTGACTTCAAACTATACTATAAGGCTACAGTAACCAAAACAGCATGGTACTGGTACCAAAACAGATATATAGACCAATGGAACAGAACAGAGCCCTCAGAAATAACACCCCACATCTACAACCATCTGATCTTTGACAAACCTGACAAAAACAAGCAATGGGAAAAGGATTCCCTATGTAATAAATGGTGCTGGGAAAACTGGCTAGCTATATGCAGAAAGCTGAAACTGGATCCTTTCGTTACACCTTATACAAAAATTAATTCAAGGCGTATTAAAGACTTAAATGTAAGACCTAAAGCCATAAAAACCCTAGAAGAAAACCTAGGCAATACCATTCAGGACGTAGGCATGGGCAAAGACTTCATAACTAAAACACCAAAAGCAATGGCAACAAAAGCCAAAATATACAAATGGGATCTAATTAAATAAAGAGCTTCTGCATACCAAAAGAAACTGTCATCAGAGTGAACAGGCGACCTACATAATGGGAGAACATTTTTGTAATCTACCCATCTGACAAAGGGCTAATATCCAGAATCTACAAAGAACTTAAACAAATTTACAAGAAAAAAACAAACAACACCATCAAAAAGTGGGCGAAGGATATGAACAGACACTTCTGAAAAGACATTTATGCAGCCAACAGACACATGAAAAAATACTCATCATCACTGCTCATTAGAGAGACACAAATCAAAACCACAATAAGACACCATTTCACACCAGTTAGAATGGTGATCATTAAAAAGTCAGGAAACAACAGATGCTGGAGAGGATGTGGAGAAATAGGAATGCTTTTACACTGTTGGGAGTGTAAATTAGTTCAACCATTGTGGAAGACAGTGTGGCGATTCCTCAAGGATCTGGAACTAGAAATACTACTTGACCCAGCGATCCCATTACTGGGTGTATACCCAAAGGATTATAAACCATGCTACTATAAAGACAATGCACATGTATGTTTACTGCAGCACTATTCACAATAGTAAAGACTTGGAAGCAACCCAAATGTCTATCAATGATAGACTGGATTAAGAAAATGTGGCACATATGCAATATGGAATACTACACAGCCATAAAAAAGAATGAGTTCCTGTCCTTTGCAGGGACATGGGTGAAGCTGGAAAACATCATTCTCAGCAGACTATCACAAGGACCGAAAACCAAATACCGCATGTTCTCATGTATAGGTGGGAGTTGAACAATGAGAACACATGGACACAGGGTGGGGAACATCACACACTGGGGCCTATAAGGGGGTGGGGGGCTGGGGGAGGGGTAGCATTAGGAGAAATAGCTAATGTAAATGTCCAGTTGATGGGTGCAGCAAACAACATGGCACATGTATACCTATGTAACAAACCTGCACATTGTACACATGTATCCTAGAACTTTAAGTATAATAAAAAACAAAACAAACAACAAAAAAAGCACAATGTGTCAGTGTGTGAACATTACAGAGTATATTTACACAAACCTAGATGGTATAGCCTACTACATACCTAGGCCATATGGTATATAGCCTATGCTCCTAGGCTACAAACCTGTACAGCATGTTACTGCTGTACCAAATGCTATGTGCAAGTATAACACGATGGTAAGTATTTGTGTATCTAAACATAGAAAACATACAGTAAAAATGTGGTATACAAGATAAAAAATGGTGCACTTGTATAGGGCACTTAATATGAATGCAGCTTACAGGGCTGGAAGTTGCTCTGGGTGAGTCAGTGAGTTAGTGGTAAGTGAATGTGTAGGCCTAGGACATTACTGTACACTACTGTAGACTTTATAAACATTGTACACTTATGCTACACTAAATTTATTTTTAAAAATGAACAATAAATTAACCTCAGCTTACTATAACTTTTTAAATTTATACACTTTTTAAGTTTTTGACTCTTGTACTGACCCTTGGCTTAAAACACAAATACGTCATACAGCTGTACAAAAATATTTTCTTTCTTCATATCCTTATTCAATAAGCTTTTTTTTTCCTATTGTAAAATGTTTTCATTTTTATTTTTTACTTTTTGAACTTTTTTCTTAAAAGCTAAGACATAAATACACCCATTAGCTTAGGCCTACACAGGGTCAGGATCATCTGTATCACTGTCTTCTAACTCCACATCTTGTGCCACTGGAAGGTGTTTAGATGCAATAACATGCACGGAGCTGTCATCTCCTATGATAACAGTGCCTTCTTCTGGAATACTTCCTGAAGGACCTACGTGAGGCTGTATTACAGTTAACTTTTTTTTAATAAGTAGAAAGCCATTCTAAAATAATAGTAAATACATAAACCAGTAACATAATCATTTATTATCCAGTGTTATATACTGTACATAATTGTATGTGCTACACTTTTATACCCCTGGCAGCACAGCTTTGTTTACACTAGCATCACCATAAACATGTGAGTAATGCATTGTGCTATGACGTTACAATGGCTATGATGTTAAAATGGCTGCAACATCACTAGGTTATAGGAATATTTCAGCTTCATTATAATCTTATGGGACCACTGTTGTATGTGGGGTGAGTTATTGACTGAAACGTTGTTATGCGGTGCCTGACTGTATTTTGGTAACAGTACTACCATCTACTAGAGGCTGAATGTAATGAAGGAGTCTAAAATAGTATACTGTTAGTCTCTAAACTGTACTACTTATATTAAGTCATAGATGCATCCACTTTTGCCATCTCCACTATCACAGTGGATTATTACAGCAGCCTTTTAATTGATTACCTTCATTCTTAATTCCATCCACCCTCTTCAGATGATAACTGTTCATTTGATCACTTTTTAAAATTCCCCCCATACATGATTTATTTAATTTTTAAAAATTGTGGTAACATAGATAGAACATAAAATTTAACCATTTTTTAGTGTATGGTTCAGTGGCATTAAGTACATTCACAATGTTGTGCAACCATCACCTTTATCCATCTCCTGAATCTTTTCATCTTCCCAAACTGAAACTCTATACCCATTCATTAAACAACAACTCCCCATTCCCTCCTCCTCCAGGCTCTGGCAGCCATCTCTCTACTTTCTGTCCTTATGAATTTAACTACTATATGTACCTCATATAAGTAGATTCATACAATATTTGTCCTTTTGTGACTTTCATTTAGCATAATGTCTTCAAGGTTTATTTACACTGTAGCATGTGTCAGAATGTCCTTTCTTTCTAAGGCTGAATAATATTCCATTGCATGTGTGTACCACATTTTGCTTATCCATTCATCAATCAATGGACACTTAGGTAGCCTCTACCTTTTGGCTATTGTGAATGCTGCCGCTATGAACATCAATGTTCTATATATGATTTTCAAAAAATCATTTGAGAGAAAGTTGTTTGACACTACTTTGCCCTAAGTACTTCAATGTATACTTCTTTAAAGATGAAAATTCTCCTATGTAACCACAGTATAATTACAAAAATCATAAAACTGAATATGTATACTATCATGTAATTTTCAGACCTTATTCATATTTTTCCAATCATTCCAATAAAGTATTTTATGAAAAAAAATCCAGGATTATGCATTAGGTACATATTTCATGTGTATTTAGTCTCTTTTAATCTTCACTTCTTTCCTTTGTCTTTCATGATATTCACAATTTTGAAGAATATAGAGACCAGTGATCTTATAGTGTTTCCTTATGATTAGATTTTGGATATGCATTTTGGTAGGATTACCACAGAAGTGATGATGTTGCATTCTCTTCAATGCATTATATCAGGAGGTTAATGATGTTGATTTGTCCAATTACTGTGATGTTAACTTTAATCAATTGGGCCAGAAGCGGTGGCTCATGCCTGTAATCCCAGCACTTTGGGAGGCTGAGGCAGGTGGATCACCTGAGGTTAGGAGTTCGAGACCAGCCTGGCCAACATGGTGAAACCCTGTCTCTATTAAATAAAAAAAAAGCAGCCAGGAGTGGTGGCATGCACCTGTAGTCCCAGCTACTCAGGAGGCTGAGGCCAGAGAATTGCCTGAACTCGGGAGGCAGAGGGTGCAGTGAGCCAAGATTGCATCACTGCTCTCCAGCCTGGGCAACAAGAGCAAAATTCTGTCTCAGAAACAAAACACAATAAAAAACTTTAATCAACTGGTTAAAGTGGTATTTATAGTGCTTTTCCACCATTTAGTTACTGTTTTCCCATTGTATTTAAAGAGTATCACATACAGCAATATTTAGAGATGATGTAAATATCTTTTACTCTTCAAATTTCCTTGACTAGTTCATAATATCTACCAATGATTCTTACCTGAATAAATTATTATGATGGAGGAACTTCTTTTAAAAAAGTACATCTGATCACACTATTCCAGAAAAATGTCCACACTCCTTTAATACATAAAAGGTTTTTTATTGCCTAGCTCCACCTTCCCATCCTTGTATCCTTTTAGGCCTACCTTCAAACTTACGGTTTAGTTATTCTGAATTATTATTTCATTTTACTTTTTATTGAAGGAGTCTCACTCTGTTACCCAGGCTGGAGTGCACTGGCACGATCTTGGCTCACTGCAACATCCACCTCCATGGTTCAAGCAATTCTCCTGCCTCAGCCTCTCGAGTAGCTGGAACTACAGGCGTGTGCCACCATGCCCAGTTAATTTTTGTATTTTTAGTAGAAAAGGGTTTCACCATGCTGGCCAGGCTGGTCTCGAGCTCCTGACCTCAAATGATCTGCCAGCCTCAGCCTCCCAAAGTACTGGGATTATAGGCATGAGCCACTGCACTTGGCCTGGTCATTCTGAATTATTTACAACTCTTCAAATAGGTGGTTCAATTTTATATCTCTGTGCCTTTGTACATATTTTTACTTTGCTTAGACTATGTTTTATGGCCAGATAACAAATTCCAACTCATCCTTCCAGACATTACTAGAATGTCATTCTTTATATTGTTAGGTTAAGTGTCTCAGGGAGAGAGAAAACTCTTTTTATCCTTGCATTATTAATCATAATCTATATCATTTATTTACATATTTATTTCTCTCTTAAGAAAGACCATAACTTACTCAGATATAGAGCCCAATACCTACCATAATGCCTAGTTCACAGTAGGTTTTCAGACAGTGTTTGAATAAATGAGCAGTGAATTAAGGTCAAAGAAAGTGTTTTCGTGTGGTGGTGGTGTGTGGGATAGTGTGGGAAACAGCAGAAGTTGAAGCTGGAGGCAAGCAGTCATCAAATCATGGAGGCTTTGTATAAAATGCTGAAGAATTGGGCTGGCTATAAACTCTGTAATATGATTCTACGTTTGAATGATTTCTTAAGTGACAGTGTAGAAAATGCATTACGGTGGGGCAAAGAATTCCAGTTAAAAGACTGTTGAACTTGAGCTGACTAAACTATATTCTCAGGTTTTGAATCTAAACAATTGATAGAATGAGGGCACCACTGACAAAAAACTTAAAAGCCAGGTCACGAAATGTATTGTTATATTTAAAATGTATTACATCTAGGCAGAAATAAAGATAATAGGTGAGTTTTGGAATGCAAGAAGGAAATTACAGTCACCTATAGAGGTGACAGCTGAAACTCAGTAGAATACACTTAAGGGAAAAAGTGTAGAATGAGAGTCAACCTGTGATATGTTCACATTTAATAGTCACAATTAGAAAGCACAAGAGTAAAGAAAAGGGAGATGGGCAGAGGAGAGAAACATAAGAATCAGACTAGTCATAGAAAACAGCAGAGTAGTTTAGAGTTAAAAGCAAGAAAGTAGAGCCGTTGTTAAAATTCTGCAAAACGTCAGAAATGATTAAGAAAAGACCATTTAATTGAGTGACTGGTATGTCACTGGTACCTTGCAGAGAATAGTTTTCAGATTGACAGAGCAGAAGTGCAAGGAGTTGATAGGAAGTAAGACAACAGAAGCAGTGAGTACAGACTGAGAGATATCTGAAGCTAACAGAAACCTGGGAAAATCTGTGTTGGAAGAGAATTCTCTATGAATGTCTCATGTTTTTGCATGGTCTGGATCTTCTGAGCAAAGGGGTTTGCATGACAAACATCCCTGAATGCAAGAGATAGTGTTTACTTTAAGGTCAGAAGGAATATTCCTGACTGGTATAATAAAGGTAGAGAACGCTGTCCTCCCTGAGGACATTCCAGGATAGTAAACTCTCCCTCTCTCTCCCTGGTGAAGATTTGCTTACACTCTAGAATAAATGTCTATCTCTGTCTCTGTTTTTATTTCAGGGTTTTCTCTCCTGTAGCATTCCCCACTGCATGCGCAGGTAACATCCTCTCACAGTGCTGCCCTATGAATTTGGGGGCTTTGAGACTCACAGCAAAAAGACATTGCTTTTGTTGCTGCTTTAGCCATGAGTGATAAACGGTCTTTCACTCTGACTTGTGGGTCTTGTGTTTTCTTTTCTTTTCTTTTTTTTTTGAGACTGAGTCTCCCTCTATCGCCCAGGTTGGAATGCAGTGGTGCAATCTCAGCTCACTGCAACCTCTGCCTCCTGGGTTCAAGTGATTCTCACGCCTCAGCCTCCCAAGTAGCTGGGACTGCAGGCGCTTGCCACCATACCTGGCTAATTTTTGTGTTTTTTAGTAGAGACAGGGTTTCACCATGTTGACCAGGTTGGTCTCAAACTCCTGACCTCAAGTGATCCACCCGCCTTGGCCTCCCAAAGTGCTGGGATTACAGGCGTGAGCCACCATACCTGGCCTTGGTCTTGTGTACATAAAACAACAGCAGGCTAATCTGTTAAATTTAAAGTAGGGTAAAAGACTCTTCGTGGTTGAAGATTCAGCAATCTGTTGGTCAGAAATTGACTAAATAGAGGGCGAAGTAGAAGATGGAGAGTGGAGAGACAGTGAGAGACAGAGCGAGAGAGAGAGCAAGTGAGAGCGAGAGCAAGAGAGAGTTAGTTTAATTGTTAGGAAGGCTCTAGACAGAAGAGGCATGTTAGTCCTGAAAAGGAAGACACTTTTGAGTCAAGAGAGAAGAAAAGAAAATTAAAGAAAAACTTGGAGGTCTGCACAGAAAATTTAAAATAATTTACAAACCAGCTCTTTGTTATAATAAAAAATGTGGATATAGTATGGATTCTGATATTTTGATATCGAGAAGGATAAGAGAATTTGGCAGATGGATTCTATTTTTTTCTAGGAAAGTAGGTGGCAAGGTCACTTCTTGTGAAAGATGTTAGATTTAAGCACTGGAATATGAAAAACATTTGGAACACATGAATAGAAAGGTTATAAAAGAATATATTGAGAAACAGCAAGGTCCAGTTAAAGTTGAGCAGTTGATAGTGGATATAATTAGCAAGGTTTTCTGATTTTAAAATGGAAACAATTTAACAGAAAAAAAAATGGGCCAGATCCAGTGGCTCATGCCTGAAATCCCAGCACTTTGGGAGGCTGAGGTAAGAGGATTGCTTGGGGCCAGTAGTTTGAGACCAATCTGGTCAGCATAGCAAGGCTCTGTCTCTGCAATCAATCAATCAGGACTATAACCACACCTATCGTCCTAGCTACTTGGGAGGCTGAGGCAGAGGATGGCTTCAGCCCAGGAGTTTGAGGCTGCAGTGAGTTATGATTGCGCTACTGCACTCCAGCCTGGGCAACAGGGCGAGATCCTGTGAAAGTTGTCAGAATCAAAGTGGAGTCACTTATGCCAAATCTTAACAAAAGGGAGTCAGGAGGCCAAAAAGGAGGAGTCTTATACACATTTCTATAATAAAAATGATTACAAGGATTCTCTGAAGACCACAAACATGCACAAAAGTCACCGTAACCTTACACGAAGAATACTTCTGTGAGGACATCTATCCAGCAACTGCCTGTTCAGCCTTGGAATGACACCGCCCTTGTTATTAATCCTTGTGACGAGGGGTAACCATTTCAAAACAACTATGCAACCTTTAGAATTTTGCCTTTAAAAGTTTCCCCTTGCCTCAACCTCCCCAAATATGCCCATGATCCAGCTTAGCACATATAACCTGGATTATAATCATTCTCATTCCTGAATAAACTTATTGTCTTTGGACAATCTCTGTTATTTTAGGTTGACACATTATAAAAAGTTCAAATAACCAGGATGCATTTTTTCATGTAGTAATTTAGAATTGGAAAATGTGGGCACTATTGTAGAGGAAGAACTCACTCTGGTGAATGAACAGGTTTGGCACGGCAAAAAGTCAAGGGATGAGGAATACTAGAATGGAGTGGGGAGAACAGAAGAGATAAAGTGACTAAAAGTCAGGATGAGGGTAAAAAACAGATAAAAGAATAAACTGAATATATATAAGGGAAAAGAGAAGACATTGGTCAGAAAGAATAGCTCAGTTTTTAAGAGCTGATCCAAGGTGTGGTCATGCTACTGGGTGGCTCAAATAGAAATGAAGGGTTTTAGAGCTCTAAGAAACCACTGAATTGAGACATTAGATGGGTTATCAATAAGGGTTTTGAGAAAGATCATATATCACAGGAAACCAGGGAAGAAGGAAGAAAGTGCTGATTCATCCAGGAAGGTGGAAGTTATTATTACAGCCAATGATGATCTAATCAGATGGCACAGATTTCAGAGATGATGATGGTATAATATTAGTAAGTAGTATTGGGAAGTATAAAATAGGCTGATCATTTTTCCCACAAAAGACATGAGATGTCATCTGAGAAGAGCTAGATTTCAGTGAAGGCATTTAAAAGGATCATGTGAAGACAAGAATCGGTACAGGGTGAGAGGGATAATCCATAAAATTACAGGTCTTGGGATAATGGGTGTGACAGGGAGTTGAGCTGGATGAGAAAAAAAATAAAGGTCAGCTACCATCCCAGATTTGCAGAACATGTTCCAATGCATTATAGAAGCATAACCAGGTGCTTAAATCACATTTGGATTATAGTAGGCTTAAACACAATTATCTGCTATTAATAGATTCCAAGTATATTATAGAATATAGCTAACAGGACATGATCATGAGTTAAAAATTAGTAATATGAAAAAATATCAAGCAATTATATATCATTTGTTAAGATACTGAAATAATTCATGAAACAATAAACACATGCTTTATGTAGATTTTTTTTAAGTTCAGAATGGTAAATAATGTATCTAAATGACTTACTGATGTCAATTTAAGTCAGATGGGCTGTATCTTTCCAGCTCTTTCTTAATACCAGAAAAAACTGGATAAATGGGCCATTTATAAAAGAATATTATTCTTTCTATGAAAGTATAAAGAATTTTAAGGGTTAATGGCTGTCAAATATTTTATATCACATAATCTACTTTTATCCCATATACAGACTAGCAGATCCTTATTTAGAAAATATTATTTTAGGATATTTGAATTATTGAAGATTTAAAATAATGTTATTACTAGCATACTCAATTTTATTTTGTAATATTCAACTCATATACAAGTGATTTGAAATGATTTTCTCATTTTATTATTTTTAATTATTTATTTATTTTTGGAGACAGAGTCTCACTCTGTTGCCCAGGCTGGAGTGCACTGCCATGATCTCAGCTCACTGCAACATCCACTTCCCAGGTTCAAGCCATTCTCCTGCCTCAGCCTCCCAAGTAGCTGGGATGACAGGTGCACACCAACACACCCGGCTAATTTTTGTATTTTTATTAGAGACTGGGTTTCCCCATGTTGGCCAGGCTGGTCTCGAACTCCTTAATTCAGGTGATCTGCCCGCCTTGGCCTCCCAAAGTGCTGGGATTACAGGCATAAGCCACCATGCCCGGCCAGATATTTCCATTTTAAAATGCAGACTTATATGTCTCCTTTAGTGCTTCAAATAAAGGAAAGATGAGAGTATTGCAAATATATTGTTTGTGACTGTCACCTAATGTAATATTAATACAAGTATCCCAAGACTTGAGGAATGTGCAATGATATGAAATGTTTATGTCCCCTGCAAATTCATGTTGAAATACTAACCCCCAATGTGATTAGTATTAGGAGGTGGGGCCTTTGGGACCTGCTAGGTCATGAGGATGCAGCCCTCATTAATGAGATTAGTATCCTTATAAGAGAGATCCCATAGATTCCTCACCTCTTACAACATGTGAGGACATAGTGGGAAGGCACTGTCTATGAACCAGAAAGTGGATCCTTATCAGACACTGGATCTACTGGCACCTTGGTCTGAAACTTTCCAGCCTCCAGAATGGTGAGAAATAAATTTGTTTTCTTATAAACTACCCAGTTTATGATATTTTATTACAACAGCCTGAAGACTAAGCAGACTAAGACAAGAGGGTTACACTGGAGCTGTGTATCGTTTATTTTCACCCATGACATGTAGACCATGTTGCTTTGAAGATAGTAGGTACTGAAATACTTATAGAACAAATGCTTTTCTATGGAATTCATTTTTGTCAATTTAATTTTCCCTCTTTTGTTGATCTAAAATAGAAACTTTACTGGAGAGCATATCTAATATAAAATTTGAAATTGATGCAAAAATGAATTGTGGTAAACATAATCTCTTTTCCATGGTGAAGAGTTAGGCATACATATCCAATTAAGTAGATGATTTTCACAGAAGCAGTTATCCAATTTCCATATCAATTGCTTAAGTTCCTATAGAGAGTAGCGCACCATTCCCAAGCTTACCATTGTTATTGCCTGCAAATAAAATATGAAGCATTTAGCTACTTTAGCCATAAATTGAATAAATGCACTCTTCCTCAATGTTCACTTTCTTTCTTTTTTTTTTTTTGAGACGGAGTCTCTCTGTTGCCCAGGCTGGAGTGCAGTGGTGCGATCTCAGCTCACTGCAACCTCTGCCTACTGGGTTCAAACAATTCTCCTGCCTCAGCCTCCTGAGTAGCTAGAATTACAGGCGTGCATCACCATGCCCAGCTATTTTTTTTTTTTTTTTTAGTAGAGAAGGCATCTCACCATGTTGGCTGGCCTGTGTTGAACTCCTGACCTCAGGTGATCTGCCTGCCTCGGCCTCCCAGTGTGCTGGGATTACAAGCATGAGCCACTGCACCCGGCCAGATGTTCACCTTCTATGTCTATCATATGGTTAACAACTTTTTTTTTTTTTTTTTTGAGAAGAAGTCTCACTCTGTCACCGAGGCTGGAGTGCAGTGGCGCAATCTCGGCTCACTGCAACCTCTGCCGCCCGGGTTCAAGCAATTCTCCTGCCTCAGCCTCCTGAGTAGCTGAGATTACAGGCATCTGCCACCATGCCCGGCTAATTCTTTTGTACTTTTCAGTGGGGTTTTGCCATGTTGGCCAGGCTGGTCTCAAACTCCTGACTTCAGGTGATCCACCTGTCTCAGCCTCCCAAAGTGCTGGGATTACAGGTGTGAGCCACCAGGCCTGGCCAATAACTTTTATCTACTAAAAATATATATGTATATATTTTATCTACTAAGAAATATATATTTATATATTTAATATATACATATAAATATTATTATATAAATATAAATAATATATAAATATAAATATATTTAGTAGATATATATACTAAAAAATATATATATTTACAGCAGCCTATTCTTGTTTCTAGGATTCAATATCTTCTTGCATCTCTCTTAGGGTCTTAATACCCTAATGCTTAAAAAAATTATTCATTGGCCAGGAGTGTTGGCTCACGCCTGTAATCCCAGCACTTTGGGAGGCCGAGGTGGGTGGATCGCCTGAGCTCAGAAGTTCGAGACCACCCAGGGCAACATGGTGAAACCCTATCTCTACTAAAAATACAAAAAAATTAACTGGGTGTGGTGGTGCACACCTCCAGTCCCAGCTACTTGGGAGGCTGAGGCAGGAGAACTGCTTGGGCCCAGAGGCGAAGATTGCAGTGAGCCGAGATCGTGCCACCGAACTCCAGCTTGGGCTACAGGGTGAGACTCTGTCTCAAAAAAAAAATTTTTTTTTCTTTTAGTCTCTTCTCTCTGCTTAGTCTGATTTCTTCTAAGCTGCTTAAAAATGATATTATACAAATTGGGATGGTTTAATTTACAATCAAATGAATTTTGATGATTCAAATAAATATCGAATATCCATATCTAATTTTGTTCCAACTTGAAATTCTACTAAAACAACAGTAAAGGAATTTTCATGAAAGGCATAAACCCATAAATCTGAGTAGAATAGGAAAGACTGCAATAATGAATGTTGGAAGCTAGAAAGCAGATGGGTGTACGTGCAGAAAAAGGTTAACATGGCAGGCTCAAGACTGCTATCCTTAGAAAGACTGCTTATAAAGTTGGCCTGTGGCTGGCATTTGGAAATCTGGCTTTCAGGAGGATTCCCACCATTCCTTAAATGATGAGCTGTGCTTCACTTTACCTAAAGCATTTGTGCAAATAATATAGTTTATACTGAATACCTGTTTTCTTTCTTGGAATCTTGACATTTGGTATTTGTTAGGTAGAGGGTACCTACACGGCCAGCTCGCAATAAAAAAAATCTTGGGCACTGAGTTTCTAATGATCTTCTGTGGTAGACACCATCTCACATGTGTTGTTACACCTCATTGCTGAATGAATTAAGCACATCCTGTGTAACTCCACTGGGAGAGGACTCTTGGAAGTGTGTGTCTGGTTTATTCCAGGCTTTATGTATCTTTTCCCTCTGATTTGACTCTACGTCCTTTCACTGTAATAAACTGTAACCATGAGTTTAACAATTGTGAGTCCTAGCAAATCATCAAGGCTGAAGGTGGCCTTAGGGACACCCAACACAATGTATGATTACCCAAGAAAGATGAATCCCAAGCTAGTAGTGAGAAGGGTTGAGAACAACGTGATTTCAGAATCTTCAAAAGGTACCAGGAGAATCAGGTACCAATCAGAGAGAACTGAGAAGTGGGGGTGGCTAAAACGGGTAGATAAAAGCTGTTTAAGAGCAGTTAAATCTCTCTTTCCCTAGTCCATACCCTGGGCAAATGCCTCTTCTTCATCCTGGCAGATATCTGGGTATTTATTCTCTGGAGAGGCCACCAAAAAGCCTTTGGTCTAAAGCATGAAAGTTAAATGCCAGGCACAGTTGATAGTTTAGCACCACACTGAGAATGGAGATGACTGGTATACACCAAGCATAAAGATTCTCCCCCACCCCAACCCTCTTCCCTGACTAGGTTCTCAAAATGCTGGAATAGACCTTTACTCTTTGAAAGATTAGAATATTTTTTTTTCTCTGAGGAATCTTAGCAGCCCAAGAAGAAAGATCTAAACATACTAGCAACGGGGGTTCTGTAACAAATAGTTCAGCCAGATCACCCTACAGCAAAGCTCAGAGCGTACATATCTCACCCATAAGCTCAGAGTTTCCATTCTTTTTTTTTTTTTTTGAGACGGAGTCTCGCTCTTGTTGACCAGGCAGGAGTGCAGTGGCACGATCTCAGCTCACTGCAAACTCGGCCTCCTAGGTTCAAGAGATTCTCCAGCCTCAGCCTCCTGAGTAGCTGGGACTAAAGGCACGTGCCACCACGCCTGGCTAATTTTTCTATTTTTAGTAGAGACACGGTTTTGCCACGCTGGCCAGGCTGGTCTCGAACTCCTGATCTCAGGTGCTCAGGTGATCCGCCCACCTCAGCCTCCCAAAGTGCTGGGATTACAGGTGTGAGCCACCATGCCTGGCCTCCACTCTTAATTATTAGCAGAGAGCCAAGGATAACCAGATAGCTCAAAAGTCTTTAATAAAAGAGATCAATGCAAAAAAAATACAGATTTAAAAACTAAAACAGGAAAACTATCCTTAATAAACTTAGAGAGAGTAGATATGGAGCTCATGAACAAAAACATGATGTTAATAAAAAATTCAGAGAATAAAAAGGAGCTTATGGAAGGGAATTACAAATGCTAGTAGAAATTTTAAAAAGTCAAAAGACAGGCTGGAAATTGGGAAACTCCCCCAAAAAGCAGAGAAAGAAGACAGATGCAAAATAGGAAAGAAAAGAAAAAGATTCATTTAAAAGGTCTAACATCCAAACATTAAGAGCTCCAGAAAGAGAAACAAATAAAGAAGCGGAGAAAATCAAGTTAAAAATACGAGAATGTCTCCCTAAACTAAAAAATACATGTTAGTAAGTTGAAGGGGCTTGTTGAATATCCGGCAAAATGGATAGAAAACAGACCCATTTGAAGATACATCACTATGAAATTTCAGAACACTGGAATCAAAGAATAACCTATTATTTTCAGAAAGGAAAAAACAAGTCACATATACATAATAAAAAATCAGAATTGTATAGAGATGTTCATAGTGGTCTCTGATAAACTTTGTATTTCTGTGGTATCAGTTGTAATATTACCTTTATTGCTTTTTTTTGAGACAGGGTCTCATTCTGTTACCCAGGCTGGAACGCAGTGGCACGATCTCAGTTCACTGCAACCTCTGCCTCCCAGGCTCAAGCGATCCTCCCACCTCAGCCTCAGTAGCTGGGACTTACAGGTGCATGCCACCACGCCCAGCTAATTTTTTTTTTTTTTTTTTGTAGAGATGGTGTTTTGCTATGTTGCCCAGGCTGGTCTCAAACTCCTGGGTTCAAGCGATCCGCCTGCCTCAGCCTCCCAAAGTGCTGGGATTACATGCTTGAGCCACTGCACCCCTAAGTTTAAATTTACCTGATTTTAAAGATAAAATCAGATCTTTATAGTTTCTGATTGTTCTTATTTGAATCCTCTCTCTTCTTTTGTTTGCCTACCAATTTTGTTTGTCTTTGCCAAGAATCAACTTTTCATTTCATTGATCGTGTGTGTGTGTGTGTGTGTGTGTGCGCGCGCGCGCACGCGTGCATGTTTGGTCTCAATTTCATTCAGTTCTGATCTCTTTTCTGCTAGCTTTGGGTTTTGTTTGTTCTTGTTTTTCCAGTTCCTTGAGGTGTAACATTAGTGTTAATCTGAAATGACTTTTTTATGTAGACATTTAACACTATAAACTTCCCTTTCAGCCTGCTTTTGCTGTATCCCAGAGGTTTTGGTATCTATTTTCACTCGTTTCAACAAATATTTTGATTCTGCCTTGATTTCACTGTTTACCCATAGATCACTCAGGAGCAGATGTTTAATTTCCAGGTATCTTTTTTTTTTTTTTTTTTTTTTTTTTTTTTGAGGAGTCTTACTCTGTCGCCCAGGCTGGAGTGCAGTGGCACGAATTTGGCTTATTGCAACCTCCGCCCCCCGGGTTCAAGTGATTCTTCTGCTTCAGCCTCCTGAGTAGAGTAGCTGGGACTACAGCACCACGCCTGGCTAGTTTTTGTATTTTTAGCAGAGATGGGGTTTCCCCATACTGGCCAGGCTGGTCTCGAACTCCTGACCTCAAGTGATCCACCTGCCTCGGCCTCCCAAAGTGCTGGGATTACAGGTGTGAGCCACTGAGCCCAGCCTATTTACATAGTATTGAGAGTTCCTGTTGGTACTGGTTTATATTTTTATTTCACTGTGGTCTGAGAAGATGCTTAGTATGATTTCCATTTTTAAAAACTTATTGAGACTCGCCTTGTGGCCCAGCATATGGTCAATTTTTGAGAATGTTCCATGTGCAGGTAGGAAGAATGTGTATTCTGTGGTTGTAGGGTAGAATGTTCTGTAAACGTCTATTAGGTTAATTTGGTCTGAAGTCCAATTTAAGTCCAGAGTTTCTTTGTTGACTTTCTGCCTCGATGATGTATATAGTGATGTAAGTGGAGTGAAGTCCTCCAGTATTATTACGTTGCTCTCTATCTCTTTCAGTACAACTTAATGGAAAAACAATAAGATTTCTCAAATAACTAAAAATGGAACTATAATTCCATTCAGCAATTCCACTACTGGGTATATACCCAAAGGGAAAGAAATTCTTATATCAAAAAGACACCTTCACTCTATATTTATCACAGCACTATTCATAATAGCAAAGATACAGAATCAACCTAAGTGTCTATCAATGGATGATTAGATTAAAATGTGGTATATATGGACCATGGAATGCTACTCAGCTATAACGAGTATGAAATTCTATCAATTGCAACAACATTGATGGAATTTGAGGCCATTATCCTAAGTAAAATAACTCAGAAACAGAAAGTCAAATACTGATGTTCTCACTTATAAGTGGGAGTTAAACAAAGGGTACACATGTAGAATAGTCTGCCTGATAAGAGTGTCTTTCTTTATCTGGGGCCTTGGGCCATTCCAAATAGTTTATGCTAACAATGTGAGTTACGGTGCAGCCTTGGGCCACATAGTATCAGTTTGACTTCTGGAGAGGCTGGGGACTGAGTAAAGTCAGCCATGTGGATGCTCCATGCCTATATGACCAACCCCCAGTAAAAACCCCGAACAACACAGCTCATGTGAACTTCTTAGTGAGAGACTAAGCTCTATCTGTAAGACTCCACTAGGAGAAGATAACTGGGAGGTTGTCCCTGAAGTCTCCTGGACTAAGAGAAACCTTAGAAATTTAGTTCAGTAACTTAGTTTTATGGATAACAAAGTTGAGCTTTAGAGATTAAAGTAGACTGTCCTGGAACACACACGGGAAATTGAATAGGATCAACCCAGATGTCCTGACTCCTAATTCAAGGCTCATAGGGATCCTGGTTTTCTTTGATATATTTGTACATTTGGATCTTTAGATGGTATAGCTTAATTCTCCCAATTCATAAATCTTCTAAGGTGACAAATACTGCTTTATTAATGTTCCACCTATATGTCACAGCAACTAGTTATTAGTTGTTCAAGATCTGCAGAATTAACATGCCCAAGAAAATGTATTAAGAAATCAAAGGATCTGTTCAGTAAAATGTAATAACTGAGCAGTTTAACATCTCCACTTTGTGTTGTTTTTCAGATTGTTAGGTAACTTTACATGCCCGACTTAACTAAAAGTATTTTTTATATTTTATTTTCATTTTTATTGAAACAAGGTCTTGTTCTGTCATCCAAGCTGGAATGTAGTGGCATGATCATAGCTCACTGAAGCCTCGGCCTCCTGGGCTCAAGCGATCCTCCAACCTCAGCCCCCTGAGTAGCTGGGACTACAGGTGCATGCTACCATGTAGAAGTATTTTTAAAAAGTATAAATAACTAAAATTTTCAGGAGTGAAGTATTAAATTTATGGGTGAGAAGAAAAATTTGTGAGCTTTTGTTACTAAAAATCTCTGTAAAATATAACTAATTACTATGAACTGTTCATTAGTTTACTATAAACATTTCATTGAAGATAATTTAGTTTTTTAAGTTTAAGGAATATATTGAATTTATTCCTGAACCAAGAGTCTCATACAATATAGATTTAGACTCCCTAGAAAACTGATTTAAACTGCATTTGTGCTGAAACTATGCTGTCCTTTAAAAAGTTTTCCAACACTACTTCCCCCATTGTATATTACTGATTTTTCATAAAACCATTCATGCTTTTTGAGCTAGGAAGACAGCAGAATTGCTTTTTGTAAAGACAGAGGCAGCACCAGATTCACCAAAGGAAATAGATCTAATAATGGTGGGGGAAAAAGGAGCAGAATGTATCAGAAGGAGCAACAGAATATCCCACGGAAGAAAGAAGAAATGTCGCTTGCTTTAATCTGGATTTTTTTGTAAATTATACTTTCAGTTCTGGGATACACGTGCAGAACGTGCAAGTTTGTTACATAAGTATACATGTGCCATGGTGGTTTGCTGCACCCATCAACCTGTCATCTACATTAGGTATCTCTCCTAATGCTACCCCTCTGCTAGCTCCCCACCTACCGACAGGCCCCGGTGTGTGATGTTCCCCGCCCTGTATCCATGTGTTCTCATTGTTCAACTCCCACCTATGAGAATGTGCAGTGTTTGGTTTTCATTCCTGTGTTAGTCTGCTGAGAATGATGGTTTCCAGCTTCATCCATGTCCCTGCAAAGGACATGAACTCATCCTTTTTTATGGCTGCATAGTATTTCATGGTGTATATGTGCCACATTTTCTTTATCCAGTCTATCATTGATGGGCATTTGGGTTGGTTCCAAGTCTTTGCTAATGTGAACAGTGCCACAATAAACATATGTGTGCATGTGTCTTTATAGTAGAATGACTAATAATCCTTTGGGTATATATCTAGTAATGGGATTGCTAGGTCAAATGGTATTACTGGTCTAGATCCTTGAGGAATCGCCACACTGTCTTCCACAATGGTTGAACTAATTTACACTCCCACCAACAGTGTAAAAGTGTTCCTATTTCTCCACATGCTCTCCAGCATCTGTTGTTTCCTGACTTTTTAATGATTGCCATTCTAACTGGCATGAGATGGTATCTCATTGTGGTTTTGATTTGCATTTCTCTAATGACCAGTGATGATGAGCTTTTTTTCATATGTTTGTGGCCACATAAATGTCTTCTTTTGAGAAGTGTCTGTTCATATCCTTTGCCCATGTTTTGATGGGGTTGCTTTTTTCTTATAAATTTGTATAAGTTCCTTGTAAATTCTGGATATTAGCCCTTTGTCAGATGGATAGATTGCAACAATTTCCTCCGATTCTGTAGGTTGCCTGTTCACTCTGATGATAGTTCCTTTTGCTGTGCAGAAGTTCTTTAGTTTAATTAGATCCCATTTGTCAACTTTGGCTTTTGTTGCCATTGCTTTTGGTGTTTTGGTCATAAAGTCTTTGCCCATCCCTATGTCCTGAATGGTATTGCCTAGGTTTTCTTCTTGGGTTTTTATGGTTTTAGGTCTTACGTTTAAGTCTTCAATCCATCGTGAGTTAATTTTTGTATAAGGTGTAAGGAAGGGGTCCAGTTTCAGTGTTCTGCATATGGCTAGCCAGTTTTCCCAACACCATTTATTAAATAGGGAATCCTTTCCCCATTGCTTGCTTTCATCAGGTTTGTCAAAGATCAGATGGTTGTAGACATGTGTCGTTATTTCTGATGTCTCTGTTCTGTTCCATTGGTCTATATATCTGTTTTGGTATAAGTACCATGCTGTTTTGGTTACTGTAGCCTTGTAGTATAGTTTGAAGTCAGGTAGCATGATGCCTCCAGCTGTGTTCTTTTTGCTTAGGATTGTCTTGGCTATATGGGCTCTTTTTTGGTTCCATATGAAATTTAAAATAGTTTGTTCTAATTCTGTGAAGAAAGTCAATGGTAGCTTGATGGGGATAGCACTTAATCTAGATATTGCTTTGGGCAGTATGGCCATTTTCACGACATTGATTCTTCTATCCATGAGCATGCAATGTTTTTCCATTTGTTTGCATCCTCTCTTATTTCCTTGAGCAGTGGTTTGTAGTTCTCCTTGAAGAGGTCCTTCACATCCCTTGTAGGTTGTATTCCTAGGTATTTTATTCTCTTTGTAGCAATTATACATGGGAGTTCTCTATTATTGGTGTATAGGAATGCTTGTGATTTTTGCACATTGATTTTGTATCCTGAGACTTTGCTGAAGTTGCTTGTCAGCTTAAGGAGATTTTGGGCTGAGACAATGGGGTTTTCTAAGTATACAATCATGTCATCTGCAAACATATACAATTTGGCTTCCTCTCTTCCTATTTGAATGTCCTTTATTTTTCTATCTTGGCTGATTGTCCTGGCCAGAACTTCCAATACTATGTTGAATAGGAGGGGAGAGAAAGGACATCCTTGTCTTGTGCCAGTTTCAAAGGAAGTGCTTCCAGCTTTTGCCCAATCAGTATGATATTGGCTGTGGGTTTGTCATAAATAGCTCTTACTGTTTTGAGAAGTATTCCAACAATACCTAGTTTATTGAGAATCTTTAGCTTGAAGGGGTGTTGAATTTTATCAAAGACCTTTTCTGCATCTATTGAGATAATTATGTGGTTTTGGTCATTGGTTCTGTTTATGTGATGAATTATGTTTATTGATTTGCATATGTTGAACCAGCCTTGCATTCCAGGGATGAAGCCCAGTTGATTGTGGTGGATAAGCTTTTTGATGTGCTGCTGGATTTGGTTTGCCAGTATTTTATTGAGGATTTTCACATTGATGTTCATCAGGGATATTGGTCTGAAATTTTCCTTTTTTGTTGTGTCTCTGCCAGGTTTTGGTATCAGGATGATGCTGGCCTCATAAAATGAGTTAGGGAGGAATCCCTCTTTTTCTATTGATTGGAATAGTTTCAGAAGGAATGGTACCAGCTCCTCTTTGTACCTCTGGTAAAGTTTGGCTGTGAATCCGTCTGGTCCTGGGCTTTTCTTGGTTGGTAGACTATTAATTATTGCCTCAATTTCAGAAGTTGTTATTGGTCTACTCGGGGATTTGACTTCTTCCTGGTTTAGTCTTGGGAGGGTGTATGTGTCCAGGAATTTATCCATTTCTTCTGGATATTCTAGTTTATTTGTGTACAGGTGTTTGCAGTATTCTCTGATGGCAGTCAGTATTTCTATGGGATCGGTGATGATATCCCCTTTATTATTTCTTACTGTGTCTATTTGATTCCTCTTTCTTTTCTTCTTTATTAGTCTGGCTAGTGGTCTATTTTGTTAATCTTTTCAGAAAACCAGCTCCTGGAATCATTGATTTTTTGAAGGTTTTTTCGTATCTCTATCTCCTTCAGTTCTGCTCTGATCTTAGTTATTTCTTGTCTTCTGCTAGCTTTTGAATTTGTTTGCTCTTGCTTCTCTGGATCTTTTGTTATTAATATTTTTGAGATGGAGTCTCACACGGCCCCCTGGAGTGCAATGGCGCAATCTTGGCTCACTGCAACCTCCACCTCCCGGGTTCAAGTGATTCTCCTGCCTCAGCCTCCCAAGTAGCCAGGATTACAGATGCCTGCCACTGCACCCAGCTAATTGTTTATATTTTTAGTAGAGACGGGGTTTCACTATGTTGGCCAGGCTGGTCTCAAACTCCTGACTTCATGATCCACCCGCCTCGGCCTCTCTCTAGTTCTTTTTAGTTGTGACATTAGGGTGTCAATTTTAGATCTTTCCTGCTTTCTCCTGTGGGCATTTAGTGCTATAAATTTCCCTCTAAACACTGCTTTAGCTATGTCCCAGAGATTCTGGTATGATGTGTGTTTATTCTCATTGGTTTCAAAGAACTTATTCACTTCTGCCTTCATTTTGTTATTTACCCAGTTGTCATTCAGGAGCAGGTTGTTCAGTTTTCATGTAGTTGTGCAGTTTTGAGTGAGTTTCTTAATCCTGAGTTCTAATTTGATTGCACTGCGGTCTGAGTGACTGTTTATGATTTCCGTTCTTTTGCATTTGCTGAGGAATGTTTTACTTCCAATTACGTGGTCAATTTTAGAATAAGTGTGATGCGGTGCTGAGAAGAATGTATATTTCGTTGATTTGGGGTGGAGAATTCTGTAGCTGTCTATTAGGTCTGCTTGGTTCAGAACTGAGTTCAAGTCCTGAATATCCTTGTTAATTTTCTGTTTCGTTAATCTGTCTAATATGGACAGTGGGGTGTTAAAGTCTCCCACTATTATTGTGTGGGAGTCTAAGTCTCTTTGTAGGTCTCTAAGAACTTGCTTTATGAATCTGGGTGTTCCTGTATTGGGTGCATATATATTTAGGTTAGCTCTTCTTGTTTAATTGATCCCTTTAGCGTTATGTAATGCCCTTGTCCTTTTTGATCTTTGTTGGTTTAAAGTCTGCTTTATCAGAGACTAGGATTGCAACCCCTGCTTTTTTTTGCTTTCCATTTGCTTGGTAAATATTCCTCCATCCCTTTATTTTTAGCCTATATGTGTCTTTGCAGGTGAGACGGGTCTCCTGAATATAGGACATCAATGGGTCTTGACTCTTTATCCAAATTGCCAGTCTGTGTCTTTTAATTGGGTAATTTAGCCCGTTTACATTTAAGGTTAATATTGCTATGTGTGAATGTGATCCTGTCATTATGATGCTAGCTGGTTATTTTGCCCGTTAGTCGATGCAGTTTCTTCATAGGGTCGATGGTCTTTACAATCTGGTATGTTTTTGCAGTGGCTGCTACCGGTTGTTCCTTTCCATATTTAGTGCTTCCTTCAGAAGCTCTTGTAAGGCAGGCCTGGTGGTGACAAACTCTCTCAGCATTTGGTTGTCTGTAAAGGATTTTATTTCTCCTTCACTTACAAAGCTTAGTTTGGCTGGATATGAAATTCTGGGTTGAAAATTCTTTTCTTCAAGAATGTTGGAATATTGGCCCCCACTCTCTTCTGGCTTATAGGGTTTCTGCAGAGAGATATGCTGTTAGTCTGATGGGCTTCCCTTTGTGGGTAACCCGACCTTTCTCTCTAGCTGCCCTTAACATTTTTTCCTTCATTTCAACCTTGGTGAAACTGATGATTATGTGTCTTGCATTGCTCTTCTTGTGGAGTATCTTTGTGGTGTTCTCTGCATTTCCTGAATTTGAATGTTGGCTGTCTTGCTAGGTTAGGGACGTTCTCGTGGATAATATCCTGAAGAGTGTTTTCCCACTTCAGGATAATATCCTAAAGAGTGTTTTCCCACTTCAGGATAATATCCTGAAGAGTGTTTTCATTCTCCCCTTCACTTTCAGGCACACCAATCAAACATAAGTTTGGTCTTTTTCACATAGTCCCATATTTCTTGGAGGCTTTGTTCATTCCTTTTCATTCTTTTTTCTCTAATCTTGTCTTCACGCTTTATTTCATTAAGTTGATCTTCAATCTCTGATATCCTTTCTTCTGCTTGATAGATTTGACTATTGATACTTGTGTATGCTTCACGAAGTTCTCATGCTGTTTTTCAGCTCCATCAGGTCATTTATGTTCTTCTCTAAACTGGTTATTCTGGCTAGCAATTCCTCTAACCTTTTTTCAAGGTTCTTAGCTTCCTTGCATTGGGTTAGAACATGCTCCTTTAGCTTGGAGGAGTTCGTTATTATCCACCTTCTGAAGCCTACTTCTGTCAATTTGTCAAACTCATTCTCCATCCAGTTTTGTTCCCTTGCTGGTGAGGAGTTGTGATCCTTTGGAGGAGTAGATGCATTTTTTTTTTTTGGAATTTTCAGCCTTTCTGCACTGGTTTTTCCTCATCTTCATGGATTTACCTACCTTTGGTCTTTGACGCCAGTGCTCTTCAGATGGGGTTTTTGCATGGATGTCCTTTTTTGTTGATGTTGATGCCATTCCTTTCTGTTTGTTAGTTTTCCTTCTAACAGTCAGGCCCCTCCGGTGCAGGTCTGCTGGAGGTCCTCTCCAGACCCTGTTTGCCTGGGTATCACCAGCGGAGGCTGCCAAACAGCAAAGATTGCTGTCTGTACCTTCCTCTGGAAGCTTCGTCCCAGACGGGCACCCATCAGATGCCAGCCGGAGCTCTCCTGTTGCATAAGGTGTCTGTCGCCCCTTGCTGGGAGGTATCTCCCAGTCAGGAGGCAAAGTGGTCAGGGACCCAATTGAGGAGGCAGTCTGTCCCTTAGCAGAGCTCAAGCGCTGTGCTGGGAGATCCGCTGCTCTCTTAAGAGCCGGCAGGCAGTAATGTTTAAGTCTGCTGAAGCTGTGCCCACAGCCGCCCCTTCCCCCAGGTGCCCTGTCCCAGGGATATGGGAGTTTTCTCTATAAGCCCCTGACTGGGGCTGCTGCCTTTCTTTCAGAGATGCCCTGCTCAGAGAGGAGAAATCTACAGAGGCAGTCTGGCTACATTGGCTTTGCTGAGCTGCGGTTGGCTCCGCCCAGTTCTAACTTCCAGGTGGCTTTGTTTACACCCTGAGGGGAAAATCGCCTACTCTACACAGTAATTGCGGATGCCCCCTCCCCCCACCAAGCTCCAGTGTCTCAGGTCTCGCTGTGCTGGTAGCAAGAATTTCAAGTTAGTGGATCTTAGCTTGCTGGGCTCCATGGGAGTGGGATCCACTGAGCTACACCACTTGGCTCCCTGGCTTCAGCCCCCTTTCCAGGGGAGTGAACGGTTGTTTCGCTGGTGTTCCAGGTGCCACCGGGGTATGAAAAAAAAACTCCTGCAGTTAGCTCAGTGTCCACCCAAACAGCCAACCAGTTTTGTGCTTGAAACCCAGGGCCCTGGTGGTGTTGGCACCCAAGGGAATCTCCTGGTTTGCAGGTTGGGAAGACCGTGGAAAAAGCATAGTATCTGAGCTGGAATGCACCATTTTTCAAGGCAGAGTCCCTCATGGCTTTCCTTGACTAGGGGAGGGAGTTCCCTGACCCCTTGGGCTTCCCGGGTGAGGTGACGCCCCACCCTGCTTCTGCTCACCCTCCATGGGCTGCACCCACTGTCTAACCAGTCCCAATGAGATGAGCCAGGTACCTCAGTTGGAAATGCAGAAATCACCCACCTTCTGCGCTGATCTCCCTGGGATCTCCCTGGGAGCTGCAGACTGGAGCTGTTCCTATTTGGCCATCTTGCCAGCCACCAGGTAGTTAATCTGGATTTCTTAAGAACAATCTCAGCCAGGCGCGGTGGCTCACGCCTGTAATCCCAGCACTTTGGGAGACCCAGGCGGGCAGATCACGAGGTCAGAAGTTCGAGACCAGCCTGACCAACATGGTGAAACCCTGTCTCTACTAAAAATGCAAAAATTAGCCAGGCGTGGAGGCACGCACCTGTAATCCCAGCTACTCGGGAGGCTGGGGCAGATAAATCACTTGAACCTGGGAAGCAGAGGTTGCAGTGAGCAGAGATCACGCCACTGCACAAGAGACTGGGTAACAGGGCGATTCTCTGTCTCAAAAAAAAAAAAAAACCAAAAAAAAAAAGAACAATCTGAATGTAAGCAGTGATGAACGCTGACAATAGCTTACAACTGCTTATTCTAGAGTACGACAGAAAAAGCAGTGTAGTCAGAAGACCTGCCTTCCAATCCTTCTAATTTCTAATGTGGTTTAGGACAAATCCATGACCTAAAAGGTGAGAATACCTACAAACCTATCTTAATCATACAGTAAAGAAATAAAGGTATCTCAAATATTACCATAAATTAGAAAAAGTGTTTATCATATTGTCTAAAGTTTATATGTAAGAAAGGTGGCAGAGGAAAATCTTAATTTTAGAGATGCTCTTTTCTTTTTTTCTAAAATAATAATAGCTACCATTTGAGTCTTATTATGTTCTGCTATTTAAAGTATTATTCTATTTAACTTCACAACCCCATGAGGTAGGTACAGATGGAGAAACTATGATACAGAGAAGTTACGCACTTAAGGTCACTTAGCAAGGGTCCAAGGAATGGGACTCCAGTGCCCAAGTTCTTAACTACCTAATACCTCCATATCCAGAGTTCTTTTCTTTTTTTTCAGACGGTGTCTCACTTTGTCACCCAGGCTGGAGTGCAGTGGTGTGATCTTGGCTCACTGCAACCTCCACCTCCCGGGTTCAAGTGAGTCTCCTGCCGCAGCCTCCCAAGTAGTTGAGATTACAGGTACACACCACCATGCTCAGCTAATTTTTTGTATTTTTAGTAGAGTCAGGGTTTTACCATGTTGGCCAGGCTGGTCTCAAACTCCTGACCTCAGATGATCCACCCGCCTCAGCCTCCCAATGTGCTGGGATTACAGGCGTGAGCCACTGCACCTGGCCTGTATCCAGTGTTCTAATGGTATCCCTATAACATCCAGTTTACAAAACCTGGAAAATCTACCATCCATTTAAAAATGTAGGTGCCTTTAACCATGACTGATTCTAGCCTGTTAATTCATGTCTAAAAACGTATGTATAATGCTCCTAGCAGGTAATCATATCACTTTTTCTACTTTGGGCAAAAGGATTTCCTGCTACTGCCAAGTATATATGCTCTATTCTGACTTAAGTTACTGCTGTCAGTCCTGCTGTTTAATGTCCCATTCTTTTCAGAATAGATTTTTTAAAAAAATGCCAATTGGGCACTTAACAGCCTCAGCCCTCACATTGAACTTTCTCTTCCACAAAAGCTCTTGGAGAGAGAAAAAATACAAGGGGCTCCTGACCAATGAAACAACCTAAAATAGGGCTATAAAGGGATAAAAGTTTATATTCTCCTTAGAGTATACACTACACCACCTCAAACCAGCTCAAATGACTGGATCCTACATAGTAGCTGAGGAGAGTACAAATTTTTAAGAAAATATTTAAGCTTTTTTATACTCTGAGAAGACTGAGGCTGGAAAAACAAATTGTAGAGTGTGATTAATATGCTAATGAAAATGGTAGCTGTAATTGAGTTTTTGTAAGAGAAGAGAAGGTACAAATTTGAAATATTATTCTAGAAGGATGATGATCCCTGGGTCCTAAATAAATTTTGATCAGTTTTAACGTGTTATGTATAACTCTGTTTAACTGGCATCTATATCTCAGAGACAGAATTGAGATACTGTATTAGATCACAGAACTAGGTACTAAGGAGTTTAAGCAAAAATTCTCAAATTCTGCATTGCTTTATTAGTATCAGCATACTAGAATTCAAGGTATCTTAGATATCACTGAGACTAACCACTTTACAAATTATACAACTGGCCCAGAAAAATAATGATTTGCAAATATCAATTATTCATATAAAGCAGAATTTGGACTAGAATTCTGGTTCCCAGATTCCTTGTTCAGGGCCATTCATGATGTACTATCTTAAACATACCCCTTTACCAAAGTTAAAATAATAAGATTACAAGGACACTTAATTTTTAGAAGTTTGTCTTTATTTAAAACAAATTAGATGAAATGTTCCATGAAGTTAGATTCTGATTTTGTTTGTGGAGGTGGAAAGAAGAAAATGCTACTTTTAAATTCCCTTACTTTACCACTAATTTACTCCAAGTCATTAAGCACTGACCACATATATAACAGTGCTAGGTGTTGAAGGGTATGCAAAATTTCTTTTGAAATAAATGTAAAATAGTGGCTGATCTAAAGCAATATGTAGTATAGTGGGGCAAAGCAGACATAGATGGCATATCCAAAGATAATATGGTACTTTCTACACATTTGGTCAGACTTAGAACACCGTAATTTTTCCATAAGGTATAAATTACTCAGAGTTCATTTTAACTAACTTTGATGGGTATTAAATATAATTAAAGCTTGGTATATGGAAATTATAAAGACAGGATTATATTTAGTTGTTTTATTCCTATGAGAAGGAGGAGGAAGAGGAGGAGAAGAAAATAGCCCATGGTTTCGGTTTGATCCACAAAAGTTTTGCTTAGCTTATTCGGTATTAGCCTACAGTATTTTTAACATACTTGAAAATCCCGTCATTATTTAAAAAGTAGATTTCTCATTTTAAGAAATTCAAATTTGTGATTTCTCTTGAAAAATCAGATGATTTGACAATGTAATCTCATAGCTGGAACTGAATTAATGTGATTGTCCTCTTTAAACACGTGCTTTCCGATTCACCACAAACACCAACACTCCCCTATTCTCTCTCCGAGGTTGTAGCATTCAGGTCCCTCTAGGCATCTGATTTTGGGACTTTTGTTTTAAAGCAAGCATTTTTTTTTTGAAGGGAGGAGGTAGATAAGTGGGAAAAGAGAAGGAAGAAAAGGGTAGACCAAATTCTGCTGTGAAATTATATATTCAGGGATTCCTCCTCACTATGCTATTTGGGATATGGTGAACAAGAACTTCATTCAATATTTACTGAACACCTAATACACATCAGATGTTAAATTAGGTACCAATACCTAATACAGCAAGAACAGACTTGGTCCTTATTCCTATAGTGCTTACCAATCTAGTAAGCTCACACAAAAAAGTCACACAAATATAAAATTCCAACTGTGCAAATGATATGAAGAAGAGCAGCATAATGCTCCTCTACTAGTCTATAATTTTGGAATCTAACTTGAGTAGTTGAGTGAAGGCTTCCTTGAAGAAGCACTGTGCCCTGGAGTTGAGAGTTAACTAAGCAAAGGAGGAGGAAAGAACATTCTAAGTAGCAGGAAAAGAATATGGAATGGCTCTGTGGCAGAAGGAATATGGCAAGTAGAGGACTAAAATAATGTTTAATGTGGCTGGAATGGTGAGGAATGAGGAGCATAGTTTGAAATTAGGCTGGAACCATGAAGTGACTTGTAGTATACATAGAACTCTCTCTATTCTAATGAGTAACTAGATCCAATGGAGAAATCTAGGAGTGGGGCTTTTTTTTTTTTTTTTTTGAGACGAAGTCTCACTCTGTTGCCCAGGGTGGAGTGCAGTGATGCGATCTCGGCTCACTGCAACCTCTGCCTCCCAGGTTCAAGCAATTCTCCTGCCTCAGCCTCCCGAGTAGCTGAGACTAGAGGTGTGTGCCACCACACCCAGCTAATTTTTGTATTTTTTAGTAGAGATGGGGTTTCACCATATTGGCCAGGCTGGTCTCAAACTGCTGACCTCGTGATCTGCCTGCCTTGGCCTCCCAAAGTGCTGGGATTACGGGTGTGAGCCACCGTGCCTGGTTGGGTGGGGCTTTTATAATAGATTTTTGTTCCAAAAAACTCTGGCAACACTGTGGAGAATGGGCCTGTGGGGGCCAGGGTATACAGACACACCAATTAGAAGGCTAACTGCCATGGACTAGTCAATACATGCTAGTAGCCTGGACCAGGCATTTTGAAGGGAAGAAGTGAATGGACTTAAGAGATGTTAGGAGGTAACAGGATTTGGTGATGCAGTGAATGTGCGTAATGAGGGAGAAAGAATATTGAGAAGGACTCACGTTTCTGAATTATATAGATAATTGGATATAAATACTAGTCACGGAAATGGGGAACAAAAGAGGAGAACCAAGTTGTGTGTGTGTGTGTTTTTGAGTTGGGATCTTGCTCTGTAATCCAGGCTGGAGTACAGTGGCGCAAACATTGCTTACTGCAGCCTCGAACTCCTGGGCTCAAGTGATGCTGCCACCTCAGCCTCCCAAGTTGCTGGGATTACAGGCAGAACTGTGCCTGGTTCAAGAACCAGGTTTTGATGCATATAGGTGTAGGGTGGGAGAGGAGGAAGAAAGATCATGTTGAATCTGAGTGCATCAGATACCATGAAGATGTCAAATCAGTGCAGAATCTACAGAGCCAGCTCAGAGTAGTATGGGTGAGTAAGGATCGGAGATAAGTGTGAGTCATCTGTTTTTAAGTGGCATGATGTCACGAAAGTGGATGTGATCACTTGGAAAGAAGAGGGGATCTAGGTTTAAGTGTTTAGAAATCTCAACCTCTCTGATGGCAAGACAGGCACATGAGCTTACAAAGAAGCTATCAAGGTAACAAAAAAATTAGGAGAATGCTATTCAATGTGCTAGCCAGTGATAAGGGGAAAGATATGGGGGGTCAATTGCTGCTGAGAAGTTAATTTGAATGAGGACTGAAAAATGTCTAATGAACTTATTGACATGAAGGTCACTGTGAGCCATAGGCAACAACTATTTTGTAGACTGATGGGGGGAAGGCAGATTAGAGAAGCTGGAGAAGTGAGAAAATGTTGATATATTCATGGTCACCTCTGAAAGAAGTTTGATTATGAAGAAAGGTATTAGGTAGCTTTTGGCTTTATCAAACCTCTTTGTTTTTTCTATTTTACTACTCTTAAGATTCATCTCCTTTGGATTTATCCTGTTATTTTTCTAACATAAATTAGATGATTAGCTTATTAAATGTTTTCTTCTAATGTAAATATTCCAGGTTGTAAATTTAGTTCTACATGCTAACCTAGCTGCATAATTCAAGTTCTGATATATAGTATTTTTATTATCATATAGTATTCTTAAATGCCATTGGAATTTCTTCCTTTACCCATGTTGTTCATAACTGTTTTAAACATTTCTAAATGAACCTTTAATAGTTGTTTTTTGTTTGCTGTTTTTTAAGAGACAGGGTCTCGATACATTGCCTAGGCCTGGACTCAATCTCCTGGGCTCAAGTGATCCTCCTGCCTCAGCCTCCTGAGTAGCTGAGACTACAGACACGTGCCACCATGCTCAGCTTTACAAGTTATTTTTGTTACTGAATTCTGGCTTGTTTTAGGAGTGTGAGAATGTAGACTATGAAATCCCAGTTATTTAAAATTTAATAATAGCCAACAATCAATAGTACTACCATGTCCCAAACATTTTATATGAAGTATATAATTTTCACAGTAATTCTATGAGGCAGGTATTATTATTCTAATTTTTATAAGAAGGAAAATAGGCACAGAAAAGGTAAGTAATTTACCCAACTAACTTAACCAAGTTACATAGAGCTGATAAATGATGGAGCTGCATGTTGTACATTTCTTCCCTGCTTTGTTTTTTCTATTTTATTACTCTTAAGATTCATCTCCTTTGGATTTATCCTGTTCTTTTTCTAACATAAATTAGATGATTAGCTTTCTAACATAAATTAGATGATGGAGCTGCAGGTTGTACATTTCTTCCCTGCTTCAGCTTTTATTCTTGGAGTAAATTGCAAAGCCCTGAAATTTTTAAAATCAACTTCATTGAAATATAATTTATATACAATACACTGCATGCATTTAAGGTGTACAATTCTGAGTTTTGAGAAAGCTGTACAACCTTTGAAACTATCACAATCAAATACAGAGTATCTCCCCACCCACTAAATTTCACCCTGCCCTCTTTTTGTAAGTCCTCCCTTCTGCTCCAGACCCTAGGAAACTAGTGATCTGCTTTTTGTGACCATAGGTTTGCACTTTCTAAAATTTAATATAAATGAAATGATACAGTGTGAGCTCATCTTTCCCTGGCTTCCTTCATTCAGCATACTGATTTTGAGATTAATCCACGTTGTTGTGTCAGTAGTTTGTTCCTTTGCTTTTACTACTGAGTGGTATTCCTTTGTATTGGTATATTTTGTTCATTCATTCATTTCTGATGAACATCTGGGTTAATTTCAGTGGAGTTTTTGTGAATAAAGCTATTATGTACATCCATGTTCAAGTTTTTATAGGAACATATGCTTTCATTTCTCTTGGGTAAATATCTATAATGGCTAGATTTTTCTCCATAAGTTTTGTTTTGAGACAGGGTCTTGCTATGCTGCCCAGGCTGGTCTTGAGCTGCTGGGCTCAAGTGATCCTCCTGCCTCAGTTTCCTGAGTAGCTGGGACCATAGGCCTGTGCCACCACGCCTGGCTTCTGTAACAGCTAGATTTTATGACAGGCTTATGTTTAACAACTGCTAAACTGTTTTCCAAAGTGGTTGTAAAACTTCACATTCCTATCATCAGTGTAGGAGTTCCAATTAATCCACATTTTGGCCAATAGTTGGTGTGGTTAGTCTTTTAAATTTTAGTCCTGCTAATCAATGTCTAGTGGTAGTTCAACGTGAGTGTAATTTTTGTTTTCCTAATAACTAATAACCTTGAGCATCTCTTCTTGTGTTTCTTGGCTATGCATATATCTTTTTTGTGAAGTATCTGTTCAAATCCTTTGTTCATTTTTACTGGATTTTCTTATTGAGTTATAAGTTCTTTATGTTTTGGATAAACGTACTTTGCCAGATACATGTGCTGCAAATATTTCCTCCCAGTCTGTGGCTTGCCTCTTATTTGTCTTGCAAAAAACAAAAGTTTTAAATTTTGATAAAGTCTCATTTGTCAATTTTGGTTCATGCCTTTTTGTTTACTGCAAAACCTTTGCCTCCTCCAAGAAAACATCTTCTGTCTTCTACAAATTTTAGCTTTTACAGTTAGGTCTATGATCTATGTCAAGTACATTCTATGGTGTGAGGTAACAATCAATGTTCATTTTTCCCATACGAATATTCAATTATTTTGGAATTATTAGTTGACAAAACTTTTCCCCACTAAATTACCTTGGCACTTTTGGGGAAAAAAATCAGTTGACTATATATATGTGGGTCTAATTCTGGATTCTCTATCCTGCTCCACTGATCTATATGTCTATCTTTTCCCCAGCATTACACTCTCTTGATTACTGTAGCTTTACAGTTACTCTTCAAGTAGTGCGATCCTTCAACTTCGTCCTTCTTTTACAAAATTGTTTCAGCTACACTAAGTCCCTCGTATGTCCACGCATATTTTAAAACCATCTTGGCAACAGCTACCAAAATATCCTGCAAAAATTTTAATAGGAATTGCATTGAATTTATAGGTCAAATTAAGGGAGAAATAACACCTTAAAAGCAATGAGCTTTTCAGGGTATATTTTTCCACTCACTGAGGCCTCTTTAATTTCTCTCAATAATGTTTTGTAGTTTTCCTTGTAGAGGTCTTGCACATCTTTTATTTATTCCTAAATATTTTAATTTTTTGACACTATTGCATGTAGAATTGTTGTTTTTGAAACAGGGTCTTGTTCTGTCGCCCAAGCTGGAGTGCAGTGGTGCAACCTTGGCTCACTGCAGCCTCTATCTCCTGGACTCAAGTGATCCTCCCACCTCAGCCTCCCAAGTAGCTGGAATTACAGGCACATGCCACTGCACCTGGCTAATTTTTTATTTTTTTGTAGAGATGAGGTCTATGTTGCCCAGGCTGGTCATGAACTGCTGAGCTAAAGCGATCCTCCCAACTCGGCCTCCCAAAGCGCTGAGATTAAAGGCGTGAGCTACCATGCCCTGCCAAGTGGAATTTTTATATTTCATTTTTCTAATTGTTTTCTGCTAGTATATAAAAAGTTATATCCTATAAGCTTAAATATTACTTCCTGTAGCTATCTGTAGATTAGGATTTTTGACCTAAGAAATTGTGTCACCTACAAATAGAGACAATTTTACTTCTGTTTTTCTAATTTTCGAACCTTTTTCTTTCCCTTGCCTATTGCAATGGCTAAGACTTCCAGCACAATGTTGTGAAGTACTTTGTTCTTCTCCTAGGTAATATGCTGCCAATATTTAAGTATAATATCAGCTATAGGCTTTTTGAAGATGCTTTTTATTAGACTGAAAAAATTCCCCCTTTTCCCTCATTTACTAAAAGTTAATTTTAAAAAATCATCTATGGTTGAATTTTGTCAAATTCTTCTTTCTGCATCTATTGAGATGATCATATGATTTTCTGCTTTACACTACACATATGGCTTTTATCACATTGATTTTGAAGGTTTTTTGTTTTTGTTTTTGAGATGGAGTCTTGCTCTGTCGCCAGGCTAGAGTGCAGTGGTGTGATCTCGGTTCACTGCAACTTCCACCTCCCAGGTTCAAATGATTCTCCTGCCTTCTCTCTCTCTTCCCGGGTAGCTGGAACTACAGGCGCGTGCCACCATGCTGGGCTAATTTTTTATATTTTTAGTAGAGACGGGGTTTCACCATGTTAGCCAGGAGGGTCTCGATCTCCTGACCTTGTATCTGCCTGCCTTGGCCTCCCAAAGTGCTGGGATTAGAGGCGTGAGCCACTGCACCAGGTCAGTGTTTTCAAGTGTACTTTAAATATGTTTTCACAAAGCCCACCTTGGATTTGTTGGGCTTTCTGGATCTGAAACTTGGATGTCTTTAATAAATTTGCGTAAACTCTTATTTTCCCTTTGAATAATTTCTCTATAATTCCAATTACACATATGTTGGACCTGCTCATTATATCCTCATTCTCTCTTCACCCATTGGTTGTATCTTCCATCTTTTATTTCTCTGGGCTATATCCCGAGTGATTTTTTTTCCTAAGATCTTCTAGTTCACTTATTTCTTTTTAACTGTGTTTAATCTGTTTAACCATCCATTTCAGTTTTTAATTTTTTCATTAAAAAATGATTTCCAAATGTGCCAATTTTTTGTATTTCAACAGTGTTTAATTCATAAATGATTAATTATTGTGTACTATGTATTTAATAATTCTGACATCTGCAATTCCCCAGTGTGATTTTTTATTCTGAACCCATGTTTTTTGGAATTTTATCTGTCAGAAGTCTGGGTTTAAAGTACATTCTTCCACAGATGCTTTGCATCTGCTTCTTACAGCTCCTTGAGGTTAGTATCAAGCAAGGATAACTTTATGTTTTCAAGTTAGATCTCCTGAAACCCCCCAGTCTGCTCCTCTCAATCACAGAACTGATGTGAATTTAGGCTTCAAACTTGTGCAAGAATGAGCTTATTTTGCATTCCCAGGGAAGACTTATTTACCAATTTGTACCCCCTATCTAGCTCTGAGGACCTGCTTATTTTCCTAGCTGATCCACTGAAGGTGTACACTTAAAGGATTCTGGCATTATGCTGGAGGGGATGAAGTCTTTTATAAGACCTCACTGCAAGGCACAGCCTGCAACGACACCTCCCTACACCTTCAACACACAAAATTAAAATCTGGGCAGTAGGCTAACAGGAGGCAGCTGAAAACCACTCCTGCCCTACCCCCAAGACACACATTTGTGTGATATTTTATCATTCTGCATTTTTTTTTTTTTTTGGTAGTTTCTGGCCTTTTCTTGCCAGCCCAATTATGCACTGAAAAAGACTGACTACTCTCTGCAGCATTTCTCTGAATCTCTGGTAGGCCAGATGACCTGGCTTCTACTTCTTTAAACCAAGAGTCATATGCAGTGGATGAAAGGTGAAGAAAGAGTTTGCTAGACAGTGGAAAAGGTTTGAAACCATGTGAAAAACGGGAAAGCAAGTTAGAAAAGCACTATTAAAGAAGTGATGTATCCAGGAAAGTTCATGGTATAGAAACAAATTACTTGATAAGACTTCATAGCACCTGAGCTATACAATAGTATCACAACTGATACATATTAGCCATTTAATTTTGGACAAATCACATCTCTTTCTATTTCATGGGGGTTGTGAAGACAAATGTTACAAAGTGCTTTGAAAATACCAATTTCATAAAATATAAGGCATTATAATCATGTCTTTTGTTACAGGTATGTATCTGAAACTTCGGCTTCACAGATGATTTCAGGAGAAATAAGATCAAGATAGTGAAAAAATTTAGTAGATTCAGACAAAAACAGTTTATAGTCAGTTATGGATAAAAGTCAAACATTGAACTAAACCAGTATTTCTGGTAAACAGTAACTGACTCAGGATATGAGACTCATCTTACAGACTTTTCTATTTTGTAGAATTTGTTGAAACTAAATTAGCAAAGCCTTAATTAGTATGGGCCATTTGCCATGATATAAAAAGTTTCATTAAACAAAACTCTATATTGTATGAAATCTTTTAGGCAGAAAATAGATTCCAGACAATACATAATTTACCTCAAATGTTCATCAAAATAAAGTTAACCCCCATATTTTAGATAACTATTTTCTAAATTTTGACCTTTTTATAAAGTGTCATTCAATAATATAATCATCATTGTTCTAGTTGCTGGAGATAAAAATATGTAAAATATTCCTTCTTATCCTCAAGGAATTTCTATTTTAGGTGGTAGAAATGTGATTTCAACTTTTGTGGGAAATCAAAGAACAGAACAAAATCAAATGAACCTGTAAGTTGACTTGCATGTTATTTGAAGTATTACCAATATAAGAATATATCTACTGGTAGGGACAATAATAGCATCCATAAATGTAAGAGTTAAGATTTTGAATTTAATTTTCCTATCTGTTTTGGCATTGTAATTAAGTCACTGTACTTTATCCTGATTAAGCAACTGGCACTCCTAAGACCAAACTGAAAGTAAGAACTTCAATATGTTGAAGATGAACTCATTGATTTTGGCATGCATCACAACACTCCAAGATGGTATACCATCAACTCTCATTAAAAAAAAAAATTTAGATTCAGGAGGTTCATGTGCAGGTTTCTTACATGGATATATTGTGTGATGCTGTCAATTCTCCTTTTAAGTCCTTCAATATGTTCTAATGGTAGATAGAATCAGTTTTATCAGATAGTCTGTTTCAAATATTGAAGTCTTCTCCGGTAAAACTCCAGGAGTGTGAACCCTTCTCTGGAAAAGCTCTTGTCCTACTGATCCTGCCAGAAGTTCAAAATGTGTTTTTAGATTAGTGTACAAGGTGGCTTTTCTTTTTTTTTTCCCCCTCTCTCTCAACTATAGGCTTCCAGGAGGTTAAGTATGAGACACTGAGAAGCTTAACTGTTTAAGAAAGGGCTACTTTCCCTCATCTCAATTCCATTCAAGTGTAGACACCAAGAAAAAAAAAAAAAGAAAAAAGGGGTTGAGGCATTTCTTAACTTTTCAAAAACATGAGTTTTAGAATATCCACCAAAATGTATTCAAAGTAGTAGAGTTTGTTTTACTTTTTATACTGATCCACGATTCTTTATAACTAAGTCCTTAAAGCTACTCTTAGTGAGAATCAGAAAAAAACAAATGCTTTAAACAAGTGAAAAGTAATATGGAATTGGTATTTAATACGGCATACAGCAAAGACAGAGTGAGTTGGTAATCAAGACACACGACTATTCAAAAAAGTTATAGGGGCTTTTGGTTAAAAAAATTAAACATCAGTTAAGTCTTATATTTATCACCACATAGGCTTTCCCTACCACTTTGCTATAATATGAAGAACTCACTAGGAAAAACTTCATTAATTCAGAATGATCAATGGGAAGTATACTTGCAGTTATCTGGAACTGACATAAAAATTTGAACTAAAATACTCTCTTAAATACAGGTTCCTGGAGATTTTCTCTAATGAAAAGAGAAATGATTTCTGGTTAAGATATCTCCTTTCAAACAGGCTTTCAAAAAATTGACAATTTGTTCTCTTAAGTACAACTGTGTCCTAAAATTGTTAATTTCATTATAAAAAGAAAGGATAGACAAACAACTCACACTCTTTTTAGCAGGCATTACAAAGGAAAAAAGCTTTATCCCAGCTTCTTTCCAAATTGTATTTTTCAGGTTAATAGAGTTTTATCGTTTTTAAAAAAGCATATTACACAAACATTTAACAGGAAGACTTTCAGATTTTAAATTCTTCCTCACTAGCTTGGAATATTAGCTCAAAGTCTGAAGACCCAATCTAGATACTCCGTGTATTCTATGCTATATAAGCATACCTTCAGAATTTTGAGCTTAAATATATCTCCTTTTTTGGATAGTGTTTACCCACTTTGTGCTTACCTGGGGGAGCTACTGACTGGGAGAGGGTAAAAAGGGAAACTTCTGGGACACGGAAAATGCTTTATATCTTAATCTGGGTGGTGGTAACATGGGTGTATACAGATATAAAATTTCATCTAGGTGTGCATTTAAGATTGTGGACTTTATTGTATATGTTATACCTCAAGAAGTAAAAAGAGTGTTTACCCACTTTATGAAATGCCTACCAACTATTTTACAGTGAATCATTCATATTATTTTGTAAATCAAAATATATAGGGAAAAAACAAGTCATCTGATGCCCCTGGCATAAAAATCGCTAGTCACTTTCAGGTAAACATCTGAACCTGGAGTAAAAGCTTCAGCGTTGAGAAGTCACTAACGCACTATCTGAAATGGTGGCAGGAAGATTACAATGTATCAGTTTAAGTATAAAGGGTAGAAGTGTTATAACAGCTTAAACGACAACTAGATTAGAACACCCTCAAATAAGTGACACGACTATGGCATCATTTGATTTGTGATAACCTATGCTTCTTATTTCCGCTTACTGGTTTGCGTTTTTGTCATTGTATTGTTTGGACTTTCAAAGGATGGAGAAGGAAAATAATAAAAGTTAAATTAGTTTTGTTGTTTTCAACTATTGTTTTTAGTGTGCTAAATAGCTGACATTATGACTGATTATAAAATTATGCATTCTACTTCCTATTAAAGGAGAAAAGAGTTGGTTTATGCAGGAAATATAAACACTTAATATACGTCATTTTTTTTTTTTTTACTTTTGCTTGGAACTACATTAATTCCATCACCTCCAAAAAAGCCTTTGAGAGGATTAGCTGCATAGGCCAATATTATTCTATATTAGTCTGTATTAAGCATATGATGTCACCTTGCTTCCTCCCCTCCTCAAGCTTTTCTTTTGGTGGGAAGGAGGACTTTTTTGGGGGAAAGTCTTAAAATATTATGGCTTAAATACCACAAGCTGACACACATGATTGACAACCTTACACTCCCAAACCTGTTTGAAATGGGTCAAATACCTAAGCGCTGCAGAACAATGCAATCCAACCAGCAATTCCCCATAAAAGAGAAAGGGGGTGTGATTAGGTTCCAGATATTAAGCAAGTTATTGCAAAAACAGTTTGGTGGTTTTGTTTCTGCAATAGGCACAGGTTAAGCTAGTATTTTTTTCTCTTAATTAGCTCCAAAAAAGACTATGCTAATAGGAGGTAGGATAAACCGCTAAAGCACGAAGCAACTGGGGCAAACATTAAGGGCTTTATGGAGGTCCTTATCCTGATCCTCAGCATTGGTTATTGATCATCAACCCTGCTGGGGAACTATCGAACGAAATTTATGTGAGGCTTATCGAGCCACAGGAAAGGAGATGCAGGAGGGAATATAAGCTTCTAATAAAAGAAACGCAGCAACAATAGCAGAGGAACAGCTCTGCCTGGTGACGTAATGGCTGGCAGCAGTCCAGCTTCAGCAGAGCTGCTGCTACCTCAGCATCCAACCTCCCTCAACACAGTCCGGCTTCGGCAGAGCCACCGGGGCTGCTACTTCTTGCGATGCCACTTTGTTGGTGCCACCAACGCCTTACCTCGGAGGGCCAGAACACCGAACAAAGGGTTCGTTCCGTTGCTGTTTTAAGTTGTCAGACACACACACTCACTCACTCACCCCCTAGCCCGAACCCCTCAGTAATCAAGCCAATCAGCCACTTAAGTTTAAGGCGAAAACACTGGCTCACACTCCAGGTGTGCCTCAGTTTCCCCAGGCTGGTTTCCAGTCCGCCTCTCGCTGCCCACCCCCCGCCCCCGCTGGTCCTCAGCGGGAGTTGATCCCGGCGGCCCCGCGCACCCGCCCGGGCCCCGCATGCCGGCCCTCCCGCCTTACCTCCGCCAGGTAGAGGTTGAGGAGACAGAGCGTGGAGAACTGGAGACAGGAGGGGAAGCAGTAGAGCAGCCAGTGGGGGAAGAAGTGCAGGTGAGCGGGCGGCCGGAGCAAGGGCAGGGAGCCGCTGAGCGAGAAGGCGGCGGAGAAGAGGGTGGTCCTGAGCGCTGCCCACAGGAGACAGAGGAAGAGGCAGAGGCTCTGGTAACTCAGCCGCCGCTCGCGGTACAGGAGCAGCCGCCACAGCTGCAGGTAGGCAAAGGCGAACAGCGCGGCGTAGAGCAGGGCGTGCAGGACGCTCAGCGCCAACTGCACGGAGCCCGGCACCGCGGCGCCTGAGGCTGCAGCGACGGCGCCTCCGCCTCCGCTGCCCCCGCCGGGCGTGGAGGGCTCGCGGCCGGCTGCGGGGGCGGCAGCGGCCGCCGGACCCGGCACGGACACCCTCATGAGGGGGCTGGGGGCCGGGCGAGCGAGCGCGGGAAGGAAGGGGCTGGACTCGGAGCCGCCGTCGAAGGGGAGAAGGACTGCCCCCTTACCCCCCACCCACCCCAGCCTCTAACCCCAGGAAGCGCCGTGACGGGACCCGGAGTCCAGCGCAAAGCAGCCGCGGCTCCCCCGGACCCCGCCTCCTCTTTCCCCCCACCCCCCGGGGGTCTCGGCTCCTCCTGCTGCGGCTCGGCTCCGTAGCTGCAAAAAACAACTCTCGGCTGGAGACAATCAGCTGAGAAACCCGAGCATTTGAGGCGCTCGCTCCGCACTGTGGGCTCGCGCCGATTGGCCCAGGCAGGCACGCCCCCTGAGCGCCGCGCTCGGAAGGCCACGGGCCGCAGGACCCGTCGCTCGAGGGCCCCGAGATCTGATTGGGCGCGTAATTTCCCTACTTTCTCCCGCCCCTGTACTTCCCACCCACGCTGCTGATTGGCCCTGCTACTGCACCGCCCGTTCGCGCCGGCGGGAGGACTCTGTAATCGTCTGTCACTCTCGCTCCGCCCACCACGTTTCCCATTGGTTAGAGAGTGCCTCGCGTAGGGAGCACGAGGAGAAGGAGGAGCTTCGCAGGTTGTTTTTTCCCAGGAGGCCGACTCCGCCGAGTCGGTGGCGGCTGCAGGCTGGGAGGGAGAAGTGCTACGCCTTTGCAGGTTGGCGAAGTGGTTCCAGGCTACCCGGCTAGTCTGGCACGGCCCCGTCTTCTGCCTCCTCCTCCGTCGCGTGGCGGCGGGAACTGTTGGCCGCGCGGCCTCGGGAACGGCCCAGGTCCCCGCCCGCAGGTCCCGGGCAGGTAGGTGACAGCGCTGGCCCTTCAGGCTGTGGGCTCTGCCTGCAGACCCGGGGATTCAGACGAAGCAGCTTTCTGTAGCCAGGGCTGCACTGCACAGCTCCGGAGTCTGACTTAAGACACCCGTCTCTGGGGCACCGAAGGGCCTCACCTGGAGCCTCCTGAGGGCATTTTGCTTTCTCTTTTCGCTGCATGAACGGCGGGAAACACCGGAGCCCTTTGTGGGTCGAGGGGATGGAAAGGGGCGACGGGGAGAATCGGAGCTCTTAAGTGAAAGACCCTTTCCTCCCAAGGCCAAGGGAAATGTCTCTTAAGGAAGAGTAGTAGTAGTATCAGATGGATGTTGAAGCGATCTGTGAGCAGGGGGAAGCTGGTTCTTTCAAACGTAGAATTTGGGAAGATGCTCTGGGCTTAAGTTTTGGGAAAAAGGCAGAAACAGACTTGTAAGTATGATGATTGCCTGGAGAGGAAGTAGAATATTCTGTACTGTTTAAATTCCACATGTATCGAAGCCTTGGACCTGTGTATGGTAGATGGTGGCGCTATTCCTGGGCCTGAGAGAGAAAATACATGCTGTGTTACTGCTGTGAAGAACCGAGGAATAATCAGATCGACTAACGTATATTGGGCCGGCACATAGTTGTTGACTTTTTTTTTTCCTATTTGGAAATAAGATTAGCAAGTAGTGCAAAATTAAAAGGAAATAATTTGTTTTCTTTAGAATACACAGCACATTACGAATTCAGTATCCTTGTGAAAGACATTGCTACGTTTATTGGAGCAACAAAGACCCAGCTTTTCTTACCTCACCATCCTTTGTCCTATGCTTTTTTTTTTTTTTTTCCTTTTTTTCATGCAGGGTCTCGCTCTGTCGCCCAGGCTGTAGTGACAGTTCACTACAAACCTCCACCTCCTGGGCACAAGCAGTCCTCCCACCTCAGCCTCCCAAGTAGCTGGGACTACAGGCACTGGAGCCACCATGCCCGGCTGATTTTTTTTTTTTTTTTGGTAGAGACGAGGTTTCACTATATTGTCCAGGCTGGCCTTTGTCATATGCTTTGCCCAAGAAGAGTGTTGCTGTCTTTTTTCCTAGCTAAGTATTCCACAGGGAACTTTAAAGTCTATTTTGTAGATTCTGGGACAGTCGTTTGTCCAGGTACCAGATGCTAGTGTGGTTTGAGTTCTTTATAGGTATGCTGACAAACTGTGGTAGATGTACAGGCCTAGCACTGTTACCTAGACATCCCTCAGATGAAACGTTCAGCTGAGCAGGTAGAGAGTGCAGTGTATGAGAGGGTACGGCTTGCTCTAAGAAGTTAACAGGCCTAATCCAACATCTATGCTTTGGAGAAGGATTTTATGTTTATTGGAACCTAAGAAGTTCATCTCATGTATTTTTAGAGAATGTGGTCAGGGCGGTACACAATTCTCTTCAAATAGGAGACAGGATGCTCATGACAGCAGTGATGTAATTGATTGCAGTAATGTGCTTAAGTATTTAAATTGAGCATAAAATCAGAGTTGTGTGATTTTAGGCACTTGTCAAAATCAAGGGCGCCACATATTCTCTGCCATGGCCTATTTGCATCTTCCATAATCATTGAGGTGCACATTTCAAGTCATCAATAGACTTTAAAAGGTTTTTCTTTTTCTCCTCTATTCTCTGCTCAAAGTGATAGTAAACATCTGGATAGTACCCATACTAATTTTAGGTCTTGGCCTGTGAGGCTTACCTGCCACCTGCCATGTGTCAGTAAGAGCAAGTCTGGATAGCTGCCTCCTTTCTCTTTTTTGGGGGATGGGAGTGTGTGTTTAGAGGTGGGCGGTGAGGGTGCAGGTAGAGGATTTTCCTCCCAACTGCTTTGAAAAGGCTCTAAAGGGGAGAGATGTTGACTCCTTTTATTGCCTCCTTGGGTCTGAAATGATAAACTGTGTTGAGATCTGATCAACATTTTATTTGAGGCTGGTTCAGTGAGCAGGTTCTGTTCTCCAGTAGCAGCATTAAACTGTAAGTAAGCTGACTTCAGACAGAATGTTCTTATGGGAACTTTGTAAGCGTTATATACTCCATTTGTTGCAAAATATGAAGTGTGTCTTTTTCCTGAGTATGATGGCCACAGATGTTGCTACAATTTATTTAATAGTTACAGTTGTTAATTTCCTTCTTTTCTGAGAGGAAAAGCCATTAATTTTATGGTTAATCATAAGGGAATATTAGGCCTATAAAGGGGGAACTAACCAAGGGTTTCCTAGAAAAGCTTGGTGTCAGCTATTCTAAAATTTAAATGTGTCCAAATGCATAAAGATTTAATATTGTTGTTCTGAGAGGACAGATGACCCTAGCACAGTAGTCTTTCAAACATTTAAAAGCAGAACTGTTTGGGTCGGGCATGGTGGCTCACGCCTGTAATCCCAGCACTTTGGGAAGCCAAGGTGGGCAGATCACGAGGTCAGGAGATCAAGACCATCTTGGCTAACACAGTGAAACCCCGTCTCTACTAAAAATACAAAACATTAGCCAGGTGTGGTGGCGGGCGCCTGTAGTCCTAGCTACTTGGGAGGCTGAGACAGGAGAATGGCATGAACCGGGGAGGCAGAACTTGCAGTCAGTGGAGATTGCACCACTGCATTCCAGCCTGGGTGACAGAGACTCTGTTCAGACTCTGTCTCAAAAAAAAAAAAAAAAAAATCAGAACTGTTTGTCAATTACTATTGCATACAGTACCCTATACCAAAATGGGATTAGTGGAGCTAACGAGGGCTACCAGCTGTTCTACCTGCCTAAGGAACACAAAGGCAAATCCTCATACTGTCTCCTTACAAGAAGACTAGCGTTTTCTCTTGAAGTACTTCCTCCTTGATGTCTTTTGGAGCTTAATATTCAGTTGCTGAACAAAACACACTTTTGTCGCCTTTAACATTTTATGTGCACGCTTTAGCCCTTTTTCTACTATTGTCTCACGGAGCCATTCTTACAGTGCTGTTACCCTCTTGTATTAGTCTTTAGTTACATGTCACTCATTCTTTCTATTATTTAAATGAGCTGTGCAAACACACTTCTTCAGAGTTTAGGGATGAGACAAAAGTTACATCTTATATGTCAACTCTGATCCATGCCAGCAGGACCATTATACTGAAGAATTGAGGGCCTCTCGCAGCCCAAAGGATCAAAGTCTACATGTAGTTGGGAGGTGTATCTGTAGTATTGGCAAACATGCTATGGAAAACATTTACCTATTACTTTTCCCGTCTTTTAGTATTGGCATCTTTTGTGGTAATAGTCAATTGCATTTTAAAGAGTCATCTTATGTTCAAGTCATAATCCCTTTACCCGTTACTAAGACCAGGTGTACTAATAGTGCTAGACTGGGTTATACTGTGGAAACAACCCGGAAACATTAGAAGTTTAAAATAATGGTTTATTTTATTTTTTTCTGAGACGGAGTTTTGCTCTTGTTGCCCAGGCTGGAGTGCAATGGTGTGATCTCGGCTCACTGCAACCTCTGCCTCTTGGGTTAAAGTGATTCTCCTGCCTCAGCCTCCTGAGTAGCTGGGATTACAGGTACCTGCCACTATGCCCAGCTAATTTTTTGTATTTTTGGTAGAGACAGGTTTCATCATGTTGGCCAGGCTGGTCTCGAACTCCTGACCTCAGGTGATCCACCCGTCTCGGCCTCCCAAAGTGCTGGGATTACAGGTGTGAGCCACCGTGCCTGGCCTAATAGTGTTGGAGGCAGAAAGAATGAGGGTTGTGACCAACTCGGTATACCACTGGAGGCTATATGAGCAAACAGCAAACTGTTCTCATGAAGGCAGGTTGTTGGCGAATTGACAAACTGCGTCTGCCTCCCAGAAGGAATGCTAAGGCCAGTCACACCCCAGGCGCAGTGTTTCTTGTGATTATCTACAGGAACATCTGAAGCCTGTTAGCAATCATGTGAACCTGTGATAAATCAAGCAGCTGACCAACCATTACCTGCTCCTCCCTGCTCTTGCTACCCAATAAATATGAAGGGTTGTGGAAGCTCAAGGCCCTTGCTCACTAGAAGCAAGGAGCCCCCGACCCCTTCTTTAAAACAGATTATTTTGTCTTTGTTTTCATTTCTACATTCGTTCTGCCTTCGTTCAGTCCCATAGTAACCGTCACATAATAGTTTAGTTTACACTGGATCAGTTGGGAGCTTTCCCCTATGGTGTTCTCTTTCTGGGACTTGGGCTGACAGACAAGGCCTAATTTTGAGTGTAATCAGTCATCATGGCAGAGGGAAAGTGTGTTGTGGTTCATTGCACATGTATACTGACTCTTAAAAGCTTCCAGAAGTACATGTCACCTTGCACATTTCATTGGCCAAGTCATGGCCATACCTAACTCAAGGAAGTGAGATGTATAATTTTAACGTGCAGAGAACTAGAAACATTTGAACAGTCTCTCGTCAACAAATGCTTTCCTTTGTATATGTAGTTCTTCCTTGGCTTTTCCTGGTGGAGGTAATTCAAAATTACCATCTTCACTATGTGAAGCCTAAAGTTGAGGATCTCTGAGTAATGCCCAGCAGTGGTCATCTCTTTACTGGTCTAGATAGAAGTTATCTGTCTGCCACCCCCTGTTGAACACATAAGGCAGTGCTGGGAGAGATAACTGTAAGTATTCCTGTTTGGAGAGAGGAAGAATGGAAAACACACACCAGACTCTAGATTGTAGCAATCTACGGTTGAAATCTCTCTAGGCAGTTGTTGCTAGGGCTCTAGTTCTGTTCCCTGAGTTCTCTAGGCCAGTTGAAACAACAACAACACTCCTAACACAATAGAAATGAATTACAGGAAAAGTGAAATAAAGAACATCAATTTACAAGCCCAATTTTAAAATTATTATTAGATTCAACAAATATAAAATTACTGTGTGAAATTGCTATAAAATGTTCTAAACATTTACATTCCATTTCTGTATTTATGTCATTATTTTAGACAAGTAACAAATACTTTTTACTCTGCACATGCCCTACAGCATAGTTCTCCGTGGTCCTTGGCTTTGCCCTGTGTGAGGTTCTTCCATTTTTGTTACTCTTGGCCACATCTGAAATTGGCTTTGGAGCATATGGCCTCTGACCTCTTTCTGTGGCTGAGCAGTTTTGTCAGTTTGCTTTGTGACCATGCACGGGTGGGGGCCTAAGGATTGTTTTAAGTTTTGAACATCTAGTCTTTTGGATGGCAGTTCTTCTCTGGGTATTTTTCTTTTAATACCTTGTTAAACACCACCAACAGCAACCATCACACAGTACTAATCTATCTTCCAGCCTCTTCTTTTAGAGCTATAAATAAGTTCATTAGCCACGGGAACATAGGTACACATTCATTATAAGTTAATCAGGTACATGTCACCTCCAAATTATTGTAGTGACAGTTTTATCAAACTTATTAATGTGGGTCACTTGCTTAGCTCCAGTCTCTGATAAATGTTTCCTTGAGCAGGCCCAGAACAGTTTCTATGCTGCTTGGCCCCAGCCAGTGTTTTGGAGTTTTCGTTAAGGTGGCATCTCACTTCTAGTTTATATGCAGCTTAAGAGAAAATAGTTTATGCTGCTATAATAACCCCTGCCATCTCAGTGACTTAAAACAACAAGGTTTATTTCTTCCTATGTCACATGCTTATTACACATTAGCTGGGAGTTCTCTGTTATGCTCATGCTCACAGAATAGACAGCATTTGGGCATTTCTCTTGACTGCAGCAGAAGACTGTAAAGCCTGGCTTTATTAACACTAACTGCCGAAACTGTTGCCTGAAAGAGACAGATGCCACTTTTGCTCACATTTTATTGGCCACAGTAAGTCATCTGGTGGTCGTAACTAACTCCCCCAGAGGTGGAGGATGGAGGGAGCTTAAGTGTAATTAGTAACTGCAAGGAGAACTAGAACTATAGTAATGAACTATCACACCGAGGTAACAAGGCCGCATTTCTCTGAAGGTACTCATCACTTGGTTCTGATATCTAGATTTTTGTAGTATTAAGTTTTTGTTTGTTCGTTTGTTTGTTTGTTTTGTTTTTAGGCAGGGTCTTCCTCTTTCACCCAGGCTGGAGTGCAGTGGCATGATCATGGCTCACTGCAGCCTCAATCACGATCCTCCCGACTTAGCTTCCCTGGTAGCTGAGACTACAGGTGTGTGCCACCATGCATGGCAATTTTTTTTCTTACTTTTTATAGAGACAGGGTCTCTGTGTTGTCTAGGCTGCTCTTGAACTCCTAGGCTCAAGTGATCTTCCTGCCTCTGCCTCCCAGAGGGCTGGAATTGTAAGCGTGAGCCACCGTGGCTGGCCAAGTATTGTTTTTCATTCCCTTTTCTAATTACTGGAGGTAAAAAAAGAAAAAAAAAAGTCACCAAGTACCTTTTGTATCTTTGTTTTCACTCTGCTCTTGCTGATATTCTTTTTCCCCACCCACATTCCCTTGCCTTTAGTTAAGATCTTTTTATGAGGACAGCATGTCTCTGAGCAAATGCATTTTATTTTCCATGCATGTGAAATGTCCACTCTTCCATGGTCCTACAAGGTACATATCCTTCCCCTACTCCCTTTCCCCTCTTTCTTCTTCCTTAGAGCCAATTACTTTCAACTGCTCACTGTTTGTTTTGGCATTGACCGTCCTATTTTCAATAAACTTGGTTTTTGGTTTTGCGAAAGTTGAAAATTTAGTTCTCTTTCATTTATTTTCCCACCCTAGCTGCATGTTTCCTTATTTTCTATCTTCCCTTTCTCTCAACAGTTGTTATGGTTTTGGTTAAATCATTATTCAGTATTTATTTCATTATGAAGACATAAATTCTACTTCTAGCTGACCCGTGCGGTATTCTTTGCTTTAAGTAATTTTTAAAATAATCAAATCTTACCATAGATGGAACAAACTACAGAGATTATTACTGAGTTCCTAACTCTAAACATGTAAGAACAATCACCAATGTCTCTAACCGATTAAAAGCACAGTGCTTTCACATATATAATCTTGTTTGGCCAACGAGATAGGAAATATGGGAAAGTATTTAAGCATTGGCTGTATGGTTAGACCTTTGGTGCTACAAAATACATTCTAGGTGAAAAGAGTAATAATATGTTAACACTGATGTCCAATTTAGTGTTAAAATGGTTAAATTATAACCTGGAGGCCAGGAAAGATGATATTCTATACTGGAATCTTTCACCTGTGCTTTTCATGTTGTACAGTTTAATTAGGTTATAGTTATTTCATATATAGTAATGAATGTTACATAGTTATTCTCTTAGCCTCAGAAATGCATGCATTTTCTCCAGAATATGAAGAAAATAGTGGATGACCTATTTTAAAACATCCCTATTAATATAAAGTAGCTTTAAAATAGGCTGGTTTAAAATGGTTATAATGTATAATCAATTTTAATGTCAATGATACCCCTTAATTATGCCATTAAAATTGCATTTTTATATACCTCTTATAGTTCTTGCTTCTCATTTTACTTTGAGTTTTTGAACTCTTGACTCATTATTAAAAATTGATGGCAAATTTTTTCACTGTTTGATATATACTGCCTCTGAAGAACAGAATTATTAGGAAATAACCAATGAGTAATTACTTCATTTTTTTTTTCAGGAACACCGGCTTGTTAGAGAGAGATATTATGTGCTTATTGATAATATTGAATGAGCAGAGTAAATACTCAATTTAATATGATTTTTCATACATTTCAAATTCTTTATTATTTTATTCTTTGCTGAAAAATTCTACTTTTATCCTTATGAGTATATAGAAATAATCTATTGCTGTTTTTTCCTATTGCCTATTTTGAGATAGTGAGCTTGCATTTGAAAGAGATGGGTCCTGTTTGAAATTTTAAAAATACTGAAACAAAATTTTCACCTACAGCTATGACTGTTTTTATATTATACTAATTTTTCTAAACTTTCTTCTTTTAAATGTAGATAACATAGATCATCAGTAGAAAACTTCTTGAAGTTGTTCAAGAAAAATTTGAAAGTAGCAAAATAGAAAATAAAGAATTAACAGCAGATACAGAGGACAGCATGGAAGTAAGTACGCCAAGAAAGAAGATAAGAGGAGGATATCTAGAACAAATTTGATTTCAGAACATAGAATTGAATTAAAGTATGAGTTGAAAAAGATATTTAAATTTTTAAGCAGTATAGAGAAATCTAAGGGTTAGGCATTACAAATTATGTATATTTAGAAGGAATGTTCTTCCATTGTTTTAATAGATTTCTTCTAGGGGATTTAAAGTAAAAGTAAACATATTAGGCATATTTTGGCTGTTTCACTCCCATCTAAATGGTATTAAATAATTATTCGATTATTTCTTATAATCAACTATAGGTAAAGAAAAACAAAATGCCCAATTAAAAAATGGATTGGTTAATGTTTGAGAATTAATTTTAGAACCCTTTAAAATGACAATTAGCTTAACACACTCTACTAAATTGAGCATTTTCTAGGTAGTTTTGATATCTTTTGCAAGTATGAAAAATCAATAGTATTTTCAAGTCAATGTTGTTATATATTGTCCCCCCTCAAATTTTTATGATATAGTAAAGTACTAGCAAAATCAAATGATGTGACTAATGACTTTCTTTTTGTAGATTTTACTTCATTCATTCATTTAACAAATTCATTCAACAAACTCTTGTTGAATACCTTCTCTGTGCCAGGTGTTGTCTTAGGAAACAGAACACAGCAGTGAAAAAACAGACAAAATCCGCTCAGATACAACTGCAGCTGATAATGTTTTCCGGCTTCAATGTCTTTAGAGTTGGGATCTCTTTTGTCATAATGTGCATTTTTTACATGCCAACAGTAAACTCTTTACCAGAACTGAGTCCTCAGAAATATTTTAGTACATTGCAACCAGGAAAAGCCTCTTTAGCTTATTTTTGTCAAGCTGGTAAGTATTTTTAAAATTCTAATATGATTCTTGTGATGTTTTTATTGCTATTTAATCAGTAAGTTCAGTGGGAAATTTCTGTTAAGATTAATAATATGTGCTATATAGCTGTTACTATAATATGTCTGACTGGGTTTGAATCCGGCCCGTGCCGCTTGTCCTGTGGTGTGACCTTGGTTAAGTCACTTAGCTTTTCTGTGTTTTTCTTTCATCATCTGTTCAGAAGAAATAGTACTTTATAAGTTTGTTGTGAGGATTAAATGATTTTACTTATATGCTGAGTTCATAGTAAATACTAGATAAGAGTTAGCTACTAACATAACATCTGAAAGAATACTTTCTCATGTTTTTAGCGTGTAACTATTTTAAGTTTTTTACAACTTTAAATGTAATGCTTTAGATTAATACCCTGCTTTAGCTGTATTGTTAATTATACTGAATTAACTAATATAACTATTGAGCATAACTAATAATTTTTTTAATAGTCAAATTCAAGTCTTCATGTCTTAAAAGTACTATTCTTGGAATTAATAAGTGAAGTGAGTATACACATTTCTGTTGGCTCCCTTATTATAATTGTGATTAGAAAATGATATTTTAAAATCATTTTGAAAGTTTTTGTATGTGTACATGTGTGTTGTGTATATGGTATTAAACTTGGAGGAAGAATGCCAAATGTTAGGTTTAAACGAAACATTTATTATATTGTTGTTTTAGGAAGTTTTTAAGGTCCATTTACAAAGTTAAAGTACATCATGATAAAAACAGAAATAAGAATAATGAGGCAATAGTAAAATAAGGGTGTGAAAATATGTAATGAGATATGTTTAGTTATTTGTTGTTGCATGCTAGTTGGACAAATGAATCTATTCTGTGTTTGCAGATTTTAAAATTCATTTTTAAGGGGCAATTCATAAACATTCATGAAACATTTGTTGTTTTAGATTCCCCAAGAACATCTGTATTTCTTGAAGAACTGAATGAGGCTGTTAGACCTCTGCAGGACTATGGAATTTCAGTTGCCAAGGTAGAAAGATATTTATGTTACTAAAATATTAGTGACGAACATCTTACAACTTTATGGCTTAAGATTGAATATCTTAAAATACTTCCATTTCATATCTTTTTCCAAACTGGAAATATATTTTTTTCATAAGAATAAACAGAAGCCCAGAAAGATAGTTTCAGGTTATTGCATAACATACTGCATATAGAGGGGACAAAAAGCTGTTTAAAAATTTTTAGCTTAGAATTTAACTTTATGTTATAAACCATTCTATTGGGCCCATGGTATCATTTTTCAAACCTATAGTTAGGTTTTTGTTCTGTTTTGTTTTGCCTAATGAATATTTCATAATAGGTAGCCACAATTCAGCTGTTTTTAAATTTTTATTAGCACAAACTGAAGTAACAAAATGGAGGTAAACAAATAATTTTTTTCTGTTCTTCTAAGTCTTTATAATTGTTTATGTTTCACTTTTTCGCATTTATTTTTAGAACAAAGTTATAACGACTCAACATTACATACTTAATTTTTTTCTCAAAAAATGTTCAAATTTGCCATAGAGTATTATAGAAAATTTCCACATGCATCATGGATTAGATAGATATGTAAGCCTTTCATTTAATTTAAACTTAGAATTTATATATCAGACAACTGAATGAGGGGTAACCCAGTGATACTAAATTCTTTCTGGTTAATGTCTACCTGACTTTCTGTGTACATTTTTTCTTAATTCATTAGCCTTCCTCTTCTAAAAGATGGCTATGGTCGCTCTTGGTCTCTGCAGCTAGAGTTCCCAGAGCAGACAGCATAGAAACATTGACTAACATTGGCTGTATACCTTTAAAAAATATCTATTTTTTAAATGTGTCAATTCTGTACGTATAGAGATCTCAATTAACTTTGAACAACTGATTTCACTCTAGAATGATAATGGCAATCATCTCCAAGGATCTCTGAATAAAATTTTAAATTGAAACTTAGAAATGAAGTAGTAGGTTGGTAGGAAACTCAAAAGGGATAATCATACTGTTTAGTAACTGGTAGACTGTCGCTAATAACTATGCATATAGTAACTTGAATAGAATGCTAAGGTTCATGCCCAAGCTGTTGCCCTTATGGACGAACATAACTGAAACTCCTGATTTTTTTTTTTTTGAGACAGAGTTTTGCTCTTGTCGCCCAGGCTGGAGTGCAATGGGACAATCTCGGCTCACTGCAACCTCCGCCTCCCAGGTTCAAGCGATTCTCTTGCCTCAGCCTCCCCAGTAGCTAGGATTACAGGCATGTGCCACGATGTCTGGCTAATTTTTATATTTTTAGTAGAGATGGGGTTTCACCGTATTGGCCAGGCTGGTCTTGAACTCCTGACCTCAGGTGATCCACCCGCCTTGGCCTCCCAAAATTCTGGGATTACAGGCATGAGCCACTGCACCCGGCCTGAAACTCCTGATTTTACAGTGAGAATGCTGAGCTCTATCTGGAAAGGAGATAGTGGCAAATGAGATAAACCTTTGTTGAGTGCCTAGCTCAGTTCCCACCACCCAGTGCTGAGTAAATATTTGTGAGATAGAAATGAGCTTACCATATTTAATCTTCTTTTGGATAGAAAGATGACTAAGCCCCTGTCCTTTTCTTTGGAGAGTTTATATCCTAAATAAGGAGGATAAAACACATTCACAAGTCATTTTAATAACTAGCAGAACCTGATCATTGTAATAGGAGAGATACAAATAAAGTGCCATAGAAGTTTTTTTTCTTCTTTTTTTTGAGACCGAGTCTTGCTCTGTCACCCAGGCTGGAGTGCAGTGGCACCATCTTGGCTCACTGCAACCTCTGCCTCCTGGGTTCAAGCAATTCACCTGTCTCAGCCTCCCAAGTAGCTGGGACTACAGGCGCATGCCACCATGCCTGGCTAATTTTTGTAGTTTTAGTAGAGATGGGGTTTCACCATATTGGTCAGGCTGGTCTCAAACTCCTGACTTCGGGTGTTCCTCCTGCCTCAGCCTCCCAAAGTGCTGGGATTACAGGCATGAGCCACCGCGCCTAGCCCATTGAAGTTTAAAGGAAAGAAAGCCTATATTTGATTTTTGAGGTGGAAAGTCACAGATGTATTGGGAAAGAGTTCACAAAAAGCAGCATTTAAGATTGTTTTCAGAAGATAGCAAGAGGCAGGATGAAGAAAATGCTAAAATATAAATGGGCTACGTATTCTAGTCAAGACAATGAATGTCAAGCTGGATACAATAACCCAAGAAAGCTGTATGCTATTTAGGGCTATATGTCTTGCCTTAAATGTGTCCTTCCTTTTCTACCTGGTTACCACCTACTTGTTCCATAAGATTGAATTCGGAAATAGTGCCTTTCTCTGGGTTATCTCATGCACTTGAATATGTGAGCAATTATAGCATACAAATCAGAAAAAAAACGTAAAGTACAAAATTTGACCTGAAACAAGCTGTAATGTTTAATTCTCCTTCTTGTTTCCCTAACCAATGATATTTAGAAATGCATCCAAAATAAGGGTTTCAGAAATCTTCAAAGTAAAGGAAGGAAAAAAAAGATATATTATACAAGTGATAACCAGAAGAAATCTAGTGTATCAAAGTAGATTTTAAACAAAAAGCTCTGTCATCCTTGACTTTTCTTTCTCTCATAAGTAATCCATCTACTACTTGGTTCTACTATGAGAACTTTTCAAATCTGACCACTTCCTATACCTTCATTTTTACTTCTTCCTGCCATCTCTTCTCATTGGGGAAACCACAATAGCCTCCTAATAATTGGCCTTTCTTCCTTCACTTTGTCCCATGACAGACTCTTCTCCATATGTAGCCAGATGTATCAGGATACATCACTACCATGCTGCGAAAGTCCTTTCATTCCAATTATGATCAAATAGAAACTTTTGAGTGTTGTGGACACTGGCTTTGTCTCTGATCTCATTTTCTGACCCTCCACTTTGTTCAGTTCGTTCTTAATACATAGTGGTCATCTTTCTGTTATTTGAACCTGCTGGAGGTGCTGTTAACCACAGGGCCTTTGCAGATATTTTCCCCTCTGCTTAGAACTCATCTCTTATACTTATTTGTATACTTTTATGCATTACTGCATTTCTTCAGTTCTTTGTGCAAATGTCACTTTTTCAGAGAAGCCTTCCTTGATTACCTCTCTAAAATGCCCTATCACATGCTATTCCCTTACAATTTTTTTATTTATAGGACTTAACACTACATATTAATTAGTTTTCAACTTGTCTCTACCTTACATTGTTCTAAAGCTAAATATTTTTATTTGGAACTTACCTGTACCCAAAGTGACTAGAACAGTGACTGACATGGTAGATGTTCAAATATATTTTGAATTGATGAATGAATGGACACATCTATTGTCATAATACCAACCATCCTTATGCTGTAACTTAAAAAATTTTTAAAATTACATATATTAAAATTTACTTTTTGGTTATGGCTATAGTCTGACTTTAATTCTGATTCTCTATTTCTCGTTTCTTAGTGTCAGTTCCTGTTTTGTAGCCTTTTAAACAAACGTTGCTTCCCCAGTTCTTCTTCTTCTTCCTCAAATCCCATTAAAATTAAATTGAACAACAGGAAAACCCCCTCTTAAGAGAAACAAAAGCCTTACCAAATGCAAAACAAAATAACTATTCTTCTAGCCTTAGTTTTGGTTAGTTAACATTGGTGGCTCTCCATTTGCCCCATCTAGAAACCCCTTCATTCTTTTTTTCTCTTTCCTCTCTTCCTCTATCTCAATCTGCATATACATGCTCAGTCTTCCCCCTAGTTGTATGTATTGTATTTGTAAAAAGCCTTTTGTATGTCTTCTGTCCTTTTTGGCTTTACTTCTCATCCAAGTCATCCATGACCTACGCTAATGTGATATTCTTTTAAACTCTCCTTATCTTTGTGTTCTTTTGCTTTCTGTTTATCTTCATGTTGTTGCCAAGATTGTTATTATATATTTTTTTCACTTAGAGTTCAGATTATAAGCTATCCAGGGCTGGTATGGCTGCTCTGACATCATCATTGACTTAGTTCATTCTTTCTGTTGTACCATTCTTTGCAAGTAGCTTCTTTAAAGATGCCTTATGGTCCGTGATTGCTGTTGGTACTCCATCTGTCTTACCTATTTTTGGTCAAGAAGGAGTGAAAAGAGCAAAAGTATCAGTCAGCCCACTTTTAAGAGCCTTTTAGGAGTTTCAGCCCAGTGACTCCTCCAAACACCATTTAGCCATTGCAGGCTGTTGGGGAGGTTGGGAAAGCCTTTTAATGAAACACTTGCTTTTAGCAAAGTTCTGTTAGTAAACAAAAGGGAAGGATGGATTTTGGGTGGGAAACCAGCAGTATCTGCTATCTCTGTGTTCCACTTGCTGAGATGCTTTCATCATTCCAAGTTAGCACTCACTTTTGTGCTTCCTGGCTATTGCTCATACTTTTTGTCTTGCCTTAAATGTGTCCTTCCTTTTCTACCTGGTTACCACATACTGGTTCCATGAGACTGAATTCAGAAATAGTGCCTTTCTTTGGGTTATCTCATGCACTTGAATATGTGAACAATTATAGCATACAAATCAGAAAAAAACATAAAATACAAAATTTGACCTGCAACAAACTGTAATATTTAATTCTCCTTCTTGTTTCCCCAACCAAGAAACTTGACCTTTTGATATATATGCTAAAACTTAAGTATACTCTTTTAAAGGTTAATTGTGTCAAAGAAGAAATATCAAGATACTGTGGAAAAGAAAAGGATTTGATGAAAGCATATTTATTCAAGTAAGCTATTTTCCTGAGTGTGCTGGACAAATACAAAGCTATACTTCTAGAATATTCAAATATGTAAAATATCACTGAGCTAGAATAAAGTCATATGTAGGGGGGATCATGTAAAGCTTAACCAAAAGTCCAAGTAATAGATTTGTTACCTAACCTCTCAGTACTTTAACTTCCTTATTTATAAAACAGAGAGTAATACCTACATCACAAGGTTGTTTGTGAGGCTCTTGTGTAAACTCCTACAACAAATGCCTGGTAAGCAAGTGCTTACCAAATTTAATGTTCTGGGTAGATATGTCAGGTCCACATTTGGGTGTGAAATAAATGTGCTTTATTTTTGAGAGATCTGCCAATCTCTCTGCACTTGGGTTTGATCTACCTGAGGTTTCTCAAATCCTTGGGATTTGGCCGAAGAAGTGGGGAGAGGTCCTGTTTCCTCAGGGACCTTCTGAGGACACTTCTTTTTCCTTCTTGCCTTCTTCCCAGCCCAATTTGGGGAATGTGTGTGTGTGTGTGTGTGTGTGTGTGATTGTGAGTTGGGGAGACTGGTAGGAATCCTTGTTTGGACTCCTATTTTTTTCTAGCCTTTTTGCCAGGTACAGAGCCTAGGCTTTTCAAAGTTAATATATTTATTGAGAATGTATTATGTGCCAGGACGCTGGTAGGTATGTGGAGTATGTGGACAAGACACAGCTGTAACATCAAAGACCTTATAAGCTAATGTATTTGATAGACAAGTAAATTGAATTCTAAGGAAATATTTTTTGTATTTTTCAATATTAATATGTTTTTAAACTTTTTATAGGGGCAACATATTGCTCAGAGAATTCCCTACTGACACCTTGTTTGATGTGAATGCCATTGTCGCCCATGTTCTCTTGTAAGTACAGGGGCTACACATTCATTTGTTTACTTGTTACTTATCTGTTGATTTCATTTTAAATAACCACAATTCATTAAAATATTTCAGGGTTTTAACATTATATTTGTAGGCAACAATTTAACACAAATTACTAATCTATCTTCCCACATCGAGGATCTAAAAAATTTTTTAATGGCAAAGGATACAGAAGCATGGAGATACTTTTATAAGAGTAGGAGATGACTCAACAAAACCACATCGAGTGAGGTCTAACTGGAGGAGTGAGGATTTTGCCAGGTATCTTAGTCTGTTCAGGCTGCTATAACAAAATACAGTAGACTGGGTAGCTTATAAACAACAATGAAACTGGGTAGCTTATAAACAACTGTGAAATTTATTTTTCACAGTTATGGAATCTGGGACGTCCAAGATCAAAGTACTGGCAGATTTGGTGTTGGGTGAGGGCCCCTGGTTTATAGCTGGTCATCTTTTCCCTGTGTCCTCACATGATGAAAGGGATAAAGGAGCTCTCTCAGGGTCTCTTTTATTAGGGCACTAATATTCTTGAGGGCTCTGCCCTTATAACCTCCTAATATCATCATACTGGCAGTTAGGATTTCAACATATGAATTTTGGGGAGACATAAACATTTAGACCATAGTACCAGGTAGGAAGCTCATCTTTGTTTTTTTTTTGTTTTTGTTTTTTGTTTTGAGATGGAGTCTCACTTTGTCTCCCAGGCTGGAGCACAGTGGCGTGATATTGGCTTACTGCAACCTCCACCTCCCAGGCTCAAGCGATCCTCCCACCTCAGCCTCCCGAGTAGCTGGGACCTATAGGCATGCACCACTCATCTTTGTTATTCTCACTGGGATTTTTAAAGTACCTGGCTTTCTTCTTATCCCAGCTGGGTTTCTTTCTGGATTCTCTAGCTCTGGGCTTGCTCAGTTAGTACAGAAAGAGTTTGTCCCAACACATACCTCAGTGTTTACTGAGAGAAAGTTTAAGTTTTCTGGCCTGGAATCTCCAGGCCTGGTATTTAGGTCTATCTGGGGTCCATTCTTGGACTCTTCCCCTGAATTAAGTCTGATATTCTCTTTGGTAACAGAGCTAGAAAATATGACTTGTTAAGGACACAGGTTTACATGGACTTTTCTAATTTAATGTTATAAGCCTGTTGTCCACTAAGACCTTTGCTGACATTGGCTGTCTTTTTCTGCTTGGGTCTCCTCTTCCTCTCTCACCTACAAAAATTGGTAGTTTAACTCCTGGAAATTCAAAACTTACAGGTGAAAAGTTGTGCTTATCACTTTACAAATGTTCCAGTCCCAATAATATGTTAACAAAAGGCCTTTAGAAATTCCTGACAACCATGGGCCCTGATACTTGTAGACTAACGAGCCAATCGTAATGAGTGAAGATGGTCTTTTGAGGAAGGAATTCCTTGGAATCCCTTTCCTGGGACAGAGGGGTAGCTATCTTGATGGTGGGGGTTCTGTGAAGCTTAGCAAAAAGTCCAAGTAATAGATATGACATTTGTTCTCAGGAAGCTTACTAGTTAGCAGCTGTTTTTCCGGTGGATACCTGATGACTATCTTTGACCCAGAAATGGGGGTGAAGAAACAGAAAAAGAAGTCTTTTCATAAAGAATGAATCCAAATTTGACACCAAATCCTGGAGTGGCATATCCACATTGAACAACTTGATGACAAAGTGGTTTTGAAACAGCTGGCCCTAGATGTGGAGAGGACCGAGGACCCTGTTATCTAAACTGGTTACTCCGTGAGGCTCAGCTCATTCAGTCCTGCTTTAGTAGTGTCCTGTTCTTAGTGCTGTACTAATGCTGATTTATAGAACACGAATTCCACAAATAGATTATTCCCCATGTTCCTGCTGTGTGCCAGACACTTGTTAGACATTGGCTATAAAAAACAGAATAGGATGTGGCTTCTGTTCTGTAGGAATTTAGTGTTGCACAGACAGATAAACAGAAAATATTATTAATATGTGATAAGTAAAATAGTAGAAGTATGTATGCATAAGGGCTAATGGATCCACAGAGAAGGGAGTAGTTATTCATGTCTAGAATGAGGGTGGATATTTATTAAGTGGGCTTCCTGAAGGAAGTGGCAGTTGGGATGAATGTTAAAGGGTAAGTGCTTGGTGAAGAAGGGGAAGGTGAGAAAAGCAAGAGGAACTTTGTGACAAAGGCATACAGCAGCCATGTTCAATCTTTTTTTTGGCTTACCTGGGCCACATCGGAAGAAGAATTGTCTTGGTCCACACATAAAGTACACTAATGATAGCTGACGAGCTTAAAAAAAATTGCAGAAACATCTCATAATGTTTTAAGAAAGTTTACGAATTTGTGTTGGGCCATATTCAAAGCTGTCCTGAGCTGCATGCAGCCCATGAGCCACAGGTTGGACAAGCTTGTCATAGAGGTTAGAAGTAGTTGGGAGAAGGTGGTGGTTTTGCCAGAGTATAAAATGTGAAGCAGGAGATAAGAGTAGAAAAGTAGACATGGGGTCAGAGGAAGGGAATTTTTGTTTTCCCTCTGTATAAGTTTAGGCTTTTGGGTAACCACTGAAAAGTGAGGAGTCCAGCTGTAGGCCAAAATCCTTATGTGATCTTTCAGGCCTGATCATATGCAATATTCCAAGGCTATGCCTGACAAACCTCACAGGGGGAAGCTGCCCTCACCATACCACACTTGGCACATAAGCAGTACATTGCAGTTTTCTAGAGAAAATTGAGGTCAAGGACATAGGCCTATTCCTCTCCTAATCCTTCAGGCCCCTATGCTTATATGTGCATCTGCATTCCTAGCCCCGCTACCTCCATTTTGAGGCCTCCTTACCAGAGCCCTTGGCTAAGGTGCTTTTCTTATCTTTGAGTCAGGGCCTTTCCGCTCTTACCCCACACCCCTTTTGTTCCCTCAAGTCCATGGGTCCATAAAGAAGTGGGGCCTGTTGTTTGGGACTCCTTGGAATGAGATGATACCTTGTGTCTGCACTGTATCCACCTGACCCTTGCCTGTGGTCATTCCAAGGGATGAAAAATTTAACATTGTTGAGCCAGCACCTCTCTTTTTTGCATCTTGTTTGCACTTTCCTAGTAAGTAAATGAAACCTTGATTATTACTTTTGGTTTGGCTTGTTGTTCTGATTGACTACTTTAACACCTGATTGCCCAGCAAAGCGCTGTAGGCAGGCAAGTGATGTGATCAGATTAGTATTTGAGAGATCTTTCTGGTGGATGTGAGATATGTCTATGGGGTTTGAGCACATGTATAAACCATTCTGTGACCGTTGTATAATCTAGGGAGGTAGAGTAGATACAGCAAAGGGGGGATTTTCTTTTTAATGCTTAGGAGGTAAAATTAGCTGGACTTGGTAATGGTTAATTTGGTAACAGTAAAACTACAAACTTGTTAATTCTTGATCTCTTCTTTCCTACCTCATGCTACCCAGCTCTAGTCTGATCACCATCTGAAATAGGCAAGGAAGAAGAGCAAATTTACAGAATATGAGTCTACTTTAGCAAGTGGAAAGTCCATCATGCCTCAGTCAGGCATCTATAGGAGTTTGAGCCCCAGAGCATTGTACATCCAGGTGTTGTCAACATATAGGTCAGCCAGGGAGCATCCTAGGGCAATACCACCATTTAAGAGAAGAAACTGAGAGAAAAAAAATAAATATCAAGGAAGTAGAATTCCAAAGAGGCAGTGTCCTCATTTTTGTTTAAAATGTGAGAAAATGACTTATGTAATACAGTGTTTTATAAAATTTCCCAGTAACGATATTTACAATGTTAAAGAACTATGCCAAACAGTATGCTGTCCCTTAGCTGTACCTTGCAAATTGCCATGAGGAACAACCTATCTTCTTACTTTTGGATGCTAAAACCATCAGTTTGAAATACCCAGTTCCTGGCTAGCAGTTTTTTTTTTCTGTTGTACTCTTACAGTTGCATACTACTCATAAAAATAGATTTGAACTGGCTGGGTGCGGTGGCTCACGCCTGTAATCTCAGCACTTTGGGAGGCCGAGGTGGGCAGATCACGAGGTCAGGAGATTGAGACCATCCTGGCTAACACGGTGAAACCCTGTCTCTACTAAAAATACAAAAAATTAGCCGGGCGTGGTGGCGGGCGCCTGTAGTCCCAGCTACTCGGAAGGCTGAGGCAGGAGAATGGTGTGAATCCGGGAGGTGGAGCTTGCAGTGAGCTGAGATCGCGCCACTGCACTCCAACCTGGGTGACAGACTGAGACTCTGTCTCAAAAAAAAAAATAGATTTGAACTGTTGCTTGACAACTTTTGTCCATTTTTAAATTATGTTTTAAACTTGATTTATTTTGAGATGGGGTCTTGCTGTATTCCCCAGGCTTGAGTGAACTGGCAATTCACAGGTGCAATTATATCACACTGTGGCCTCAAACTCCTAACCTGAAGGGATCCTCCCACCTCAGCCTCTGGAATAACTGGGAGTACAGGTGCACACCACCACACTCAGCTTAAACTTTATTTTTATTAATTTCTAGGAGCTCTCCTTATATAAAGCACAAACTGTAAAAATTTTTCAAGTTTTTCATTTGTCTTTTGAATTTCCCTATTGTGTTCTTCAAAAAATTATGTGGTCAAATTTATTTTTTCTTTTTGACTTCTGGATTTTAAGTTGTACTACCTTTCCCTTATTCCATTGTTATAAATGAATTCACCCATTTTTCGGATTTTTAAGAAACAAAGTCTTAGACTTTGAGCAGTTTTAGATGTACAGAAACTTGAAAAATTTACAGAAATTTGAGCAGATAGTACAGAAAATCCCAGTATATCTCCTCCTTTATATATAATTTTCCCTATTATTAACATTTTGCATTAGTGTGGTACAGTTGTTACAATTGATGAACCAATATTGACATATTATTGACTAAAGTACATAGTTTACATTGAAGTTTCACTCTTTGTGTTCTACATTCTATAAGTTTTGACAAATGTATGACACATTTCTACCATTAGTGTCATACAGAATAGATTCACTACCCCCAAAATGCTCTGTGCCTAACTATTCATCCCTTCCTCTCTCCCCTACAAACCACTGATCTTTTTACTATCTTTGTAGTTTTGTCTTTTCCAGATGTGATACAATTGGAATCATATAGCATGTAGCCTTTTCATCTTGGCTTCTTGCACTTAGTAATATGCATTTAAGGTTTCTGCATGTCTTTTCATGGCTTGATAGTTCATTTTTTAAATCACTGAATAATATTCCACTGAATGGATATATCACAGTTTAACCATTGACCTACTGAAAGACATCTTGGTTGCCAAGTTTTGGCAATTATAAATGAAGTTGCTATTAACATCCATATTTAGGTTTTTGTGTGGTCCTAAGTTTCCAACTCCTTTGGGTAAATACGAAAGGAGTGTGATTGCTGGACTGTATGGTAAGATTATGTTTAGTTTTATAAAACGTTGCTAGCTGCCTTCCAAAGTGGCTGTACCATTTCGCATTCCCACCAGCAATGAATGAAAGTTCCTGTTGTTCCACATCCTTGTCAGTGTTGTCAGTGTTCCATATTTTAGCTAGCATAATAGGTATATAGTGGTATCTCTTTGTTGTTTTAATTTGCATTTCCCTGATGACTTATGATGTGGAGGATGTTTTCATATGCTTATTTTCCATCTGTCTATCTATGATGAGGTCAAGGTCTTTGGTTCATTTTTTAATTGGGTTGTTTGTTTTCTTGTTGAGTTTTGTATATTTTGGGTAACAGTGCTTCATCAGATATATTTTTCACAAGTATTTTCTCCCAGACAAGCCAGTTTGTTGCTTGTCTTTTCATTCTTTTGATTCTAGTAGTGTTTTAATGCTTTTTAAAAATATATGCCTGCATACTTAAATTTATTACTGGAGATTTTATATCTTTTTTTCTATTGTAAATGAATTTTTTCTTCTGTTATCTTCTAATACACAGAGACATACTGACGTATACAGACATATACTGATGTGTTCTTATATATGTAAAAAATATACATCTTATCTATTATGCAAGAGGTGTAACATATATACACATATATATACCTAGGTATTTTTTATATATATGTATATACACACACATATATATACTACATATTATATATATTATATATAATAATTATATATTATTATATATAATATTATATAATTATATATTATATTATTATATATAATATTATATAATAATATATATTATATTATTATATATAATATTATATATAATAATATATAATATATATTATTATATAATAATATATTATATATTATTATATATAATATTATATAATAATTATATATTATATTATAATATTATATATAATATTATATAATAATATATATTATATTATAATATATAATTATATATAATATAAAAATAATTATATATTATATATTAATATTATATATAATAATTATATATTAAATAATAATATATATTATATAATATATATTATATATTATTATATGTAATATTATATATTATTCTGTATAATATAATATATATAAATATAATATATTTATATATAATATAATATATATAAATTATATATAAAATATATGTAAATTGTAATATGTAAATATATATAATATAAATATATATAATATATAAATGCATAATATAAATATATAATATATAAATATAATGTATAAATAAATTACATAAAAATAATTATAACATATAATATATAATATATATTATATATATGAATTATATATTACATATTGTTATATGTATTATAATATGTAATATATAATTCATATATATAATATATATAATGTATATTATATAATATATAATATATAATATATAATTCATATATATAATAGGTATCATATTATATATAATAGGTATTTATTATATATAGTAATAATACATAATATATAATAGGTGTCATATATAATTATTATATAATATATACTAGGTATATATATAATAGGTATTATATATAATATATAATAGGCATTATATATAATATATATAATAGGCATTATATATATTATATATAATAGGCATTATATATATTATATATAATAGGCATTATATATAATATATATAATAGGCATTATATATAATATATATAATAGGCATTATATATAATATATATAATAGGCATTATATATATTATATATAATAGGCATTATATATATTATATATAATAGGCATTATATATAATATATATAATAGGCATTATATATAATATATAGTAGGTATTTTTTCTTTTTATTATTATAGTTAAAGTTTTAGGGTACATGTGCACAACGTGCAGGTTTGTTACATATGTATACCTGTGTCATGTTGATGTGCTGCACCCATTAACTTGTCATTTAATATTAGGTATATCTCCTAATGCTATCCCTCCCCCCTCCTCCCACCCCACAACAGGCCCCAGTGTGTTCCCCTTCCTGTGTCCATATGTTCTCATTGTTCAATTCCCACCTATGTGTGAGAACATGCGGTGTTTGGTTTTTTGTCCTTGCGATAGTTTGCTGAGAATGATGGTTTCCAGCTTCATCCATGTCCCTACAGAGGACATGAACTCATCATTTTTTATGGCTGCATAGTATTCCATGGTGTATATGTGCCACATTTTCTTAATCCAGTCTATCATTGTTGGACGTTTGGGTTGGTTACAAGTCATTGCTATATAATAGGTATTATATAGATAATATATAATAGGTATTATATAGATAAAATATATAATAGGTTTTATATAGATTATATAGAATAGGTATTATATAGATAATATATAGAATAGGTATTATAGACAATATATAATAGGTATTATAGATAATATATATAATAGGTATTATAGATAATATATATAATAGGTATTATATATATACACACACACATATATATATATATACCTAGGTATAATATATATACCAGTATATGAAAGATTGATTTTTGCATACTAATTTTGTGTCTTTTGACCTTACAGATTTTTATTATAAATTGAAAAATGAACTAGTTACAACTATTATTAATAATAAACAAAATAGTATTTCACTTATAATAAGGATATTATTACTGTGACTTACTACTAAGCAATTTTTTTGTATTTATATTCTTGTCTTTTTTCTAAGATACTGTTATCTACTATTAGATATGTACATAAGAGCTGTGTATATATATATCATATATAATTCTTCTACATTTACATTTTATTAGTCAGTAAACAGGCAAGTCAAAATTTCCTGGGATTGCCTCCATTTACAAAAATTCAATGACATACATATTAAAATATATTTAACTAGTCAGTTATTTTTGACCTAAATCCAATACTTAGCCTAATTCTTAATAAGGAGAAATATTTACAGATGTTTGGATTGTTCTCAAAATACTTGTCTATGAACTAAAAGCCTGCGTTAGAGAATATGTGTTACTTTATTTGGCTTGCTTTTTAAAAATGTGTAACCCATGCTGTTACTTTTATCCCGAAGCATTTGTGTTGTTCCTTACTTAGAATGTTTTGCTTGAGACCAGTGACCTACAGTTATACTTGAACTTTGCTACTTCGTCAGCAGAAAAGATCATTGTTTTAGATAATTTGTTATCTTCAGAATATGGAATTGAAGAAAAAATTAAGTTAGTAAAATCTGAGATAGAATAACAAGTATAAACTTAGGGTGATCTTTATACTAATTGTTAATATTTGAAACATATTTTTTGACCATTATTGTCAATTATGTACCTTTTTTGGTAGGATATTTACAACACTGCTGAAACATCATTGATTTAAAATATAGTGACTTGTCAATCTATTAAAATTTTCTCAGATTGATTTTGCAGGATGTAGTAAGTGAAATAAATCAAATGGTTAGGGCATAGCATCATACTATTTACATAGGAGAGGGGGTGTTAAGTCCAAAACTCCAAAGAGTCTGAGTTGTTACCCTACTTGTGAGTCTGTGTAATATATATATGTTATACACACATAGAAGACTTCTGAATTAGAGAATTGACCTTACGGCAATAACAGCAGCCAGAGTAGCACGGTAGCGCTATCCTCATACCTAGTTCTCTACTGAATGACAAGGCAAGAGTCAGATGCTTATACCTGTACATAGCAAGGTTTGAAGAATGAGAACTTCAACATTATTAATCTCCGAGTTTATATAGGAGCTGGCACACTTACTCTTCCTCTCTGAAGATAAAGTGCTTATCTTTTACTGTGGAATATAAGAGCAGAAGAGGAAGGCCCCTATCACTAAATATAAGCATTTGACTCTGGGGAAGAGAAGATAGTGTGTGAAAAAAACAAAAATCATTTTTCCTCTGCTCTCACAAAACGTAGAATACTTCTGTGACCAGATGTTTGAGGAGTCTTCTCCACACACCAACTCTGTAGCTGACATCAGCGGGGTGTCCTCTTATTCAATTCTGACAGTACCTACCTGAAGATAGTATCAGATCCTGCATGTGTTGAAGGCCAAGTCCCCAAGACTGCCCCCTACCTGAGATGCCAGTCAGATAGGACAGAAGCTCCTATGCTTTTGTCTGAACAGCTATAAATTGGGGTTCTCATGGCTCCAACAAGCCCCTCGTTGGGCTTGGCTGTTTCTCTAGAGTGGCTCACAGAACTCAGGGAAACAATTATTTACATTTATTGGTGTATTACAAAGAGTATCGCAAAGGATACAGATGAAAAGATGCATGGGGCAGGGCACATGGAAAGGGGCGTGGAGCTTCCATGCCCTCCCCTGGCATGCTGCCCTCCGCTGGCATGCCACCCTTCAGGAACTTCTGTGCATTTTGCTATCTGGAAGCTCTTCAAGCCCTCTCCCTTTGCGGTTTTATGGAGGCTTTGTTATGTAGATATGATTGATTAAACCATTGGCCATTGGTGACCAACTAACCTTCAGCCCCTCGCTCCTCCTCAGAGACTGAGGGTTAGAGCTGAAAGTCCTAACCCTCTAATCATGCCTTGGTCTTTTAGTGACCAGGCCTCATCCTGAAGCTGTCTGCCAGCCATCAGTCAGCACATTAGCATACACAAGACATCAGTTTGGTGGAGATTGTAAGGATGTCAGGAGTTGCATGCCAGCAAACAGGGTTGGGGACCAAATACATATTTTACAGTATCACAGATATGTTTTATTTCTCTTTGAATGGAAGCAGATGGCTCCTGGAGAAAAGGAAACAAGCTTAGAATGGGACTTCTCCATTTTTCTATCTTGCTAGATTTGATCTTCAGGAGATTTGGTCTGTGTAGGAGCACTGGGAGAGCCACACAGGATTTCCTTCTACAGGGGCACATGTAAATGCATGTAGTATACATGTATGTGGCATATATATTACAAGGTTTCACAAAAACTGAACATATTGGTTGATAGGAATGATATGGGGAAGCTGGGGGTGGAGGATGAAGTAGACTCTAACTTTTTTGGTACCTTTTGTGTTTTGAACCCTGTAAAAGTATTACCACTTTGTAAAATAAATGACATTTAAATTAAAAATGAGAATTTGGATTTATAGTCTAAAAATTCTTAACTCTGCCTTCTAAATATACAAAGTGAAAAGTGGTAAAATTGAGTGGTTCATTTACTATGTGAGGAAAATTTTACTTCCCAGCTTCTAGATGGGGTTAAGAATGGTAATACAGTTGGCCCTCCATATTCACAGGTTCTGCATCTGTGGATTCAACCATAAGCGGATCAAAAATATTTGAAAAAGGCAATCAAATATAACAATACAACAGTAAAAAAAATTTTAAATATAATATAACTACATAGCATTTACATTGTATTAGGTATGATAAGTAAGTGATTTAGAGATGATTTAAAGTATACAGGAAGATGTGTGTAGGTTATAGCAGATTCTCTGCCATTTTATATGGGACTTGAGCATCCATGGGTTTTGGTATCCAAGAATCAATCCTGGATATCAATCCCCTGAGGATACTGAGAGATGATTGTATTTAGAAAAGGAAAGTAACAACAAATTTTTATTTATTATTATTATTATTATTATTATTATTATTATTATTATTATTATTTTGAGATGGAGTCTCACTCTGTCGCCCAGCCTGGAGTGCAGTGGTGCGATCTTGGCTCACTGCAACCTCCGCCTCCTGGGTTCAAGCAGTTCTCCTGCCTCAGCCTCCTGAGTAGCTGGGATTACAGGCATGCGCCACCATACCTGGCTAATTTTTTTTTTTTTGTATTTTTAGTAGAAACAGGGTTTTACCATGTTGGTTAGGCTGTTCTCAAATTCCTGACCTTGTGATCCGCCCACCTCGGCCTCCTAAAGTGTTGGGATTACAGGTGTGAGCCACCGTGCCTGGCCCAACTAATTTTTATTGATTGAGAATATGAGCAATTTATATTTATTTTCCTCATTCTTATGTGTTATACTTGCAGCCTCATGAGATTATTGCGATGATCAAAATAACACGTGAAAATAATGTGTTACGGATTTTGCCCAGTGCTCTAAAATGTTATTTATTTTATATATATATAAATGCAGGAAGTTTTATTTATCAGTTAAGAAGAAAAAACAAATGTGAGTTCATGGTGTGGCAGTTGGTGGGGATATTTGCCATGAGGCAGCAGTTGCAATGAAAGGCCATTCTTTTTTTTTAGTTTCGCTCATGTTGCCCAGGCTGGAGTGCAATGGCGTGATTTTGGCCCTGTGCAACCCCCACCTCCTGGGTTCACACGATTCTCCTGCCTCAGCCTCACGAGTAGCTGGGATTACAGGCGCTTGCCACCATGCCCGGCTAATTTTTTGTATTTTTAGTAGAGACAGGGTTTTACCATGTTGGCCAGGCTGGTCTCAAACTCCGGACCCCAGGTGATCCTCCCGCCTCAGCCTCCCAAAGTGCTGGGATTACAGGAGTGAGCCACCACGCCCAGCCCATTCTTCTTTACCTGTACTCATTGTTGATTCCTAAGAATCCTCAGGCCAGGTGAGGTGGCGCACACTGTAATCCCAGCACTTTGGGAGGCTAAGGAAAGAGGATCACTTGAGGCCAGGAGTTCAAGACCAGCCTGGGCAATACAATGAGACCCCAGTCTCTACAAAACGTTTTTAGAATTTAGCCAGGCATGGTGATGTGTGCCTGTTGTCCTAGTTACTCAGACTGAGGCTGAGACAGGATAATGGCTTTAGCCCAGAAGCTCGAGGCTGCAGTGAGCTATGATTTTGCCGTTCAGCCTGTGTGACAGAGCAAGACCCTCAAAAAAATAAAAATAAAAAATCAAATGATGCAAAAGAAAAAAATCATCAAATGATGCAAAAAGAAAAGATAATCCAGTAAGAAACAGTGAAATCTCATTAACTCTTTATTAAGATATGGTACTACTTCTTGTGACAATACTGTATTTTGTCAGAAAATAGAAATTCCTTTCCCTTTATGTTAACATACTACTCATAACATGAACTTCAAGTATTAGAAGAATTATTTTTAACTGTCATAGTTTCCACTAATATTTTATTCTTTAACACATTATTGCAGAGCGTAAGGATTGAGTGTTTAGGCATTGTTACTGTAGAACCTCGGGGGAAAGTTACTTTTACAGCTGTCCTCCTCTAAAACTCCTGAACTGTGCCCATGCTGTTCTCTCCTGAATAGGCATTGAGCGATTGCTCATTCTTTTATCTGTATCAGATTTGTTCCTACACAATATTGTCAGGTGGGTTCCTGTTCGATAATGACATACTTTTTACTGGGAAATTATAAGAAAAAATTGCTTTTCTTGGATTTGAATTCCTCACAGCTCTGTTAATTGGTATTAATGGTTTTATCTCCAAACTGCAAATTTTTATACAAAGTGCTTCTATAGTACATATGTGGTACATGACATATATTAGGTGCTTAAATTTTGGATTTGTGGATGATGAATTTGGAAGTTTTACTTTTTGGTTGTTAAAAATGGGAAGATCAGAAATACTCTTAAATTTTAAGGTCATAAAATTATTTCTAGTAGTAAGAATTTTATAAGAAGCAAGCTATTAGGAGAATATATAATTTATGACAAAAGACTAAGAATGATATTTGTGAACTTTATTATTGTACTCTCAAGAGGTGGCTTCTACCTGTTTGGTTTGTTTTTAATCTATGTTAATTTAGAAATACTTATTAAAAGACTTTGGGATATTTCTTTTTATATGTGAATCTGCCCAGTCATAATACACAGTAATTAATTTAGATAAAAGTAATTTATTTCTCTCTGTCTTTTTTTTCCTGGGGGTTTTGGTATGGTAAAACATTTACATTTTCCTTTTTGTTGTGTTCTAAGAATTTGAATGATGACAGAAATGTAATACAAAAATTGTCTGTATCTCAGAAAAGATTGAGTTGCTTGCTGCTCTAAAAGTAGGGTCAGGTAGACCCTTTGTTGTTTTTCTTTCTGACACCCACTCAATTCTTGACCAAATATCTTATCCAACTAATAGTTACTGCAGGAAAATCTCAGGAAAAGCATGCCAAAGAAAATGAAGGCCTTTCTGGGACAGGAAGAACCTAGTTAGAGCAGCCCCAGGCTGTTTTACCCCATCAACAGAGCAAGAAAATCCCAAGAGAGACTTTTCCTTTAACCCATTTTTGTCAGTATTTCTCCTCTTTGGAACTGGAGTAAGGGAGCACAGGCTGTGGAATGGATCCTCATATTCTGAAAATGAATATATTAAGGAATATATTAAAGTGAGGAAGCCATTGGGAAAAATCATAGGGATCATTACATTATGAATGTCATTAGTTTTGGTTATTATTATGTCATGGATAATGACTACTTAATGAGCTTTGGGACATTAGGCAGGGTAACCTCTTTAAGCCCCATGAACTTATCTTTAAAATGGGGTTAATGATAGTTCTGCTTTCAGATGGTTGCCATGAAAATTAAACAAGACAGAGTGCATTGCTGAGGGTTTTTAGTTATAAGCCCTAGAATCTGGGTCTGACTGGCTTAAGCAGAAAAGGATTTGGAGTGGATATAGGAAATCTCAGCCTTGATAGAAGGGCTAGAGAACTGGACTCAAAGGTTAGACAGCTCTGCATACAGTGAAAATTATGACACAGAGTGGGTCTGAGGAGGACAGCTGCATTATTGCTGAGCATTGGATACTACAGCTTGCACTACCTGCATTGGGGCTGTGACTAACAATTGTCATTGCTACCTTTGAAGCCAGCTGTTACTGCCGCTGCTTCTTGAAATAATTCTTTACTGTTCCTTGTTCTTGGTATCGCCTGCCCCTGCTTCAGAATCTCAGGCAAGTGATTCTTTGTCAGATAGTCATGCCTTGTAGCAAGGAGCCTGGGAAAGCAAGGTTGATAATATCAGCTTTCACTTGGGCTCTGCCTACCTTGAAGACTTAGAAAACTGGACAAAGCAAAAGGGAGTGGGCAGCCCCCAAATTGATAAATTGCCACTATTTATAAAGTGCTTAGTACTATGCCTGGCATGTGGTAAGTACCTAATAAATATTTGCCAGTCTTTATTGCAAACAATGGTTGGGGAGGGTTGTATACTCAGACTTAATTTTTGAAGCAAACACGTTGGAGATAATAAAACAATAAAAGTCATGACTAGGTGAATGTAATTTCCAAGCCTAGAATTTACATGGTAGTCCAATTAAGTTAACTAGATTGTACCTCCCAACTGTTTTGAAGTAACTGAAGAGTGATTCTGGACTTGTTAGCCAAAATGTATAGGCAGCCAATAGCTCAGCTTGCCACTGAGACTCCATTGCCATTCTTTAGTTGCCACCTTTCCACCTGGTTTCCCATTTTTATAAGTGGTCAGTAATATAATTTAGAAAATCCTGGCCTTGGTGTCAGAAGCTCTGCCAGCAACTAGAAGTATGATTTGGAGCAGGTTACTTAGTCTCTCAGATTGTTGCCTGTGTGTGAATATGTGTGTAATACTGTTCCAGAAGTATTGTTGAGAGGTTAAATGAAAACCTGAAAATACCTAGCACATAGTGAATACTGCTCAGTAAGTATTTCTTATAAAAACAAAACAAGAGCCCTGGGAATGATAGAAGATCAAGTTTTACATTTCTTTTAAAAAGTGGAAGAAATCTGTAATGAATGGGTAAATATTTAAGCCAGCATAATTTAGGACAGTGCTTTCAGGGTGCCCACTGAGTGGAAATATTTTTATAGTAATACTAAGGCATTATTTGGCTTTTTCACTTTCATTCCCTCATGAATTGGGGTTCTAGAGGCTACATGATGTGTGATGTCACAACAGATTAGATACAGGAGCAGAAATGAAAATCCAGCTGTCTTCTATTTAGTCCGAATTAAAGATATTTGCAAAAATGTAAAACAAGGCCAGGCGCAGTGACTCACGCCTGTAATCCCAGCACTTTGGGAGGCCGAGGTGGGCGGATCATGAGGTCAGGAGTTTGAGACCAGCCTGGCCAATATGGTGAAACTCCATCTCTACTAAAAATACAAAAAAAAAAAAAAAATAGCCAGGCGTGGGGGTGCACGCCTGTAGTCCCAGCCACTCGGGAGGCTGACGCAGAAGAATCACTTGAACCCAGGGTGGGGAGGTTGCAGTGAGCTGAAATCGTGCCACTGCACTCTAGCCCGGGCGACAGAGCAAGACTTCGTCTCAAAAAAAAAAGTAAAACACCATTCTTCTCACTAAGTTTTCCTTTGGTTTTATAAATTATAGTTTTTTTTTAAATAAAAAGTATTTATGTTAACATGTAATGATGTTTATTTTTAAAAGAGTTAATAAATATTTTAAAATTCCTATTTTAATTCCTATTTTGGCAACTATTGATGAATATAACTTACATAAAAGCTCCTTGAGGACCTCAATAAATTTAAAGGATATAAAAGTTTCCTGAGACCAAAAAGTTTGAGAACTGCTGTATTAGGAAAAACTTTATAGGAGGAAATGATGTTTGACTAATTTATTTGAAGTATTTGAGTGAACCTTTGTTTATTTAAGTATGTGGACCTGCAACATGAAAATTTTGAAAAGTTTTCAAAATTTTTTGAAGTTTAGCCTATCAAAAATACATACTTATGCACATGGGGATTAAGTGGAATGAGTTGTTAGGGGTAGAGAATTTATATAGAAGTAGACAACTTTATTTATTTTTATTTTTATTTTATTTCATGTTTTTGAGACAGAATCTCGCTCTGTCGCCCAGGCTGGAGTGCAGTGGCGTGATCTCAGCTCACTGCAAACTCCTCCTCCCGGGTTCATGCCATTCTCCTGCCTCAGCCTCCCGAGTAGCTGGGACTACAAGTGCCCGCCACTGCGCCTGGCTAATTTTTTTATTTTTAGTAGAGACGGGGTTTCACCGTGGTCTTGATCTCCTGACCTCGTGATCCGCCCGCCTCGGCCTCCCAAAGTGCTGGGATTACAGGCTTGAGCCACTGTGCTCGGCCAGAAGTAGACAACTTTAAAAAAGGGATAATTTTGGATGAATAAATATGATCAGTCTGATTTATACACTGAAAGGATGATTCGGAAGAATTATGGTCAAGTGGAAAGATTACTGGACTAGGACTGAGAACACCTGTTCTGTATTCTGTCCCTGGCTTCTTGATTCAATAAATGCGTTTTTGAGTAAACTCTTCAGTGTTTTGAACTTCCATTTCTTCAAATAAAGAATGGGAGTAAAATTCCTGCCCTACTTTTTCTTTCATTCATTCAATAAATGTTTATTGAATATAGTGTACTAGGCTGTATTATAAGTTTTTACAGATATAGTGATAAAATATGCAAAATCCTTGCCTCAAGGGCATGAGGGTTTAATGAGAAAGGTGGAGATAAGTAAATAAATATATAAATAATTATAAGTTGTAATAAGTACTATAAAGGAATCAACTACTGAAATGAGAGGAAAATGCTACAGGCTTACTTACACAGGACCAACAGAGAAGACTTCTCTGAGGCAACGATGTTTAATCTGAGATCATACTTATGAAATGGAGCAAAAGGAATAGCTTCCAGCAAAGAAAACTGTGTGCAGAGGCTCTGAGGTTTGCCTAGAATGTTGTAAACATGAGGAATGGTAGAGCAAAATGAGGTTGGAGAGGTAGACAAGGTCTAGGTCTTGTCAGACCTTATAGGCCATGCAAAGAAGCCTGCTGTTTAGGTTTGTGAAGGGCTTAAATGTGTTCAAGGCTGAGAGATCTGTGTGGGAATATTTGGCCAGACTAGGGTGTTAGTGAATACAGTTTTAATCTGTTGAGACCGTTGTAATACATAATGAACATTGTCTCACAACTGTCCCTGGTTGATGTTCTCAGAGACAGATTAATGATCTGGAGAGTGATTCTAATTTAGTATTATTAAAATGCTTACATTATTACTACTGATAATTTATTCAATGGAGATATATTTCTCTTTTGGTTAGGTTCTTTAACAGAAGTGTGGTGTAACTAAATACATATCAGATTTTTCTACTAATTATATCTGTATTTATTTCAGTGCTCTTCTTTTTAGTGAAGTGAAATATATTACCAACCTGGAAGACCTTCAGAACATAGAAAATGCTCTGAAAGGAAAAGCAAATATTATATTCTCATATGTAAGAGCCATTGGAATACCAGGTATTCTTTAACTTTTGCTTTAATCTTTGCTGTGCCTCTGTACTTATGTATGTTGAAGTACTTAAAATAGTGTATTTTTTTGACTACAGTCGTAATATTTAAAATAAATCTAAAGCATCTTTACTATTAAGCTATTTTTCTTTAAATGGGCAGCGTAATACAGTGGTTGAATAAGAACTCTCTAGGTTAGACTTTCTGCCATACTGATTATTTGTAGTGAGCCCTTGGACAAGTTACTTAACTTCAGTTTCCTAGTGATTAAGATGGGGAAAATAAATTGTGCCTACCTGTTAGTGTAATTGTGAGAATCAAATGAACTTTAATGAATAATTAAAATAAATTATTTTAATTAAATAATTAAATGAATAATTAAATGGTTCCTAGAGTGTAGTAGGTACTCTGAAAGTGTTAGCTATTTTTTTTTAATTTCCTTATAGCCCTCCTTTACCTGGTATAGTAGTTTCCAGTATTCAGTAAATAATGTTGACTAACTTAGATTGGAAGGAGCAAAGATAGAGTAAGGGAGAAAAATAGGAAGTTATTGCAATAAGTCAAGCAAGAGATGATGCTGGGTGGCTTGGACCAGGGTGATGGCAGTGGAGGTGGCAATAAATTTGAATTTTAGCAGTGTTTGGGAAGTAAAGCTAACTGAGTTTGCTGATCTATTGGATATAGATTGAGAAATAGTGGAGACAAGGTTGGTTCTGGGGTTTCAGCCTGAGCTACTTGAAAGTTGAATTTGCTAGCAACTGAGGTTCAGAAGACTGGGAATAGATAATTTGGAGAGGAAGCTCTTGGAATTCACTTTTTGACATCATACTTATGAAATTCCCAAAAGACATTCAAATAGAGATATGAGTATGGTAGTTGGGTATTACTAGACTGCATTTCATGTTGGGAGTATGGACTAGGGAAGTAAATTTGAGAAATAAAGTTGTGAGACCAGAAGAGATCACTGAGTGAGTCTAGATGGAAAAGAGAAGACTGAACCTATTAGATACTTCAACATTTATGGATCAGTAAGGTAAGGATGAACCAGTAAAGGAGACAGAATGAATGTGGTAGAAGTGCCCAGTAAGCAAGGTAAAGATAGAGTTTTAAGGAAGAGAGCAGGAACAATTGTGTTAAATGATGCTGAAAGGTTGATTTAACGTCAGAAGTGCCAAGTGGCCATTATGCCTACCTAGCAGTATAGAAGTTACTGGTGACCTTGACAAGCACAGTTTCTGTAGAGTGGTAGGGGTTTAATGCCTGATAGGAGGGATATAAGACAGAAGAGGTAGAGAGCAATTGAAGGCCGAACACGGAGACTTGTTAGAAAAGTTTTGCTATTGGGAAGGAGAAAAACGGGGCACTGGCTGGAAGAATATATGGAGTTAGGAGAATAATTTTTTGAAAAGCATATTTGTATGTTAACGAGAAAGATGTGGTAGGAAAGGGGAAATGCCTCACACAGGAAAAAGGGGGGAGTTGGTGGAGCAAAGTTTTCGAGTAGGCAAGAGAGGATGGAATGTAGCGAACAAGGGCAGGGGTTGTTCTTGGGTGGGAGCACAGAAGGTTCATCTCTGGTAACCAGAGGGATGAGAAAATGCGGACATCCATTCAGCCAAGTGGGTGGGTAGATATGGTGCTAAGAGTTTATAAACGTTTTTTGGTTTGTTTTTTAATTGGTTGTTTGTTCTCAGTGAAATAGACACAAAATCATCAGCTAATTTGAGGGAAGAGTTGAGAGAGCTATTTCGGAGGCCTGGAAATAAAGAATGGTTGTTAGGCAGCAATAATAGTTAATATCAGCAATTTAAAGTGACACCATTAGCTTGGTGATGCTAGCTTGTTTTGGCTTCCCTCCCCCTCTCCCCAGCTATGTTTCCTTTTGCAGCTGTAAGTATTGAACAGGCTGAGCACTGAGTTAACCTGGATTACATTTTTTAGCCTAAAAAACGGGGCAGGGAAATTATTATAAAGATTGACCAGGGAATTTAAGCTTAATTAGAGGGAAAGAGAAGACCAGAGCGGGAGGACCTATGGATTGTAGGTCTTGATGGGTTAGAGTTGTGTGCTATACAGAGTGAGCTGGAGATGTGTGTTTGTGTGGGGGAGGAGGGAAATTATGGAGGGGATTGCGTTAATTGGTGATTGCAAGGTGTAGAGTTAGTGGTTAAGATATGATTGAAGAAGGATGACTGGAATAAAGAAGGCCAAGGCCTGAGAGGCTGGGATTTTGAAAGGATGATCTACCTGGATAATAATAAAATTCCCAAGGATTATGACAGGAGTAGTACTAGAGAGAGTGACAGTGTGACAGAAGCTAAATTCTTCATGGAATGACGGGAAGTGATCCTGGCTGGGGTGTTTTGGGTGACTCCAAGGTAGGGTGGTGAGTGGAATGATCTGATGATATGCAGTTCAAGTGCTAGGAGAGTATGTGGGGGATGGGAAGATAATTGTCTGGAAATGACAGTGAGGAGAAAAGGGAAAATAAAACCTGAAAAGGAGGAATCATCAAAGAAATACTTCAAGAAAATTTCCCAGAACTGAAGGATTTGAGCTGCCAGATGGAAAGGACCCATTGAGTCCCAGCATAGTGGAATACCACAGAGCCACACTAAGACGTCCTATTTTGAAATTTTAGAATATTAGATAAAAAGACTACTCTAAAATCTTCCAGAGAGGAAAGAAGAGTTTGCAGTTCAAGGATTGAGAATGAGAATAGCATCGAACTTCTTAAATTGCTGTACTAGAAATGGAAGGAAATGGAGCAGTGTTTTCGGAATTCTCAGGGGAAATGGGAAATGACTAGAACCTAGAATTCTGTACCCAGCCAACTATAGTTAATTTTGAAAATAAAATTAAGATGCTTTCAGATGTGCAGGACTGCAAAAGTTGTCTATTCATATGTCCTCTCACAGGAAGGTGTTAGATAATGGGCACAAGGAAGCAATAAAGAAGACGATATTGGATAACAGGCAAAAAGGACCCAACACAAGAGAGGGAGTAAGAGAATCCTCAGGATGGCAGTTGTGCAGCAGGCTAGGTAGCAAGAGTTCATATTGGAGCAAATCAGAAGGCTCTGCAGAAATGTTTACAAGAAGATTGATTTGATAGTATACTTGATATATTTGAAGTATTGAGAGAGTTAGAAAATTGTGGAAGAGTTTAGGAAGAAATTAGAAAAGAAAAACAAAATTTTTAAAAAGATAGTTAAAACTATAGTGAAGAAGTTTCTCAAAAAGGGAAAGTGGCCATTCTGTACCATATGGCTTCTCTGCAAATAGTATTTACTGAGTCAACAAAGTAATACTGATCTAATAAAAGTTAGAACTATATTGGGAGAGTTGGGATGGGATATGTTTACATTTGTGGAGCTGAGTTTCAGGAAAGAGATGATTTGTCATCTTCCACAGTAGGAAGTCAACAGATAATACTAAAACTCTTATTATATATATTAAGTTATATATGATACACACACACACACACACACACACACACACACACACACACATATGTATGAAATAAAGAGTTGAGATAAAAGAAATAAGAGAAGAAGAAATGAGTTGAAAGTGCTTGTCCCTTGGGAATTGGAAATGCAGTAGAGGGTGGGGGAGTGGCTATTAATATGCCTTGTAAAATTATTGTTTTCTTTCAGTGTAAGTTTGATTAAAAAAAACTAACCCAGAAATAACATACACAGACACATACACAAAACCTAACATGAAAGTTGTATGGTGGATTCATATTCTCTTCCCTACTACTGGAAAGAATCTACCACAAGTTTGTTGTATATTATATGCCTTGTAAAATTATTGTTTTCTTTCAGTGTAAGTTTGATTAAAAAAACTAACCCAGAAATAATATACACAGACACATACACAAATAAAACCTAACATGAAAGTTGTATGGTGGATTCATATTCTTTTCCCTACTACTAGAAAGAAACTACCACAAGTTTGTTGTATATTATATTCTCAAGTAAAAACTCATTTTCTACTCCCTCTGAATTCTTCTCTTACCTTGAATAGAATAGACTTTTTATAACTTCTTTTAACTGCCTGCATTTTCCCAACTAGTATCCCTGTGAAGGATTTTTCTTTAAATATAGTAGAACATAAAGGAGTGTAGGATAATATTCAGAATAGAAGTTTACATAGAGTCACACAAACTATTTTTTCCTGTCTTCCAACTCCCTTTATCTCTTCTTCAGAGCACAGAGCAGTCATGGAAGCCGCTTTTGTGTATGGGACTACATACCAATTTGTCTTAACCACAGAAATTGCCCTTTTGGAAAGTATTGGGTATGTATAAAAAGCATATGTCAACAATTTAAAGGTTTTTTTTTTCTTCTTCACTTATTTCGCATTACTTAGCATTTCCATTATGCTCCCACAGCATGGGCTTAGATAAAGGAACCATAGCAGATGTGAATATATAAATGAAACCTGAAATCCCCTTTATTACTATAGTCTGCTGTATTACAGTCTTAAAATATACCGAAGTGATGTTAGACTAAGGTAACGAAGGCAGTGTGGATAAGCCACAAGATGTGAGTGGCCAAGCGGGATATCTTAGGAATGGTTCTCCTGCGGTGATCAGATAGGGGGTAAAATAACAGCTTTCAAAATGAGGCTTCAGAAGTTCTTTGTGAGACTCTTGTAAGTTACTTTGTCATAATAATCTTAAATGTATTTAGGTACAGTTTTTGAACAGAATGTTTGAATGTTGATTTTTCTTGTCTAGTTTACAATTTTAGGTAGAAGCCTACTTTCCACACTTTTTGGCTGGGCAACCTAGGGTTAAAGTTTTCTTTCTTTTTTGTTTGACTTCAAAATGCTCTTCAGGAAAATTAATCCAAAACAGGGCACAATGGTGATTGTATGACCTTTTAATGCCATCCAAGAGTTTTTAATGAGCTCTCCTGCTGACCTCTCAGGAAACAGCAGCTATATGATATGCCACACACAAAAGTTTAAAGCCCAGATGTTTTACAGCTCTACATTTAGAGGCTAGGGCATAGCAAACTGATAAGGTGAAATGACTTTTGAGGGAAGGAGAGTAGGCAGAGAAGAAAGTTTCTACAAAGAGAAGTTATGTTTTTATTGCTCTGTATGACATTGACCAGCATTCCTTTTTCCATTAGTCTCTCCTTATTGACCTGTCTCATTCTGCTGATTTTGTCATTAATGAGTTAAATAAAATGGATGCATGCTCACTGTTTGTCTGTACTGCTGATTTCCCATCCTGGAATGGGTGAAGCCTTGTTATTCTCCATACCACAGTGATTGCATGCTAGCCCCGCAGTTTCTCTGAGGGTTAGTTGTTTGTATTCTCTCATCTTACCAGCCTCTATATTTTTTAGTTAATGAATAATTGCAAATAATAGTGATATTAAAACATAAAGAGGTGGTTATTTATTGGCAAGGTATAGGTCCTATTATTTACCTTACACATCCTGTTCAGTAAGTTATATATATAATATATATGTGTATATATACTGTATATATATGTATATACACACACACACACACAGAATATGTATATATCTGATCTAAGACTAAGGCATGGTATTTTTCTGTAAGATTTTTTTGCTTTTCCCATTTTTTAAATGGGAATTTAAAAATGCACAGTTATCTTCTTATCCTGTTTTTCGTTTGCTTTTGAATATATGATGTATTGGGGAAGTTTGGAATATCATTTCTTCATGGGTAACAAGATGGTGATGAGTCATCCCTGGACCTGAGGTGACAGGGAAAGACTATGGATTCTGAATACAGTGGTGCTGTGATATCACTTTTGGATAAAGTAGTTGGCTATTTGGGTTATCTCCTAATAGGAGTGAGGTGAATACATTCTTTCTTTCACTTGTTAATTCTTTCATTCAGCAAATATTTATTGAATGCTTCCTATGTGATGTAGACACTATTCTAGTTTCTGGCTTTATAACATCAGTTAAGGCTAGTATATTAATTGCTATATCATATTGGATCTGAGTGTGTTTGAAATTATTTGTTAAGAAAAGCATTTATGATAGGTAGTAAAAGAGATAGCATGCCATAGACTCCAGTACTTTCTGCTACTTCCCTATATTCCCTTCCTAAAGAATCTGTGGGCCAAGAAGGGTATTACCCATGCCCCATACATGTCACAATCCATTAAATCAGAGGTGGACACCTGACCTAGGGCCCGCCAGTCCACTGGCTTACTTGAGCAAGTGAGAGAGATGAGAGATCCTCTCTCCCAGGAACTTAGAATTGGACATGGAAAAACTGGATTATACAACATGGTAGCTGTTTTGCTCACAGGAATGTTTTGCCCACTTATAAGTAAAACAGAAAGGTGTCTTCCCAGATTGAATTGAGAGCTGAAAAGTGTTAATATGGCAAACGAAGTTCCCTGAACGCTTGCTGTTTGGGTGTCTACATTTATTCTCTGACTTTTCTCTGATCCAATTATTTGAATTTTCCTTATATTCTGTGAGATTCTCTTATAAACTTCAAATAAGTTTCACTGTTTTTGTTTTCCGTTATCTGCAAGCAAATGATCCCTGATAAAATAATTTTCCAACATTATTCTGTTGTTTCAGAGGCTGTGTTATGGAGTCCAGCCTTAACTAGGACCTCCTGCACTCAACACTTTCCTTTCAGCAGTATGTGACTATTCAGGAATCTCCTCAACAAGTTATATGCTTTCATTGCATCTTAGCTTTTGTTTGAAATGCTCATTTGTCCTATCTTATTGGAGGGGGAATTCTCTCCCTTTTTGTTTTTTAAGCTCTGCGATAATCTCCGTTTTCTTCCCCTTCCTTCTCCTTCCTAATTTGAAGCACAAAGAAATATTTCCTTGTTCCTTATAGTATTTTTGCATATTATAGCACTTACAAACTACAATTTAATTGTTTGACTATATCTCTTTCAAGGATGTAATTGTTTTATTTACCTTTATCTGTTGTGTTTAGCACAGGGCTTAAACCATAGTAGGGATTAAGTAAATCTTTGACTATTTCTTTAATCATTGAATTGATTAGAAATTACTTGGTAATTAAATTTGAAATCAGTGAACCTTGTCAGCTCAGTTTAAATATGTCTCAAGAATTAAAATAGCATTTTAAAAATAAAATTTTGTAGTATTTTGCCAAACCCTACTAATGCCATATGGATATTTCTAAAATGCTATTTTAATTTTGGCAAACCTTATCTCCACTATAAGTTTATCTTTGAATTCTCATGCTGAAGGGAATGCGAAAGCTCAAATTATAAGCCATATTTGCTGAGTTTTGTAATATTTCAGATACAAACTCACAAACTCCCACAAACTGTCACATGGTTTCTATTTTAGAATGTTTTGGCTGAAGTTTATTCAAAACAGCTTTGGGTTTAAATTAAATTTAGAAAATTTGCGTTACAAAGCTTCATTTAGCATAGCTCTAGAAAAGCAACTGTATTTGAAGATAATCTCATTGTCCGCAAGGTGACAGCTTTTTATGGAAGAAAGGTTATAGGCTTGCCTATAACCTATTATAATTTAGAAACTACCATATTAAAGAGGTAAGCAAAAAAAAATTGTTTATACAACTCGTGTGGTTTGTTCAGATATTAAGGTTAATTTTCTTTAATATTCTATATCTTCTTTGTTGCCCAAGTTCATTTAATTTTATACTCTTTCAGGCTTTTACCAAAATAATAATTCAAAAGCATGAGACTTAAGACAAAATTCATTGTTACAGCTTATTGGATGGTAGAAGGATCACATATTGAACTTCATTAAGTTAATTAATTTTTAATTTGTAGCTCTGAGGATGTGGAATATGCACATCTCTACTTTTTTCATTGTAAACTAGTCTTGGACTTGACCCAGCAATGTAGAAGAACACTAATGGAACAGCCATTGACTACACTGAACATTCACCTGTTTATTAAGACAATGAAAGCACCTCTGTTGGTATGTGTCTTATTTTATATTTTTATTTGCTTTCTACTGCCTGTATAATTGCAAAAGGTATGTGTCTTATTTTAACATAAAATTTGTTAAGTTTTGATTTATAGATGCATGTTTTACTAGATGAATGACAGTTATAGCTTTTCCCTTTTTTTCATTTTGAGGGATTTAGGAATAATTCTTTATTAAAGGTAGAATAGAAGATAGACTGTTCATTAAATGACATTTTAATGCCTTCATATATTATTGCATTGAAACCCAAATAGAGCATTGTGTAAGTGAAAATATTCTGTGGTAGTAATAATGAACTCTGGGTCTTGGTGAGCACTCACAGATCACAAAGACCACATCATGGCTAAGAAAAGACCTCTTTTATGAATGCTTTGATCACTATTTTAAAAGTTGGTAGATATTAGAACCATAGGATTTCTGATGCTCCAGTTTCCTTACCATTAGCCTGAAAGAATGTTGTAGAGACACTAGGTGATGGTGATCAGCAAACTGTTCTCTCCGAAAAGTTGAAGGGTTGTGTTGAGCACATGTAAAATCTTTAGTAGATATTCTCATTCAGTATGTCTTTTTTAAAATATAAAAGTGGTGCATGTGTATTATAAGTAATCCAAACATTGCAGCCAAGTATGAAGGAAAAGTTTTAAGAAGTCACTTAATCCGTCTACTCAGAAGTTAATTTAGATGACCACCACACTTGTGATCTTTGCACTCATATGGATGTGTAGAGTTAGGGGAATGAATGGATTAGTGGACATGTCATATTGTATGTACTACTTTATAGTAAAGATATCTAATGTTATTTGAGTTTAATAGAAGAAAATGAAACTGATGTGAAACTAGAGGGATTATGGAACTATTGATAAGTGTTTTTCATCAGTAGAGGGCTCCTTAAGGAATATTGTCTCAAGTGTTTAAAATGGTTTTGAAAGACATTAAGAAATTAAAATCATTATATTTTAAAACTTTGTTTCCATTTTAGATAGTATTGACTTATTCCTACCTGTGAAAGATGAGAAAATTAACTTCATATGTTTATTTCCATCTCAGCTCCCTTGCCCTTCTGATTTGTGTTCGTTTTGTTCTTTGAACATTATCAAGGTCTATGATATTTATATTCTGTATATTCTGTTCTGTAACCATAATTCCCTCTTCTTAAAAAGCATTGCTTCTGCACTTAAATAGATTCAGAGCTTGCCACCACAATTTTATGGGCTTTATTCCTTAGTTCTTTTTTTTTTTTTTTATTTCTTGAGACGGAGTCTCGCTCTGTTTCCCAGGCTGGAGTGCAGTGGCGCGATCTCGGCTCACTGCAAGCTCCTCCTCCTGGGTTCACGCCATTCTCCTGCCTCAGGCCTCCTGAGTAGCTGGGAGTACAGGCACCTGCCACCACACCTGGCTAATTTTTTTGTATTTTTTAGTAGAGATGGGGTTTTATTGTCTTAGCCAGGATGGTCTCGATCTCCTGACCTCATGATCTGCCCGCCTGGACCTCCCAAAGTGCTGGGATTACATGCGTGAGCCACCACGCCCAGCCATTCCTTAGTTCTTTTTTTTTTATGTGCTGCCATTTTTTAATTTTTTTATTATTATTATACTTTAAGTTTTAGGGTACATGTGCACAACATGCAGGTTTGTTACATATATATACATGTGCCATGTTTGTGTGCTGCACCCATTAGTTCTTTAAGTAACTTTTTTCTGTGGTTGCATTTTGACTACAAGTAATTTTTTTTTTAAAGAAAGCAGTTTAAAGGTCTTTCGTTCCTTTCATGTTGGGAGAATACCCTCTGAATATGTTTTAATCTTCCATTCTAGCATAGAGCAGAGAGAAAGAGAAAGGACAGTTCACTGTATAGTTCTTCACTATTTCCCTCCAGGTTCACTTCCTTCTCTTCGAATAGTTGAGTATTATTAAGAATTCTCAGGATTTTGTCCTTCACCATCGGGGGTAAGATTAGGACTCATACCTAGCTTTACTAAAAATCTGTTTTTTCTTTGCTACAACATTCTGGCTTGAAGTTGTGCCCTTTCCTAAAGTTTCTGCTCATGAATTTTTTTTTTGCTGTATTTCAAAACTCTTTTTTGTTTTCTTTGATAGATAATAAGGAGGAAGATTCTCTGATCTTATTTCACTTTATGATGCTTACTAGGAATTATGTAATATTAGTTTTTTTTATTATACTTTAAGTTTTAGGGTACATGTGCACAACGTGCAGGTTTGTTACATATATATACATGTGCCATGTTGGTGTGCTGCACCCATTAACTCGTCATTTAACATTAGGTATATCTCCTAATGCTATCCCTCCCCGCTGCCCCCACCCCACAACAGGCCCCGGTGTGTGATGTTCCCCTTCTTGTGTCAATGTGTTCTTTTGTCAATAAGTAAGAACATGCGGTGTTTGGTTTTTTTGTCCTTGCAATACTTTGCTGAGAATGATGGTTTCCAGCTTCATCCATGTCCCTACAAAGGACATGAACTCATCATTTTTTAAGGCTGCATAGTATTCCATGGTGTATATATGCCACATTTTGTTAATCCAGTCTATCATTGTTGGACATTTGGGTTGGTTCCAAGTCTTTGCTATTGTGAATAGTGCCGCAGTAAACATACGTGTGCATGTGTCTTTATAGCAGCATGTTTTATAATCCTCTGGGTATATACCCAGTAATGGGATTGCTGGGTCAAATGGTATTTCTAGTTCTAGATCCCTGAGGAATCCCCACACTGACTTCCACAATGGTTGAACTAGTTTACAGTCCCACCAACAGTGTAAAAGTGTTCCTATTTCTTCACATCCCCTCCAGCGCCTGTTGTTTCCTGACTTTTTAATGATCGCCATTCTAACTGATGTGAGACGGTATCTCATTGTGGTTTTGATTTGCATTTCTCTGATGGCCAGTGATGGTGAGCATTTTTTCATGTGTCTTTTGGCTGCATAAATGTCTTCTTTTGAGAAGTGTCTATTCATATCCTTCGCCCACTTGTTGATGGGGTTGTTTGTTTTTCTCTTGTAAATTTGTTTGAGTTCATTGTAGATTCTGGATATTAGCCCTTTGTCAGATGAGTAGATTGCAAAAATTTTCTCCCATTCTGTAGGTTGCCTGTTCACTCTGATGGTAGTTTCTTTTGCTGTGCAGAAGCTCTTTAGTTTAATTAGATCCCATTTGTCAATTTTGTCTTTTGTTGCCATTGCTTTTGGTGTTTTAGACATGAAGTCCTTGCCCATGCCCATGTCCTAAATGGTATTGCCTAGGTTTTCTTCTAGGGTTTTTATGGTTTTAGGTCTAACATTTAAGTCTTTAATCCATCTTGAATTAATTTTTGTATAAGGTATAAGGAAGGGATCCAGTTTCAGCTTTCTACATATGGCTAGCCAGTTTTTCCAGCACCATTTATTAAATAGGGAATCCTTTCCCCAATTTCTTGTTTTTGTCACATTTGTCAAAGATCAGATACTTATAGATATGCGGCATTATTTCTGAGGGCTCTGTTCTGTTCCATTGGTCTATATCTCTGTTTTGGTACCAGTACCATGCTGTTTTGGTTACTGTAGCCTTGTAGTATAGTTTGAAGTCAGGTAGCATGATGCCTCCAGCTTTGTTCTTTTCACTTAGGATTGACTTGGCAATGTGGGCTCTTTTTTGGTTCCATATGAACTTAAAGTAGTTTTTTCCAATTCTGTGAAGAAAGTCATTGGTAGCTTGATGGGGTTGGCATTGAATCTATAAATTACCTTGGGCAGTATGGCCATTTTCACGATATTGATTCTTCCTACCCATGAGCATGGAATATTCTTCCATTTGTTTGTATCCTCTTTTATTTCACTGAGCAGTGGTTTGTAGTTCTCCTTGAAGAGGTCCTTCACATCCCTTGTAAGTTGGATTCCTAGGTATTTTATTCTCTTTGAAGCAATTGTGAATGGGAGTTCACTCATGATTTGGCTCTCTGTTTGTCTGTCCTTGGTGTATAAGAATACTTGTGATTTTTGCACATTGATTTTGTATCCTGAGACTTTGCTGAAGTTGCCTATCAGCTTAAGGAGATTTTGGGCTGAGACAATGGGGTTTTCTAGATATACAATCATGTCATCTGCAAACAGGGACAATTTGACTTCCTCTTTTCCTGATTGAATACCCTTTATTTCCTTCTCTTTCCTGATTGCCCTGGACAGAACTTCCAACACTATGTTGAATAAGAGTGGTGAGAGAGGGCATCCCTGTCTTGTGCCAGTTTTCAAAGGGAATGCTTCCAGTTTTTGCCCATTCAGTATGATATTGGCTGTGGGTTTGTCATAGATAGCTCTTATTATTTTGAGATACATCCCATCAATACCTAAGTTGTTGAGAGTTTTTAGCATGAAGGGTTGTTGAAGGCCGGGTGCGGTGGCTCACGCCTGTAATCCCAGCACTTTGGGAGGCCGAGGCGGGTGGATCATGAGGTCAGGAGATCGAGACCATCCTGGCTAACAAGGTGAAACCCCGTCTCTACTAAAAATACAGAAAATTAGCCGGGCGCGGTGGCGGGCGCCTGTAGTCCCAGCTACTCGGGAGGCTGAGGCAGGAGAATGGCGTGAACCCGGGAAGCGGAGCTTGCAGTGAGCCGAGATTGCGCCACTGCAGTCCGCAGTCTGGCCTGGGCGACAGAGCGAGACTCCGTCTCAAAAAAAAGAAAAAAGAAAAAAAAAAAAAAAAAAAAAAAAGGGTTGTTGAAATTTGTCAAAGGCCTTTTCTGCATCTATTGAGATGATCATGTGGTTTTGGTCGTTGGTTCTGTTTATATGCTGGATTACGTTTATTGATTTATGTATGTTGAGCCAGCCTTGTATCCCAGGGATGAAGCCCACTTGATCATGGTGGATAAGCTTTTTGATGTGCTGCTGGATTTGGTTTGCCAGTATTTTATTGAGGATTTTTGCATCAATGTTCATCAGGGATACTGGTCTAAAATTCTCTTTTTTTGTTGTGTCTCTGCCAGGCTTTGGTATCAGGATGATGCTGGCCTCATAAAATGAGTTAGGGAGGATTCCCTCTTTTTCTATTGATTGGAATAGTTTCAGAAGCAATGGTACCAGCTCCTCCTTGTACCTCTGGTAGAATTCGGCTGTGAATCCATCTGGTCCTGGACTATTTTTTGGTTGGTAAGCTATTAATTATTGCCTCAATTTCAGAGCCTGTTATTGGTCTATTCAGAGATTCAACTTCTTCCTGGTTTAGTCTTAGGAGAGTCTACGTGTCGAGGAATTTATCTATTTCTTCTAGATTTTCTAGTTTATTTGTGTAGAGGTGTTTATAGTATTCTCTGATGGTAGTTTTTATTTCTGTGGGATCGGTGGTGATATCCCCTTTATCATTTTTTATTGTGTCTATTTGATTCTTCTCTCTTTTCTTCTTTATTAGTCTTGCTAGCGGTCTATCAGTTTTGTTGATCTTTTCAAAAAACCAGCTCCTGGATTCATTGATTTTTTTGAAGGGTTTTTTGTGTCTCTCTCCTTCAGTTCTGCTCTGCTGCTCTGATCTTAGTTATTTCTTGCCTTCTGGTAGCTTTTGAATGTGTTTGCTCTTGCTTCTGTAGTTCTTTTAATTGTGATGTTAGGGTGTCAATTTTAGATCTTTGCTGCATTCTCATGTGGGCATTTAGCGCTATAAATTTCCCTCTACACACTGCTTTGAATGTGTCCCAGAGATTCTGGTATGTCATGTCTTTGTTCTCATTGGTTTCAAAGACATCTTTATTTCTGCCTTCATTTCGTTATGTACCCAGTATTCCTTCAGCAGCAGGTTGTTCAGTTTCCATGTAGTTGAGCGGTTTTGAATGAGTTTCTGAATCCTGAGTTCTAGTTTGATTGCACTGTGGTCTGAGAGACAGTTATAATTTCTGTTTTTTTACATTGCTGAGGAGTGCTTTACTTCCAACTATGTGGTCAATTTTGGAATAGGTGTGGTGTGGTGCTGAAAAGAATGTATATTGTGTTGATTTGGGGTGGAGAGTTCTGTAGATGTGTATTAGGTCTGCTTGGTGCAGAAGTGAATTCAATTCCTGGATATCCTTGTTAACTTTCTGTCTTATTGATCTGTCTAATGTTGACAGTGGGGTGTTAAAGTCTCCCATTATTATTGTGTGTGAGTCTAAGTCTCTTTGTAGGTCGCTAAGAACTTGCTTTATGAATCTGGTTACTCCTATATTGGGCGCATATATATTTACGATAGTTAGCTCTTCTTTTTGAATTGATACCTTTACCATTATGTAATGGCCTTCTTTGTCTCTTTTGATCTTTGTTGGTTTAAAGTCTGTTTTATCAGAGTCTAGGATTGCAACCCCTGCCTTTTTTTGTTTTCCATTTGCTTGGTAGATCTTCCTCCATCCCTTTATTTTGAGCCTATGTGTGTCTCTGCACATGAGATGGGCTTCCTGAATACAGCACACTGATGGGTCTTGACTCTTTATCCAATTTGCCAGGCTGTGTGTTTTAATTGGAGCATTTAGCCCATTTACATTTAAGGTTGATATTGTTATGTGTGAATTTGATCCTGTCATTATGATGTTAGCTGGTTATTTTGCTCGTTAGTTGATGCAATTTCTTCCTAGCATTGATGGTCTTTACAATTTGGAATGTTTTTGCAGTGGCTGGTACCGGTTGTTCCTTTCCATGTTTATTGCTTCCTTCAGGAGCTCTTTTAGGGCAGGCCTGGTGGTGACAAAATCTCTCAGCATTTGCTTGTCTGTAAAGTATTTTATTTCTCCTTCACTTATGAAGCTTAGTTTGGCTGGATATGAAATTCTGGGTTGAAAATTCTTTTCTTTAAGAATGTTGAATATTGGCCCCCACTCTCTTCTGGCTTGTAGAGTTTCTGCTGAGAGATCAGCTGTTAGTCTGATGGACTTCCCTCTGTGGGTAACCCGACCTTTCTCTCTGGCTGCCCTTAACATTTTTTCCTTCATTTCAACTTTGGTGAATCTGACAATTATGTGTCTTGGAGTTGTTCTTCTCGAGGAGTATGTTTGTGGTGTTCTCTGTATTTCCTGAATCTGAATGTTGGCCTGTCTTGCTAGACTGGGGAAGTTCTCCTGGGTAATATCCTGCAGAGTGTTTTCTAACTTGGTTCCATCCTCCCCCTCACTTTCAGGTATACCAGTCAGACGTAGATTTGGTCTTTTCACGTAGTCCCATATTTCTTGGATGCTTTGTTCTTTTTATTCTTTTTTCTCTAAACTTCTCTTCTCGCTTCATTTCATTCATTTGATCTTCCATCACTGATACCCTTTCTTCCAGTTGATTGAGTCAGCTACTGAGGCTTGTGCATTTGTCCCGTAGTTCTCGTGCCATAGTTTTCAGCTCCATCAAGTCCTTTAAGGACTTCTCTGCATTGGTTATTCTAGTTAGCCATTCGTCTAATCTTTTTTCAAGGTTTTTAACTTCTTTGCCATGGCTTCGAACTTCCTTCTTTAGCTCGGAGTAGTTTGATCGTCTGAAGCCTTCTTCTCTCAACTCATGAAAGTCATTCTCTGTCCAGCTTTGTTCCATTGCTGGTGAGGAGCTGCGTTCCTTTGGAGGAGTAGAGGTGCCCTGATTTTTAGGGTTTCCAGTTTTTCTGCTCTGTTTTTTCCCCATCTTTGTGGTTTTTTATCTACCTTTGGTCTTTGATGATGGTGATATACAGATGGGGTTTTGGTGTGGATGTCCTTTTTGTTTGTTAGTTTTCCTTCTAACAGTCAGGACCCTCAGCTGCAGGTCTGTTGGAGTTTGCTGGAGGTCCACTCCAGACCCTGTTTGCCTGGGTATCAGCAGCAGAGGCTGCAGAACAGCGAATATTGGTGAACAGCAAATGTTGCTGCCTGATTGTTCCTCTGGAAGTTTTGTCTCAGAGGAGTACCTGGCCATGTGAGGTGTCAGTCTGCCCCTACTGGGGGGTACCTCCCAGTGAGGCTACTTGGGGGTCAGGGACCCACTTGAGGAGGCAGTCTGTTCTCAGATCTCAAGCTGCGTGCTGGGAGAACCACTGCTCTCTTCAAACCTGTCAGACAGGGACATTTAAGTCTGCAGAGGTTTTTGCTGCCTTTTCTTTGGCTAAGTCCTGCCCCCAGAGGTGGAGTCTACAGAGGCAGGCAGGCCTCCTTGAGCTGTGGTGGGCTCCACCCAGTTGGAGCTTCCCATCTGCTTTGTTTACCTACTCAAGCCTTGGCAATGGCGGGCGCCCCTCCTCAAGCCTCGCTGCCACCTTGCAGTTTGATCTCAGACTGCTGTGCTAGCAATGAGTGAGGCTCTGTGGGCATAGGACCCTCGGAGCCCTCAAGCGCGGGATATAATCTCCTTGTGTGCCATTTGCTAAGACCGTTGGAAAAGCGCAGTGTTAGGGTGGGAGTGACCCAATTTTCCAGGTTCCGTCTGTCACCCCTTTTCTTGGCTAGGAAAGGGAATTCCCTGACCCCTTGCACTTCCTGGGTGATGCGATGCGTCACCCTGCTTCGGGTCACGCTCGGTGCGCTGTACCGACTGTCCTGCACCCACTGTTTGACAATCCCCAGTGAGATGAACCTTGTACCTCAGTTGGAAATGGAGAAATCATTCATCTTCTGCCTCGCTCACTCTGGGAGCTGTAGACTGGAGCTGTTCCTATTTGGCCATCTTGGCTCCACCCCCCTGTAGTATTAGTTTTGAAATTAAAAAACCAAAGCTTTGGAAACTTCATAATGACTTCAGTTAAGTGTGGTTTTACCTGAAAGCATAACATGGCAAAAAATTAAGGGCATCATTTATATTGTATTCTGTAGGAACAACAGCCCCTTGAAATACACGTTTTATAAAATACAATGTCAATGGTACTTTGTAGAGTTGTGCCATGCAGGTGACCCTGCTCTAACCACTGTTCACTCAAAAGGAATATTAAATTGTTAATCAAAGTCTGGAGTAGGTTTTGCTTCAACACTTTCACAGAATAATGCATAAGCGTTTTATTTGTTTGAACTTTTTTTTCCTAGACAACTAGGGAACTTGGATATAGGATTCAGGCAGAGGCTCCAGAAGCCCCGGTAGACACTGAAATAGGTAGGAATGACCAGTAGCATAAAACCAAGAAAGATCTGAAAGGCTGAATTGAAGATCAGAGCCAAATTGGAAAGCTAAGCTGAGAATTCAAACCTTGATGTCAGCCTAGGAATACTTGGCAGAGTGAGGCCTAGAAGCACAGATTCGTGGACTTTCATAGACCAGAACAGAGAAAATGAATGCAGAGTACAGAAAAGGAGACAAAGCCTCGAAAGATTCCTTGAGACTATTGGCGGGTGGCTAAGGCTTACCCCGGTGGAATTAGGAAGATGTTAGAATCCTCAGCTGGTTTGGTCACTTTTATGTTTTATTTCTTTAAACATTTGACCATATCAGTATTTGAGGTTGTTTTTTGTTCTTAAATAATACATTTGAGGTTAAAAAAACTGAGTCACGCCAAACACTTTTATAGGAAACACCTCTTAGACCAAAATTTGTTCTAACGGGTTATACCCTTTGATGGTATAGTTAACTGGAATGAGATAGAGAGGTCCCAAAAGGTGGTACCTAAATTTGTTGACTTCTTACAGGTTCTTATTAGTAGCCGACTTCATAGGACTTTGAATTCATGTTTCTTGCTTTATTCTTATTCTCTCATAGTACTACTGAAGCTCATTCCCCCTGTTATCTTAGACATTATTCTATATACAAGCCCTTGGGGTTTAATCATGGTTGGGTTTTGTGTGTTTGGTAAGATGCTTTGCAAATTAGCCTGGGTTTCTGGGTTCAGGATCTGAAATAATTTGGTATGTTTACAAAGTCTTTTTATAAACTAATAAAAATGGAAAGTAGGATTCAGGCTTTTTTGTAAACGGCATTGTGTCTGATCATTGCAATTATATGTATTATTAGTTCACTTCTAAGCATATGAAAATAGATGCAGATTGCTTTTGTATGTGTGTTTATTGCTTTTTTTTTCTTTTAGGTAAACAGGGTACTTGGACACCTAATTGTAGATATATAACACAACTATGTCTTATACTCACGATGGGAGGTGTGTCATTTTGATCATGTCAAACTGAAAATAAATCTTGAGTATAGAATTTTTAAGTGAATTTCAATCTTAAATAGGTTAAGTAAGATTCTGCCAGATATGGAGTTGTTTTAGATGTATTATTAAGGTTCCCAACAGTGAACACAGATGGGAAAATGGTTCAATTATTGTCCTGTTGGCAAATACCAAGGACATTTTAGAATGCTGATGATTTTCTCCATGATGGATTCAGTTTATATTTGTAGATAGAAGGAAAGCTTTTATCTGAATCCCAATTGAGAATCTGAATTCTCAAGTGCAAATATCTAATAAAATGTTAAAAGATGGGTAAGTTTATACATTTTTAATAATTTCTGAAATTTTTACATTATTTTTTGTTTGTTCATCTAGCTGTCTGTCTCAGATTCAAGACACTTGAATTAAGTTAAACCTACTCTTTTATATAGGAAATTAGAAAGATGCTGTTATGATTTATTCATTTAGCTCCTATTTCTAGAGAACTTATGTGGCAGTGTGCAATATTGTGCAGCATAGTGTTTCCTAACATGGTTATTTTAGAGACTTTTTTTCCATTGTTGTAAAAACCGTGTAAGATTACCCTCATCACAATTTGAAAGTGTATAATACAGTATTAGCTGATGTACGTTGTTGTACAGCAGGTCTCTGGAACTTTGTCATATTGCACGACTGAAACTCTATACTCATTGAACACACAACTTCACATCTCCCCTCTACCTGACCGCAGTCCTTGACACCACCAGTCTACTTTCCATTCGTATGAGTTTGATTACTGTAGATACCACATATACACTGAGTTATGCCATATTTGTTTTTGCAGTTGGCTTATTTCACTTAGAATAATGTCCTCAAGGTTCATCCATGTTGTAGTGTATGTCAGGATTTTATTCTTTTTTAAGGCTGAATAATATTCCGTTGGACGTATATACCGCATTTTATTTATCCATTCATCCATTGATAGACGTTTAGGTTGCTTCCACCTCTTGGCTATGGTGAGTAATGCTGCAATGGACATGGGTATTCTCTGAGATCTTTTTTCTCATTCTTTTGAAAATATACCCAGAAGTGGGATTGCTGGATCATATGGTAGTTTCATTTTTAATTTTTGAAGAACCTCCATATACTCAGCCCTCTGTATCTGTGGATTCTGCATCCTTGGATTAAACCAACTGCAGATGAAAAATAATTAAAACCCAATAAAAATAAAAATATAACAATAAAAATAATACAAAATTAAATTATGGTATAACAACTATTTACATAGTATTTACATTGTATTTGATATTATAAATAATCTAGAGATGATTTTAAGGTATACAAGATGGAGCGTGTAGGTATATGCAAATACTATGACTTTTATATAAAGAACTTGAACATTTATGGATTTTGGTATATTTAAGGGGTGTAGAGAAACTGATTCCTTATGGATACTGAGGGATGACTGTACTGTTTTCATAGTGCCTGCACCATTTTACAGTCTCACCAACAGTGCACAAGGGTTCATTTCTTCATATCTTCACCAACGTTTGTCATTCTTTTCTTTCTTTTCTTTTTTTTTTTTTGATAGTGGCCATTTTAAAGGATATGAGATGATACCTCATGGTGGTTTCGAGTTTTATTTTCCCGATGATTAGTGATGTTGAGTATCGTCTCATATGCTTGGCCATTTGTGTATCTTCTTTGGAAAAATGTCTATTCAAGTCTTTTGTCCATTTAAAAAATTGAGTTATTTGTTTTGTTATTGAATTATGGGGGTTCTCTGTATGTTCTGTATGTTAACTCTTTATCTCATATATGTTTTGCAGACATTTTCTCTCATTCAGTTGTCTTTTTACTCTATTAGAAGTTTTAGTTTGTCTATTTTTGCTTTTGTTGTTTGTGCTTTTGTTGTCATATCCAAGAAATTGTTGCCCATTTCAATGTCATGAAACTTTTCCCCCTATGTTTTCTTTTAGGAGTTTTACTTTCAGGTCTTATGTTTAGGTATTTAATCCATTATGAGTTAACTTTTGTATATGCTGTGAGATAAGGGTCCATTTTCATTCTTTTGCATGTGGATATCCAGTTTTCCCAGCACCATCTATTGAAGAGACTGTCCTTTCTTTACTGAGTGGTTTTGACATCCTTGTCAAAGATCATTTGAACATATACATGAAGGTTTATTTGTGGGCTCTCTATTTTGTTCCATTGGTCTATGTGTCTGTTTTTATGCCAGTACTAGGCTATTTTGATTACTGTAGCTTTGTAATATATTTTGAAATCAGAAAGTGTGAGGCCTCTAGCTTTGTACTTCTTTCTCAAGATTGTCTGGGCTATCTGAAATCCCTTGAGATTCCATATGAATTTTAGGATTTTTTTTCTATTTCTGCAAAAAATACCATTGGGATTTTAATAGGGATTGCATTGAATCTGTAGATTGCTTTGGGTAGTATAGACATTTTAATAATATTATTAAGTCTTCTAATCCATGAACACAGAATGTCTTTCCATTTATTTATGTCTTTTAAATTTTCTCTCAGCAATGTTTTGTAGTTTTCAGTATAAGGGTCTTTTACCTCCTTTGTTCAATTTATTCCAAAGTATTTTATTCTTTTTCAATGCTATTGTAAATGGGATTATTTTCTTAATTTTATTTTTGGATTGCTCATTATTAGTGTATAGAAATGCAACTGATTTTTGTATGCTGATTTTGTATCCTGCAAAATGGTTCTTATGGTTTTCTGGTGTGTGTGAGTGTGTGTGTGTGTGTGTGTGTGTGTGTGTGTGATCTTTAGGGTTTTGCACATATAAGATCCTATTACCTGTGAACAGAGATAATTTTACTTCTTCTTTTCCAATTTTGATGCATTTATTTGTTTTCCTTACCTAATTGGTGTGGCTAGGACTTTCAGTTCTATGTTGAATAAAAGTGTCAAGAGTGGGTATCCTTGACTTGTTCATGGTCTTAGAGGGAAAGTTCACAGTTTTTTAACCATTGAATATGATATTGGCTGGGCTTTTCATTTATGCTGTTTAATATCTTGAGGTAATTTATTTCTGTTCCTAGTTTATTGTGAGTTTTTATCATGAAATTGTGTTGAATATTTTCAAATGCTTTTCCTGCATCAATCGAAATGACCATGTGATTTTTGTCCTTTGTTCTGTCAATTTGGTGTACAGTATTACATTAATTAGTTTCTGTGTGTCAAACCATCCTTGCATTGCAAGCATAAATCCCTCTTGCTCATGATGAGTGGTCCTTTTAATGTGCTGCTGAATTCAGTTTGGTAGGTTTTTTTTTTTTTTTTTTTTGAGACAGAGTCTTGCTCCGTTGCCCAGGCTGGAGTGCAGTGGCGCAATCTCGGCTCACTGCAACCTCTGCCTCCTGGGTTCAAGTGATTCTCCTGCTTCAGCCTTCTGAGTAGCTGGGATTACAGGTGCATGCTGCCATGCCCTGGCTAATTTTTTGTATTTTAGTAGAAATGGGGTTTCACCATGTTGCCCAGGCTGGTCTCGAACTCCTGAGCTCAGGCAATCCGCCCGCCTCAGCCTCCCAAAGTGCTGGGATTATAGGCTTGAGCCACTGCTCCCAGCCCAGTTTGGTAGTTTTTGTTGAGGATTTTTGCCTTAATATTCATTAGGGATATTGCTCATACTGCTCTGTAGTTTCCTTTTCTTGCAGTATCTTTGACTTTAGTATCAGGATAATGCTGGCCTCATAAAATGAGTTTGGAAATATTCTCACCTCTTTGAATTTTTGGAAGAGGTTAAGAAGGATTGGCATTATTTCTTTAAATGTTTAGTTGGATTTTCCATTGAAGCTATCTGGTCCTGGACTTTTCTTTGTTGGGAGGTTTTTGATTACTGATTTAATTTTCTTACTAGTTCTAGATCTGTTCAGATTTTCTATTAATGATTCAGTCTTGGTAGGTTGTATGTCTCTAAGAATTTATTTCTTCTAAGTTATCAAATTTATTGGCATATAATTGCTCATAATAGTCTTTTATAATCCTGTTTATTATATCATTTTTGAAAGTTAATTTTTAAGTAATTTTAGTTATTTAATAGTAATACATGAATTGTAGAAAAATATTGGTAGTTGTACCCCAATGCAAGAATGTTTCTGTCACTTTTATATCTACTCTTATACTAATTTCTATTTATATTACATATTTTATTTAGTTATAATTTTTATGATACTACCCTATGACTTTATCTGCCTATCAAGGACATTTGTGATTTTGTTTTTTGTCAAATGGAATGGATTATAACTTCATAATTAGGGTGCGTGCAGTGGTTCCCGCCTATAATCCCGGCACTTTGGGAGGCTGAGTTGGGTGGATCGCTTGAGGTCAGGAGTTTGAGACCAGCCTGAGCAAAATATGAAGACCCCCATCTCTACAAAAACATAAAAAATTAGCTGGGTATGATGGTATGCACCTGTAGTCCCAGCTACTTGGGAGGCTGAGGTGGTGGGAGGATCACCTGAGCCTGGGGAAGTCAAGGCTGTAGTGAGCTGTAATCATGCCACTGTACTCCAGCCAGGCAACAGAGTGAGACTCTGTCTCAAAAAAAAAAAAAATCATAAAATCATAAAAAAGTCATAATTAGGAAACCCACAAGATTTTAAAAGAATTATACCAACTTGTATGGTAAGAGACAGAAATAGCACAAAATGATATATGTACTTTATACTCCAAATTTTGAGGGGCAGGAAAAGGCTAAGAAATCTACTCAGCTGCAATCACAGGCTTTAAAAAAAAAAAAAAAAAAAGACGAGTTGGAGGGCAGACCTAGGCCCAGACTTTGTAACCAAGAGTCTCAAGTTCAGGGAACAGGACTGAGCCCTAGTCAAGGAACTGGCAACATATGCCTGAATGGACCTCAGACTTGCTATAGACCAGTGACTATCGTGTGCCTCCATTTTTCCCCGCTTCAACTAGGAGTGTATATAGTGGTTATACTATGCCTGTCCCATCATTGTCTGTTGTGTATGTATTGGGGAAAATGATCTGTCTCTTTTTTTTTTTTTTGAGATGGAGTCTCGTGCTGTCACCCAGGCTGGAGTGCAGCGGAGCGATCTCGGCTCACTGCAAGCTCCACCTCTCAGGTTCAAGCCATTCTCCTGCCTCAGCCTCCCGAGTAGCTGGAACTACAGGTGCCCACCACCACACCCGGCTAATTTTTTTTCATTTTTAGTAGAAATGGGGTTTCACCATGTTAGCCAGGATGGTCTCGATCTCCTGACCTCGTGATCCGCCTGCCTCAGCCTCCCAAAGTGCTGGGATTACAGGCGTGAGCCACCATGGTGGCCGATCTGTCTCTTTAGTTCACAGGTCTTCAGATTGAGAGGAATAGTTTTCAAGGAGCTGTATGCAAAGGACTTACCTGCACCTGGAACTAAATGTAGATGATGTATTAAACTTTGTGCAGGACTCAATCAAAGCTTGATGGGATAAGGCTTTAGGAGTCTTGGAGAGAGGTGTGTATTTTACACATGGAAGTGATATGAGTTGTTTTAGCCAGGGGGCAGACTACCGCTGCAGTAATCCCTCCCACATGCAAAAGAGGTTCACTCCTTTCTCCAAGACTCACAAAGTCCAACAGTACCTCCCATCCCATAAGCTCCCCTTATCATGTCACCCTATCACTGTACCTGTGGGATGGTGGAGTCTGACTTCTCTACCTGAACCTGGTTGGGCTTTTGTAACTGTCTTGACCAACAGAATGAGGCTAAGGTGATGATATATGACTTCATATATCATTAATGGCTATGTTTCACAAAATGTCATGTGCCTCTGCCTTGCTCTCTTTATTTGCTCATTCTTGAAAACCCCCACCTTGTTGTTAGACTAAGCAGCCTGAGGAGAAGCCCATAAAAAGGAGAATCAAGGCCCTTAGACCACAGCCCTGGCTGAGCTCCTAATAGTCAGCAACAGCTTATTAGCCATGTGTATGAGCCATCTGTAAAGTAGAATCTTCAGCCTCCAGTTGAAATAGCCTACTAATGCCACATGAAGCAGAGATGAGCTTACACATATTTGAGCAAAAGAAATGATTCTTATCATTTTAAGGTACCAGGTTTTAGGGTACTTTGCTACACAGTGATAGTTGCTCAAAGCACACCCCTCAAGTGATCTCATTTGTTTCTGTGGCATTAACTACACGGATTCTCAAATCTGAATTTTCAGGTCACATGTTTATTTGGAGCTCCCACCCATATGTCTAACTGTTAATTAGATGTATCCCTCCTTAAGCACAACACATGTGACATTAAGGTATTGTCCTTCACCACCACTGGTTCTTTTTCTATTATTTTGGTTATCTTACTGTCCATTCATTGATGGCAGACATCTGGGAAAACATGCTTAATTCCTACATCTTCCTGCATGTAATTTTACATCTGAAATATCATTTGAAAGCTGACAGAGTGATATTTTAAAAATATATATGTGATCATGAGTTCATGCAATTCATAAATGGCTTCACTTTACTTACACAATAAAGCCCCATTTTCTTGGCAGGATATTCATGGCTTTCAATGATCTGGCCCCTTGCCAGATTTCTAGCCTTACTGACTATTCCTCCTTTTTGCTTTATAATACTGAATTACTAATTACTAATAGTTCTCCTAATACACAAGGAAAAAAAAACAGGCATTTTTACTCCTTCAGGGTATTTCACTCATCTAGGTTTTTGGCAGAAATTCGTTGCTTGTGGTTGTAAGACCCAGGTTTCTGTTTTCTTGCTGGCTGTTGGACAGGGGTTGTTCTCATTTCCTACAGGCTGCTCTCAAGCCCTTGCCACATGGCCCTCTCACAACATTGCAGCTTGCTCCTTCAAAGCCAGTGGGAGAATCTTACTTGAGTGTGTTACAGCAGACTTCTATGTAATGTCACGTAACCAAAGGAATGGCTACCCACGGGTCCTACTGACACTCAGGGGAGGGGATTATACAAGATTTGTTCACTAGGGGGTAGGAATCTTGGGGGCTGTATTAAGAGTACTTAATAACTCAAGTTATTGAGTACTTTATATATATATATATATCTTTCCTAAAAATTGCCGAAGAGAATCCTATACTTACCTATGGTAGACAGACTTCTAAGATAGCTCCCAAGGTTCCTATCCCCTGGTGATAGGAATCACTTTGGGAGGCCAAGGTGGGTGGATTGGCTGAGTCCAGGAGTTCGAGACCAGCCTGGGCAACATGGCGAGACCCCATCTCTACAAAATATATAAAAATTAGCTGGGCTTGGTGATGCATGCCTGTAGTCCCAGCTATTTGGTGGAGGTTGAAGTGGGAGGATTGCTTGAGGCTGGGAGACAGAGGTTACAGTGAGCTGAGATCCTGACACTGCACTCCAGCCTGGGTGAGAGAGCAAGACTCTATCTTGGAAAAAAAAAAAGTTTAATTATTAGAAAGTTTAGGAGAATGCATCTTCCTTTGTATCTGCTTTTATCCACTCTATTGGTTATTCAGTGGGCTCTTTCAATCTGACAACTCATGTCCTTCAGTTGTGGGAAAATTTTGTGTTTATTTCAGTGATGATTTCTTCTATATTCTCCCTTCTCTTTTTCTGTGACTTGCATTATTTAGATGTTAGACCTCTTGAACTAGTCCTTCAATTTTATTACCTTTTTTCTCTATCTTCCATCTATTTCTGTTGTGCTTTCTGGGAGATTTATTTAACTTTATTTTTCAATTCTTTATGGATCCAGTGTCTTCCCATCTCCTTGAGGTTGTCTATGGTGGTTTCTGAACCTTTCTTCTTCCCACATAGTCTGTATTTTCTCTATGTTATTTATTTTTCTATGTGTTCTAGTCTCTGTCTTTCATGTTAGAGGCTTTCCTCAGGTGTTTGTTAATCCTTGGATATCTATTCACAATTTAGAATTTGAAACTAGAAGCTGATTGGAAATTCTAACATTGGTGGGACTTGGTGACTTTTAAATATGTGTGTGTGTGTGTGTGTATATATATATATATATATATATAGAACAGTGACATGTGTTCACATTTTATTTCTTCTCTAATCTTCTTTTTAAATTTTTATATAATTTTTTCTTTAAAAAAAAAATAGAGACAGGGTCACGCTTTGTAGCCCAGGCTGGTCTTGAACTCCTGACCTCAAATGGTCTTCTGTCTTGGCCTCCCAAAGTGCTGGGATTATAGGCGTGAGCCATCGTGCCTGACCTTTTCATTAATCTTCTTAGTTTCTTACTATCACAATGGAATGATGAGAAAACAAAACAAAAACATCAGTCTTTGCAAGTCTCTGACAAAAAGCAGAGACTTCAAGGCAGTTGGGGTTGGGGGAGACTTGAGAGATGTGGCCAAAATAGTACTGACTCTCTTTGGCTGACTGGGCCGAGGAGGGTTGGGAAGGGGGAATGGTGAGAAGGTGGCACCATTGTAAGCTGCCCTTGACATTTCTGCCCCCTGACTGGTAAGTGTCTGATCTGCACAGACCATCCCATGGGATTTCTTAGTGCCTTCTGGCCACCTGGCCACATGACACCCCACCTCCCTGCCTAGTTCAAATGTCCTGGGAACGCCAAGCAGTGCTCAGATGGACCCTGAAGCCAGCTGTGCTGGGTGGCGGCAAAAGAGGAGCGTGGAGGAGGGGCAGAGGCAGGCAACACTGTTGCAGATTCTCACACATTCTCTGTGTGAGAATTCAAGAAGTGTGGTTGAGTCTTGTCTGGGAGACATCTATGGTGGAAGGTAGAGAAGGTGCGGGTAGCAGTGGCAGAAGTCTATGTCTCTTAGGCAGTAAGCAGACTGAAGAGGTGAGCAGGGCCGAGCCTAGAGCTCTATAAAGTAACTGGGCCTGGCCTGCTTTTTGGCGAATCCCAATGTCAGTATCTTTAGGCTTTTGGGGTTACTCAGTCCCCCAAAAAGGATACAAATTCCAATTGAGGACAAAGGCCTAGCTGCTGGCATTCTGGGAACTGAGTGGAAAGGGACCTGGGGTGAGGGGAACGTCTCAACATTTGGTTACTTAATACCCCTGATTTCGGCATGGTGTCCACACTGTCAACTGTTCCTAGATTTCTGCTGGTGTAGGGAAGTGACAGTTGTTTAAACTCATAGAGTTGGGGAGGGGAATCTAGGGATCTAACTACCTCTCAAAAGCTTTGACACATTCCTCCTTATTTTAGAGCCTTCCTGTCACTTCCCTTCCAACATTTCCTTCCCAGGTCCAGACATGCCTAACACTGACAGTTCCTGAGCAATTTTAGGATTCTGTAGTTAAAACTTAGTTTTCCCTCTAATGGCTTAGGCTTTTGCTTTGTAGGATCTCCTAAGTCAGTTATTATTCTGACTTCTAAAATTGTGCTATCTTTTCTCTTCCCTTCTTCACATCCATGTGTTTATCTCTTTTAAAAATCCTGCTGCTGTAGTTTTCCTGGGAGTTCTGGAGGGAGTGAAATTAGATGTGTGTATTTAATTTGCTACTTTAACTCAGATATTCCTCATTGTTTTGTAATGTGTCATTATATGTTAAATTCTTAATGAAAAAGTTTGTTCCTTAGTTATCTATTTCCCTTGAAATATTTTTCTATATCAATTAGTCCCACACTTATTTATTGTTTTTGTTTATTTATAATATGTTTATTCTTTATGATTGTAATTTTTGGTTTAACTTCTTATAAAATCTGTTAGTTTTATAATGCCTAAACTTATAGGGGGCCAGGCACGATGGCTCATGCCTGTAATCCCATCACTTTGGAAGGCCAAGGTGGGAGGATCACTTGAGCCCAGGAGTTCAAGACCAGCCTGGGCAACATAGGGAGACCTCGTCTCTACAAAAAATTTAAAAAAAAAAAAAAAAAAAAAAAAGCTAGGCATGGTGGTGTGCACCTGTGGTCTCAGCTACTCGGGAGGCTGAGGTGGGAGGATTGTTTGAGCCCAGAAGGCTAAGGCTACAATGAGCTGTGATTGTGCCATTCCACTCCAGCCTGATGAGCGAGCAAGATTCTGTCTCAAAAAACAAACAAACAAAACTATATAGGTGCATTGGGAGCATTAAATTCAGGGAATTAAGAGATCGTTTCTGTTAGTGTTGGATTATTTTACACTTTTTTTTACTCATGACTTTATTAATAAGAATTAGGAGAATTTAAATCCAAATGTTGGAATATTGTTATCACACCTTTTTTTTTTTTTTTTTTCAATGAAGACTGAAGTTGCTGAAGATCCTCAACAAGTTTCAACTGTCCATCTCCAACTGGGCTTACCACTGGTTTTTATTGTTAGCCAACAGGCTACTTATGAAGCTGATAGAAGAACTGCAGAATGGGTTGCTTGGCGTCTTCTGGGAAAAGCAGGAGTTCTACTCTTGTTAAGGTATCTTAAACATCGAATATTTACTATATTTAGCAAAACGCTAATAGTTTCCACGTTTTAAAATATGGTAATTTAATCACTTATAAGTAAACTCAAATCTCTAATAGATTCCAATATAGTTAGAACTAGTTGCTGAGCTAAAATCTGTACATTCATTTAAGGTTGATTAAAACTTAGAATTTTAAACCTTGCTAAATAAAGATGGAGATTAAGATGGAGACTAGAAAATCTGGTCTATGTTTACGTGTAAAATTTTTCAGTCACTAAATTGTAATATTTTTTCATAATTTTTAGTATAAGAATGTAGTTCTATTTTCTATTGAAGTCCTGGGTGACTATTATTCTTCAGATTAGCAACATAAAACATTTATTTCCATTTTGAAAAAGGGACTCTTTGGAAGTGAACATTCCTCAAGATGCTAATGTGGTCTTCAAAAGAGCAGAAGAGGTTAGTTGTTTTATGTATTGTTCTACAATATCTGTTTATTTAAAGAAAGCTAATATATGTGGTCTTTAATATATTTTTATTATAGAAAAATCTGTAAATTATAAATTGCTCCTATTCAAAGAAAATTGCTGTTAACGTTTTGATGTTTTTATCATGTGTCAGTCTGGTTTGTATCCTATGTTCACGTATGTATATGTATTTTTTTAAATAAAGCAAAATCAGAATTATGCTATATATTCTGCTTTTTGTTTAAAATAATATTGGGCTGGGCATGGTGGCTCGTGCCTGTAATCTAGCACTTTGGGAGGCTGAGGCAGGTGGATCGCTTGAGCCCAGGAGTGCAAGACCAGCCTAGGCAACATCGGGAGATCCCATCTCTACAAAAAATTGGCTGGGTGTGGTGGTGCATGCCTATAGTCCCAGTTACTCAGGAGGCTGAGGTGGGAGAATCACTTGAGCCCCAGAGGTTTGAGCTGCAGTGAGCCATGATTGTGCCACTGCACGTCCACCCTGGGTGACAGAGACAGACCCTGTCTCAAAAAAATAAACAAGATAAAACAGAATTCAAACCATAGCAGTGATGAAAGACAGAATAGTGATTACTTTTGGGGGATGTTAATGACAGGAAGAGCAAGAAGATGGCCACTGGTTGTGCTGATGATGTTCTGTATCTTAATCTGTATGGTGGTTATACAAGTGTGTCCACTTTGTAAAAATCCATCAAACTCTATACTTAAAATTTTTGTTCTTTTCTGTGTTAATGTTATACTTTAATTAAAAGGTTTACTACAAAAATTTCTGTGAATATTTGGAACAAATTAAGTTTGATTTTGATTCCTCTACTTTTTAAGTTTATTATATTTCTGTAGAAATTAAAATTGCTCGTTTCGAATATAATGTTAAAAAAATGAAGATATGTGATAGCAAAGAACAAACATACTTAGAGCTCATAGCTTTATTCCAATATAGAGTTACAGTCAAGAACACTTTGCTAAAATAATCTAGTGGCCTAAAATTTCATATTTTAAAAGTGTAACAGTTGGGCAATAGTGAAATAAATCTTAAGTAATATTTTTTAATATTAATTAATATCGATCTCAATAGAATTTGGTATTCTTAAAATAACTGGGAGCACATAGTAATTTAGTGTTGTTTATAGCTAAACAGGAAATTGAACTTATTAGTGGAATTAATTTAGATGAAGTATTGTTTTGAATATTTCTGTGGAATGTCAGAATAATCAATTTTGATTTACTCTATTTGCAGTAAAATTGTATATATTTCCATTTTATAAAGAGGTAGAACTTGGTATTACATGTGAAATGCTTTACAGACTTCAGTATAATGTGGTTGTGACAAGAAGCAAGTGAGGCTTTCAGCACCTTTTTTGCCACCTTTTTCAGTGTACACATTGTCTTTACAGAAGGTATGCTTTTCTTTTCACAGTAATTTTGGAGTTAATTTCCTTTTTCATTTTGCTAAATTTTAGAATTGAAGTTCAAAGGCTTAGTTTTATTTTAGTGTCAAACAAGTAAAACTTGTTTTTTTTTTTTTTTTTTCCCAGAGTCTCGCCTTGTCGCCCAGGCTGGAGTGTGGTGGTGCAATCTTGCCTCACTGCAACCTCTGCCTCCTGGGTTCAGACGATTCTCCTGTTTCAGCCTCCCAAGTAGCTGGGATTACAGGCGTGCGCCACCACGCCAGTCTAATTTTTGTATTTTTAGTAGAGACAGTTTCACCATGTTGGCCAGGCTGGTCTCGAACTACTGACCTCAGATGATCCGCCTGCCTCGACCTCCCAAAGTGCTGGGATTACAGGTGTGAGCCACCACACCTGGCCCAAGTAAAACATTTTTATGTCAAAATACTTTGCTATATTCATTTTTTAAAAATTAATGTATTTCTAGGGAGTTCCAGTGGAATTTTTGGTATTACATGATGTTGATTTAATAATATCTCATGTGGAAAATAATATGCACATTGAGGAAATACAAGAAGATGAAGACAATGACATGGAAGGTCCAGATATAGGTAATGTGTTATGATTCTCACCCCTTCCCCATCCTGCCCAGCACCCATAAAGTCAGTGAAATTTCCAATGGATTAACTTTCTCCAAGAATGTGTTCAGATTCAAGACTCTGTAAAGAAACCTGGCGGAATTTATTTGGAACCACATTTTATCAAGTTGATTTGTTGAAAAGATGTAAGGATGCTATATTTTGTTTAATGTATTAACATTTACTGTTACATATCAGGCTTCAAACTTCCCACATCTGTGCCTTCATCTTCCATATCAGTTCTTTCAGCCGTTCTGGACTAGTCCATGTTTAAAAACTCTACTTAGAAACTACAACATGATAATTCATTGTTACTATTTTTATTAGGAAATGGAGTTCTAATAAATATTGTTATATTTGTACTTGTAAATAAATCCAGTTGTTAATGGTATAAGAAGTAAATTTCAGTAACATTTTAACACTTCGTTTAAACAGTTATTTCAGTTTTTTAAAAATGTATTGCTTACATTTATGAAGTATTGTATAGTTTTTAACTCTTTTTCCCACATATTATTTACTTTGATTATTATTCTCTGAGTTAGCTGATACCACTTTCATTTTATACATGAAGAGTCTGCATTTCCTGAGTTCAGTGATCTGCCCAAAGTCCCACAAGTAGCAGGTGGTAGGGACTGGGCTAGAACTTAAGCATCCTGAAATAAAATCTTATTATTAGTGACAGTCAAGAATACTTCGCTAGAATAATCTAGTGGCCTAAAATTTGATATTTTTTAAGTGTAACAGTTGGGCAATAGTGAAATAATTATTTCTGATACATCTTTCATAACATTAATCCTCTTCTGTAATTATTCATTTGCTTTTTTCTCTTCTCTGCTAGTCTATAAATATTTCTAAATCAAGGATTATGTCTTGTTCATTTTTGTATAACATATATAGTAAATACTTGAATGTTTTATATAGTACCATTATGAGCTCCAAGAAGGAAGCAATTTACATATCATTTTCATGAGGTCCATGCATTGTGATCAAAATCTATATTATAAATTTAGTAAGAGCTTTCACTCTTACCAGTGACCAGTTTCTTGGTTTGAGCAGAGCTCTGGTTCTTTTCCGATATGCAGGGGTTAGAATTGCTTGTGTTCCTCTCTGGAGTTCTCAGTGGGCTTGTCATTACATAAGCAGACCTGTGTTCTGGTCTCTTGTTTCCTGCTTATTCCTGTAATGGTTCCTATATTTGAACCTTCAGAGTTAGAGGACTTGTCCCTAGTCTCAGTTTATTTGATTCCTGTCTTCAGTGGGAGTCGCCTGTTTGAAGATTTCTTTGTGGCCACAGCCTCTATATTGTTTCCTGACTCTGTGGCCTTACTTACCCTCTGATGCTGCCTTCTCTTTCTGGTTTTTATTTCCATTTTTTTAATTGACCAATAATAACTGTACCTATTTGTGGGGTACATAGTGATGTTTCAATACATACAATGTATGGTGATCAGGTCAGGGTATTGAGTGTATCCATCATTTCAAACATTTATCGTTTCTTTGTGTTGGAAACATTCAATAACCTCCAGCCTGTTTCTAGTATTTCTTTTGCAGCTTTGCCTTTTTTGTTTATTTTTCATCTTAACTTCCTATTATCAGTAATCCATACTGGCCCAGAATGTTGTATGGTGTTGTGCCTGTATCTAATTCTTCCCCCTCCCTCTGTATCACTCCCGTTTACAAAGGAAAACTAGATAAGGGTTAGGAAAGAATTTATTACCATCTGAGAATGTAAATCAGAGACAGGTGCACCCCAGAGAAAATCAGCAAAATGGAATCAGAATGAAAAAGACTAGATTCCACAGAAGGGCAATCTGAAAAAAGAAAAGAAGCATGTGTTCCAGCCTGGGCAACATGACAAAACCCCATCACTACAAAAAATACAAAAATTAGCCAAGATGGTGGTATGTGCCTGTAATCCCAGCTCCTTGGGAGGCTGAGGTGGGAGGATTACTTGAGCCCAGGAGCTGGAGGTTGCAGTGAGCTGAGATCTTGCCAGTGCACTCCTACCTGGGCAACAGAGTGAGACCCTGTCTCAAAAAAAAAAAAAAAAAAAAGCAGCATGTGTGACTGAAAATAGTGTGTATGTTATTAATGAATAGGTTGAAGGTAGAGCTGAGGAGTGACTAAATGTACAAGTGATGGTAGCTTATTTAGAATATAAGAAAAGAGGGAAAGGAGGAAAAAGAAACAGAAGACTGACAGGAAAATGAAAATATATGAATAATAAGAAAAAAATACAGTAAATAAGAAAATAGGTCTTTACTAAGTTTGGTATTGAGAATGTAATTTTTAGTGTCATGGAATTTGGTGCTTAAAAGTACCTTTAAGTTATATAGTGCAACTCTCATGCTTCACAAGAGTTGAACATTGAGGCCCAGAGAGTTATGTGATTGACTAGAGTCGTATAGAAAATGGCTGAGGTTGTAGTGAAATCCAGATCTAGAATTTTAATTTATTGTATGGTCATGTGTCTCCTAACGATGAGGATAGTTTCTGAGAAATGCATCATTAGGTGATTTCATTGAGCAAACATCATAAAGTTCACTTACACAAACCTACATGGTGTAGCCTATTACACACCTAGGGTGTATGATATATCCTATTGCTCCTAGGCCACAAACCTATACAGCATGTTACTGTACTGAATACTGTAGGTACCTATAACACAATGGTAGATATTTATGTATCTAAACGTGTAAACACAGAAGAGGTACAATAAAAACATGGTATAAAAGATAAAAAATGGTACACTTGTATAGGGTACATACCATGTATGGAGCTTGCAGGACCGGAAGTTGCTCTGGGTGAGTCAGTGAGTGAGTGTAAAGGCCTAGAACATTACATTATTGTAGATTTATAAATACTGTACACTTAGGCTGTACTAAATTTATAAATTTTTTTTCAATAATTTGTCTTAGCTTACTGTAACTTTTTCACTTTATACATTTTTACAATTTTTAAAAACATTTTGACTGTTTTGTGATAACATTAAACTTAAAGCACAAACACATCATACAGCTGTACAAAAATATTTTCTTTTTTTATATCCTTATGCTATAAGCTTTTTTCCATTTAAAACTTTTATGTTTTACGTTTTAAACTTTTCTCTAAAAACGAAAACACAAACACACACATTAGCCTAGGCTTGTACAGGATCAAGATCATCCATATTACTCTCTTCCACTTCCACATCTTGTCCCTTTGGAAGGTCTTCAGGGACAGTAACAAGCATGGAGCTGTCATTTCCTATGATAATAGTGCCTTCTTTTAGAACACCTCCTGAAGACCTACCTGAGGCTGTTTTACAGTGAACTTTTTATTTTATAAGTGAAAGGAGTACACTCTAATGATGAGTATAGTAAATATATAAACCAATAATCTAGTCCTTTATTATCATTATCAAGTATTATTTACTGTACATAATTATATGTGCTGTACTTTTTTCTTTTTTTTTGAGACAGAGTTTCACTTTTGTCGCCCAGGCTGGAGTGCAGCGGTGCAATCTCGGCTCACTGCAACCTCCACCTCCTGGGTTCAAGTGATTGTTCTGCCTCAGCCTCCCAAGTAGCTGGGATTACAAGCATGCGCCACCATGCCCTGCTAATTTTTTGTATTTTTAGTAGAGACGGGGTTTCACCATATTGGCCAGGCTGGCCTCGAACTCCTGACCTCAAGTGATCCGTCCACCTCGGCCCCCCAAAGTGCTGGGATTACAGGTGTGAGCCACTGTCCCTGGCCTTATGTGCTATATGACTCACAGTAGGTTTGTTTACACCAGCATCACCACAAACATGTGAGTAATGTGTTGTGCTACGATGTTACAATGGCCACTACATCACCAGATGATAGGAATTTCTCAGCTCTATTATAATCTTAAGGGACTACAGTTGTATATGTTGTCCATTGTTGACTGAAATATCATTATGTGGTACGTGACTGTATTAGAAATTATGTATAAAACAATACTTTAGTTCTATGAATGTATTGTCTTCTCTCTCCCTTCTTTCTTTTTAATGTGTTGTTACAGAGAATTACGAACATACGGAGAGAGAATAATAGAACAAATTCTTGTTATCCATTACTTGGCCCCAGCCATTATCAAACCATGGCTCATTCTGCTCCAATCACCCCCCCCCCTTATTGTTTTGTAGCAAATCCAAAACATGTAATTTCATCTATAAGTATTTCCCTGGGTTTCAGAAATATAAGGATTTTCCTTTTTAACATTAACATAATTAATACTATTATTACATCTAAAAAATTAACAATTCTTAATACCATCGTATATCCAGTCAGTGTTTGAACTTCTGATTGCACCATGCTCTTACATGCCACTGTGCCTTTGCTCATGCCATTCTCTTTGCTCTTTATGCCACCACTGCCTTTCTTCTCTGCCTACCTGAGTTTTATTTTCCTTTTCATGTTCATGTTTTCATGTTCATAAAGAAGCTTTATCCTTTAATCAAGTTATATGCTCCATCTGTCTTACCGTACAATCTCTACAAACTTCCAACAGAATATTTATGAATCCAAATGTATTTTTGAAGGTACATGGATGGTTGGATGGATGGATGGATGGATGAATCTATCAGTCTATTGATTGGTCTATCTAAAGGAAGGGTTTCACATATTCAGAATCCACTCATAACTTGAGGCTTTTTGGATAAAATCCAGACTTCTTGGCTCATGTGACCTCTTATGATCTAGCCACTGCCTAGCCTAGAGTTTTCTCATGCTGTTTATTCTTTCAGCCCCATCTTGTCTTAGTCAAATTTGCCTTCCCTCAGCCTTGTATGTGCTCAACTCTTTTATGTCTCAGAGCTTTCGTATATGTTATTGTCTTTGTCTAAAACATTCTTTTCTTGATTCTCTACCTGGCAGACTTTGGGCTTCCCAATCTAAATAGCCCTGTTATAATCTCTCAGTGTATCCTTTACCTTTCTTCATAAATTGATCATAATTTATAATTATATATTTATTCAGTGATCAGTTTATCTGACTTTTCCATAGATAGAAGTTCCATGTGGTCAGGACTATGTCTGTTTTGTTTACCAGTTTTCCTAGTGCCTGTCATAATGCTTGGCATATAGTAGAGGCAAAATAAACAAAATGGCACTATTAATATTCTTTGTAGAACAAATTTTAATTTTGAAATTGACTAAAACTTCCCAACTTCTAGGTCAGGAAGCATCTCAGAGTCAGTTAAGCAACTGCAAAGTTTTCTAAATATCATGCATCCTAACTATTAAGATAGGATGAATTCAAAAGTTTGTATAAAGTACTGAATTATTATATGCTTCCTATGAGAAGAGCTTAAATAGTTTTCATTATACATCAATATTTAAATTAATTTCTTTTCCAACATTTTAGATGTTCAGGATGATGAAGTGGCAGAAACTGTTTTCAGAGATAGGAAGAGAAAATTACCTTTGGAACTTACAGTGGAACTAACAGAAGAAACATTTAATGCAACAGTGATGGCTTCTGACAGCATAGTACTCTTCTATGCTGGTTGTGAGTATGAGCCTTTAGAGGACTGTTACATATTAGGACATTTAAAAACCCAGATTTAATTTTTGGCATTCCATGTATTGCATGTTGTAAAATGAAATTGCTTTCGTATGTCTCAAGTAGACTGTGTGCATTGAAGCATTTACTTCTGATTCTGGGATTGTGCAATTGATTTATATCTGATTTACAAATTAAAGGTGAATGATTAAACTAGATGTTCATTAATTTTGAAAAATTGTGACTCACGCTAATGATTTTTAACATATTAACAGTTATTATAGATTTATAGTAAGTATATTGCTTTTATCTTCAAATCATAGCCATTTAGCTATATTCCTTGCAGTACAAGTGCGGAAAATCAGTTGCATTTGAAACTCTCTTAAGTGGTTGGACTATGTTGAGAAATGTATAGTAGAATATTTCTGATTAACAATAATTTTGGGAAACCTCATAAATCTGTATATTTGTTACATATCAGTGTGGATGCTTTGTAGATATACATGTAATATCTGTTGAATTTTTAATTTTCATATAGGGCAAGCAGTATCCATGGCATTTTTGCAATCCTATATTGATGTGGCAGTTAAACTGAAAGGTAGTGTACTGTGCTATGCATGCTTATTATTCTGATTCTAAGCTGTAGCTATTTGTAAAACTATGTCATGCAAAAAATATAGAAAACCACATAAAATTTCAGTTACTATGTTTGTGTCTCCAGGGTTAAGTTAATGAACCAGGAGTTTCAAGAGTGCTTAGGAGCATTCACTTTGATTTGTCTTCATAGAACTGTCTTTAGTAGAAAGTAGAAAGCCTATGTATTTAGTACTTGTGGCTACACAGTTAATACAACAACCTTTTTGGTTTAAGTCAGTCATTCAGCAAGCATTTATGAGTGCCTACTCTGTGCCAGTTACTCCAGTTAAATACTGGAAATAAAAATTTGGCAGATTCAAGACCCAGTCTCATGGTCTAATGAGAGATCAAAAATCCCCGTGTCCTTGAAACTATATAGTTTACTCCTCATGGATGGAATGCTTTTTAATATCCAGGATCTTTTTATGTTAACCATCCTGTGAAACCTCATTTAATAGTGGGCAAATAAAGATCCAAGGAATGGACTTTAACTGAAAATATCTGTGCTACCATCTCAGCAAAGACATAGGGGAAAATGAGGGAGGCCTGTTAGTAAGAGAGGTAATAATGGATTAGGTGTGCTTGATGTAAGTTCCTTATGGTTAGGTAGTGTGCCTTATATCAGCTTACTGGGCTTGGCATATTGCCTTACATTGCAGAATATCTGGTTTTCAATAATTGTTGGATAAATGAATAATAGAGTTTCATAAATTTTGTTTCATTTAGTGGAAACTATGTACTGATGTACAACTTATTTATACATTGAAGCTTTTGAAAACTCAAGAAATTGATTCTAGACACTCAACCCTAAGTGTACCATTCCTTTTTTAAAATTTTTTTTTATTTCCATAGGTTACTGGGGAACAGGTGGTGTTTGGTTACATGAGTAAATTCTTTGGTGGTGATTTGTGAGATATTGGTGCACTCATCACCTGAGCAGTATATACTGTGCTGCACCCAATTTGTGGCCTTGTATTTCTTACCCTATTCCCACCCTTTCCCCTTGAGTCCCCACAGTCCATTTTGTCTTTCTTATGCCCTTGCATCCTCATAGCTTAGCTCCCAAATATGAGTGAGAACATGTGATGGTTGGTTTTTCATTCCTGAGTTAGAATAATAGTCTCCAGTCTCATCCTGGTCACTGCAAATGCCATTAATTCATTCCTTTTTGTGGCTGAGTAGTATTCCATTATATATATATATATATATATATATACATATATATATATACACACACACACACACACCACAGTGTCTTTGTCCACTCGTTGATTGATGAGCATTTGGGTTGGTTCCATGTTTTTGCAATTGCAAATTGTGCTGCTATAAACGTGTGCAAGTATCTTTTTCATATAGTGACTTATTTTCCTTTGGGTAACCAGTAGTGGGATTGCTGGATCAAGTTCCTTTTAGTTCTTTAAGGAATCTCCACACTGTTTTCCACAGTGGTTGTACTAGTTTACATTCCCACCAGCAGAGTAGAAGAGTTCCCTGTTCACCACATCCACGCCAACATCTATTATTTTTTTATTTTTTTGATTATGGCCATTCTTGCAGGAGTAAGGTGATATCTCATTGTGTTTTTGAATTGCATTTCCCTGATCATTGGTGTTGTTGAGCATTTTTTCATGTTTATTAGCCATTTGTATATCTTCTTTTGTAATTGTCTCTATTCATGTCCTTAGCCCACTTTTTGATGGGATTGTTTGTTTTTTTCTTGCTGATTTGTTTGAGTTCATTGTAGATTCTGGATATTAGTTTTTTGCCAGACGTATAGATTGTGAAGATTTTCTCCCATTCTGTGAGTTGTCTGTTTACTCTGCTGGACTGTTCCTTTTGCTGTGCAAGAGCTCTTTAGTTTAATTAAGTCTCAGCTATTTATCTTTGTTTTTATTGTGTTTGCTTTTGGGTCCTTGGTCATGAAATTCTTGCCTAAGCCAATGTCTAGAAGCGTTTTTCCAATGTTGTCTTCTTTTTATTATAGAATTTTTATAGTTTCAGGTCTTAGATTTAAGTCTTTGCTCCATCTTGAGTTGATTTTGTATAAGGTGAGAGATGAGGATCCAGTTTCATTCTCCTACATGTGGCTTGCCAATTATCTCAGCACCATTTGTTGAATAGGTCTTTCCCCACTTTATATTTTTGTTTGCTTTGTTGAAGATCAGTTGGCTGTAAGTATTAGGGTTTATTTCTGAGTTCTCTATTCTGTTCCATTGGTCTATGTGCCAATTTTTATGCCAGTACCACACTGTTTTGGTGACTCTGGCCTTATAGTTTCAAATAGGTAATGTGATGCCTCCAGATGTGTTCTTTTTGCTCAGTCTTACTTTGGGTATGTGGGCTCTTTTTTGGTTCCATGTGAATTTTAGGATTGTTTTTTCTAGTTCTGTGAAGAATGATGGTGGTATTTTGATGGGAATTGTGTTGAATTTGTAGATGGCTTTTGGCAGTATGGTCATTTTCACAATACTGATTCTACCCATCCATGAACATGAGATGTGTTTCCATTTGTTTGTGTCATCCACGATTTCTTTCAGCAGTGTTTTGTAGTTTTCCCTGTAGAAGTCTTTCACCTCCTTGGTTAGGTATATTCCTAAGTATTTTTATTATTTTTTTTTTTTGCAGCTATTGTAAAAGGGGTTGAATTCTAGACTTGATTCTCAGCTTGGTCGCTGTTGGTGTATAGAAGAGCTATTGATTTGTGTACATTGATTCTGTATCTGGGTACTTTGCTGAATTGTTTTATCATTTCTAGGAACTTTCTGGATGAGTCTTTAGGGTTTTCTAGATAAACAATCATATCACCAGCAAACAGCAACAGTTTGACTTCCTCTTTACCAGTTTGGATGCCTTTATTTCTTTCTCTTGTCTGATTGCTCTGGCTAGGACTTTCAGTACTGTGTTGAAGAGGAATGGTGAGAGTGGGCATCCTTGTCTCGTTCCAGTTCTCAGAAGGAATACTTTCAACTTTTCCCCATGCAGTATTATGTTGGCTGTGGGTTTGTCATAGATGGCTTTTATTACTTTGAGGTATGTTTCTTGTATGCCAGTTTTGCTGAGAGTTTTAATCATAAAGGAATGCTGGATTTTATCGAATGCTTTTTCTGCATCTATTGAGATGATCATGTGATTTTTGTTTTTGATTCCGTTTATGTGGTGTATCGCATTTATTGACTTGTGTATTTTAATCATCCCTGCATCCCTGGTATGAAACCCACTTGATCATGGTGGATTATCTTTTTGATATGTTGTTGGATTCAGTTAGCTAGTGTTTTGTTGAGGATTATAGCATCTATGTTCATCAGGGATATTGGTCTGTAGTTTTCTTTTTTGGTTATGTCTTTTCCTGGTTTTGGTATTAGGGTGATACTGGTGTCATAGGATGATTTAGCGAGGGTTCCCTTTTTCTCTATCTTGTGGAATAGTGTCAATAGGATTGGTACCAATTCTTCTTTGAATGTCTGGTAGGATTCTGCTGTGAATCTGTCTGGTCCTGGACTTTTTTTTTGTTGGTAATTTTATTACCATTTCAATCTCACTGGTTGATATTGCACTGTTCAGAGTAGCTAATTCTTTCTGATTTAAGCTAAGAAGGTTGTATCTTTCCAGGAATTTATCCATCTCCTCTAGGTTTTCCAGTTTATGTGCACAAAGGTGTTCTGAATGATCTTTTGTATTTCTGTGGTGTCAGTGTGATATCTCCCATTTCGTTTCTAATAGAGCTTATTTGGATTTCCTCTTTTCTTTTCTTGGTTAATCTTGCTAATGGTCTATCAGTTTTATTTTTCTTTGCAAAGAACCAGCTTTTTGTTTCATTTATCTTTTGTATTTTTTGTTGTTTCAATTTCATTTAGTTCTGCCCTGATCTTGGTTACTTCCTTTCTTCTGCTGGGTTCGGATTTGGTTTGTTCTTGTTTCTCTAGTTCCTAGAGGTGTGACCTTAGATTGTCTGTTTGTGCTCTTTCAGACTTTGATGTAAGCAGTTAGGGCTATGAACTTTCCTCTTAGCACTGCCTTTGCTATATTCCAGAGGTTTTGATAGGTTGTGTCACTATTGTCATTCAGTTTGGAGAATTTTTAAATTTCCATCATGATTTCATTTTTGACCCAACGATCATTCAGGAGCAAGTTATTTAATTTCCATGTATTTGCATGGTTTTGAAGGTTCCTTTTGAAGTTGATTTCCAGTTTTATTCCACTGTGGTCTGAGAAAGTACTTGATATAATTTCAATTTTCTTGAATTTATTGAGGCTCATTTTGTGGCCTCTATCATATGGTCTATCTTGGAGAAAGTTCCATGTGCTGTTGAATAGAATGTATATTCTGTGGTTGTTGGGTAGAATGTTCTGTAAATACCTGTTAAGTCCATTTGTACCAGGGTATAGTTTAAAGCCATTGTTTCTTTGTTGACCTTCTGTCTTGATGACCTGTCTAGTGCTGTCAGTGGAGTATTGAAGTCTCCCACTATTATGATGTTGCTGTCTATCTCATTTCATAGGTCTATTAGTAATTGTTTTATAAATTTAGGCGCTCCAATGTTAGGTGCATATATATTTAGGATTGTGATATTTTCCTGTTGGACAAGGCCTTTTATCATTATATAATGACGCCCTTTGTCTTTTTTATAACTGCTGTTGCTTTAAAGTTTGTTTTGTCTGATACAAGAATAGCTACCCCTGCTCGCTTTTGGTGTCCATTTGCATGGAATGTCTTTTTCCACCCCTTTACCTTAAGTTTATGTGAGTCTTTATGTGTTAGGTGTGTCTCTTGAAGGTAGCAGATAGTTGGTTGGTGAATTCTTATCCATTTTGCAATTCTGTGTCTTAAGTGGAGCATTTAGGCCATTTACATTCAATGTTAGTATTGAGATGTGAGATACCATTCCATTCATCATGCTATTTGTTGCCTGTATACCATTTTAAAAAAATTGTATCTGTTTTGTCGGTCCTGTGAGATTTATGCTTTAAAGAGGTTCTTTTTTGATGTGTTTCCAGGATTTGTTTCAAGATCTAGAGCTCCTTTTAGCAGTTCTTGTAGCGCTGGCTTGGTAGTGGCGAATTCTCTCAGCATTTGTTTGTCTGAAAAATACTGTATCTTTCCTCCACTTAGGAAGCTTAGTTTTGCTGGGTACAAAATTCTTGGCTGATAATTGTTTTGTTTGAAGAGGCTGAAGATAGGGCCCCAATCCTTTCTAGCTTGTAGAGTTTCTGCTGAGAAATCTGCTGTTAGTCTGATAGGTTTTCCTTTATATGTTACCTGGTGTTTTTGCCTCACAGCTCTTAAGATTCTTTCCTTTGTCTTAACTTTAGGTAACCTGATGACAATGTGCCTAGGCATTGATCTTCTTGTGATTAATTTCCCAGGTTTCTCTGGGCTTCTTGTACTTGGATGCCTAGTTCTCTAGCAAGACTGGGGAAGTTTTCCTTGGTTATTCCCCCAAATATATTTTCCAAATAGATTTCTCTTCTTAAGAACACTGATTATTCAGGTTTGGTTGTTTAACATAATCCCAAATTCTTGGAGGCTTTGTTCATATTTTCTTATTTTTTTCTTTGTCTTTGTTGCATTGGGTTAATTCGAAGACCTTGTCTTCAAGCTCTGAAATTCTTTCTTCTGCTTGTTTGATTCTATTGCTGAGACTTTCCAGAGCATTTTGCATTTCTATAAGTGCGTCTATTGTTTCCTGAGGGTTTGATTGATTTTTATTTATGCTATCTATTTCATTGAATATTTCTCCCTTTACTTCTTGCATAATTTTTTTTCAGTTTCCTTACATTGGGCTTTGCCTTTCTCTGGCACCTCCCTGATTAGCTTAATAACTAACCTTCTGAATTCTTTTTCAGGTAGATCAGGGATTTCTTCTTGGTTTGGATCCATTGCTGGAGAGCTAGTGTGATTTTTTTGCGGGGGTGAGTTAAAGAATCTTGCTTTGTCATATTACCAGAGTTGGTTTTCTGGTTCCTTCTCATGTGGGTAGGCTCTGTCAGAGGGAAGGTCTAGGGCTCAAGGCTGTTGTTCAGTTCCTTTTGTCCCACAGAGTGTTCCCTTGATGTAGTACTCTTTCCCTTTTCCTAGGGATGTGGCTTCCTGAGAGCCGAGCTGTAGTGATTGTTATCCCCCTTCTGGATCTAGCCACCCAGCAAGTCTACCAGGCTCCAGGCTGGTACTTGGGGTTGTCTACACAGAGTCCTGTGGTGTCAACCATCTGTGGGTCTCTCAGCCATGGATACTGGCACCTGTTCTAGTGGAGGTGGCAGAAGGGCTAAATGGACTCTGTGAGGGTCCTTAGCTTTGGTTGATTAATGCACTATTTTTGTGCTGGTTTACCTCCTGCTGGGAGATGGCACTTTCAAGAGAGCATTGGCTTGAAAGTGCATTGGTATCGGGAGGAACAGGCAGTAGGCAGGACCCTATAACTCCCAAGAGTATATGCCCTTTGTCTTCAGTTACCAGGGTGGGTAGTGAAGGACCATTAGATGGGGGCAGGGCTAGGCGTGTCTGAGCTCAGATTCTACTTGGGCAGGTCTTGCTGCGTCTGCTGTGGGGGATGAGGGTGAGGGTCCCAGGTCAATGGAGTTATGTTCCTAAGAGGATTATGGCTGTCTTTGCTGTGTCATGCAGGTTGTCAGGGAAGTGGAGGAAAGCCGGCAGTCACAGGCCTCACCCAGCTCCCACACAACCCAAAGGGCCAGTCTCACTTCCACTGTGCCCCCACTCAACAGCACCAAGTCTGTTTCCAGGCAGTGGGTGACCAGGGCTGAGAACCTGCCCCAGGCTACCTGCCTCCCAGCTGCAAAAATAAGTAGGGCTTTCTTTCTTCCCCAGCCTGTGGAGTCTGCACGCTGGATTCATGCCCTCCCCCGAGTTCTGGCCAGGAGACTCTTCGATTGGTTCAAATTGTTACAAATTTCAGGGGGAGGTTTCCTTTTCTCTGTGGCCTTCTCTGAGTGCCTCTGGTAGCCCTCCTCAAGGACCCCTTGTGAGGTGAGGCACAAATGGCTTGGTAGGGGACCCAGCTAGTCCACAGGGATTTTCCTGCTGCTTCCTTTACCCGTGTATTTCGCTTTCGCTCAGCTCTCTAAATTGACTAAGCTCCAGATAAGGTCAGAATCTTCTCCCGTAATCTAGACCTTTAGGTTCCCCGGTGGTGGGGTGTGTGTTCAGGGGTGGACGATCTGCCTTTCCCACTTCCACAGTTTGAGCACTCACAGTATTTGGGGTGTCTCCCAGGTCCTGCAGGTGCAATCACTTCCTTCAGAGGGTCTGTGGGTTCTTTTGGCTTTCCTAATGTATTGCTGCAGTTTTGGAGCAAAAGTTCATGAGGCGAGCCTCCACACGCTGTTCTGTCTGTCCCCGTTCCTTTTATTTCCCAACCACATTTGATCTAACTTTTGATTATTACTGAGTGAGGGGATAATGAAGTCTGTAGACACTGTGATCTGTAATTTTTTTTTTTTTTTGAGATGGAGTTTCACTCTTGTCGCCCAGGCTGGAGTGCAATGGCATGATCTCAGCTCACTGCAACCTCCGCCTCCTGGGTTCAAGTGATTCTCCTGCCTCAGCCTCCCGAGTAGCTAGGATTACAGGTGTGCACCACCGTGCTTGGCTAGTTTTTGTATTTTTAGTAGAGACAGCGTCCAGGCTGGTCTCAAACTGCTGACCTCAGGTAATCCACCTGCCTCAGCCTCCCACAGTGCTGGGAATATAGGCATGAGCCACTGCGCCCAGCCTCTAATCATTTTTTTAAAAAGCAGATCCTCTTACTTGCTTTCACATTTTCCTTTATGCAAGGCAAGTTGCAATCTATGGACAAATTTAAGTTTTCTTCTTTTAGATTCTCTAGCCTTATTGGCAAATAATTAGAAGAAAAGCAAAGGAGGAGAAAATATAAATCATAATGAAGTAGTGATTGGATAATGTTCCTCAAGAATATGATTAATTATCCCTCTCTCCACCCCATTTAATTAGACACCAGATGAAAATGGAAAAATATTTCCTTGCATTCTTTTCTATTAATGACCAAATGAAGAGACTACCTGCCCCCTCAATGCAAGGGCTCAGAGTTGTATGTGTTTGTAGAATAAAAAAGTAGTTAAGCAACCCAGGACTTGTTTTCCTTTTCATTCACTATGTTCTTTATGAATAACAATTTTTTTTGGTAATCAGATATCAGATAAATGGACTATTTTGGAAGTTCAGGGAACTTAATGTAGAAATGCATTGCATAGGTAATTACAATGTTTTGTGTCTATGTTGAAGCCTATACTATAACTTTATAAGTTAGGAAAATATAATACCTTGGGCATTTAGTCCTATCATCTGTCTTTCTGACAGATCTGACTTTGTGGGAAAAAGCCATTTGTTATCTCTTAGTCGAAGACAATGAAGAATGTTTTTTACTCTGTCACAAGGTGGCAGCAAATGTCAAAATTTTATACTTACATAATACCTGTATCTAAGATAATCTGTTTTTTCTTTTAAGTTAGGAACCTATTTGAAATTACTGCATTGATAAAGTATATGGGATGTAATACTGTAGGCACCTTAGAATACTAGACTATTCCAACTGAAACATGAGTAAATATTGGAACCATTTTACAGGAATTGATAACTTCAGTATAAGTAGTTATATAACTTTTAGTGATATATATCAGTATTACTTTTCTGGTTTTAAAGATAACATCAAAGTTTTCCATTTCAACTGTAGGGAAAAAGGAATAATCACAGTTTTAGCAGTAGTAGACATGCTGAGGATGCTTATTGAAAGGAAAGAACTGCAGCTGGAAGAGCACTATATTCCATACTTGGGTGGCAAAATATGTAACGTGGCACTTTGTATAAACAAGCATCACCAGATGTTTATTGATGAAATCAAAGCAGCAGCGTTGTCTGGGGTATATACCCTGGGGTTCGTTGTCGCGCACCAGGAAAATTTAGAACACGGACACACACAAGTTGTTTAGGAGCAGAGGTTCAATAGAGAGGAGAGAAAGAGAAACAGCTTCCTCTATAGAGGAAGGCATCTCCAAGTGGAAAGGACTGGCTGGCAGCGAATGTGTCGAGTTTTATAGTCTAGTTTGAGAAGGTGGTGTCTGATTTACATAGGGCTCATAGATTGCTTCAGTCAGGTATGATATTTACATAGTGGCATAGGGAAGTCTGGTCGCCCCACCTTAATCTTCTTATACAAATGGTCTTTCCAGTTGTCTGGGGCCATCTTGTCTGCTCCTTACAGCACACATGGCTGGCAGAGAAGGGAAGACAGAGCGGCCATCTTGGAAACGTCTAGTCCTTAGTTCCTGCCGGTACGTGCACCCTTGCAGCTTGCAGGCTGCTCTTTGTTAGAAAAAGATTTGGGGCTGCTTTTCACTAAAAAGAAAAACCTTACCGAGGACTCCCCATACCCTTGCTATCTGCCTAAGTGATTTCTTCTTCACTCCTATATCAAAATGATTAAAATAAAGGATAAGAGAACTTTGATAGGAAGTCACTTAGCAGGTCTGATTTGGGAAGAAATAAGGGTTTATATTTGTTTATATGCTCATACAAAATTCAAGTATTAATATCCTTTAATGTAAGAATTTAAAATTTGTGAAGAAATATCAGTGTACATTCTACACATTTTTACTGGGTACATACTGTGTAACAGACATTGTGCAAGGCAGTGGGATATAGTGGTGATAAGACAGACTTAAGGCCGGGCGCGGTGGCTCACGCCTGTGATCCCAGCACTTTGGAAGGCTGAGGCAGGCAGATCACGAGGTCAGATCAGGACCATCCTAGGGCTAACATGGTGAAACCCTGTCTCTACTAAAGATAGAAAAAATTAGCCGGGCATGGTGTCACGTGCCTGTCGTCCCAGCTACTCGGGAGGCTGAGGCAGGAGAATCGCCTGAACTCGGGAGAGGAAGGTTGCAGTGAGCCGAGATCACGCCACTGCACTCCAGCCTGGGCAACAAGAGCAAGACTACATCTCAAATATACAAAAGCAAAAAAAAAAAAGACAGACTAAATCTTGCCTATATTATCAGATTGTTAACACTAAATCTAAAGTGATAAGTTATTACATCTATGAGAAGTAATCAAGAATCTTTGAAAATATACAAATTAATTTCAGTATTAAAAACATTTGGTGATAAAATATTAAAATACCACATTCACAATTTTAATCATATGATGAAGTAACATTTAGGCTATATCCTAAATTGATACACAAAGATTCCTTCTTTGATCTAGTATGATACTAAATTTTATCTTTTATTAGAATTTATTCTTTCGAGTTGTATGGTGCTTATTTTATTTAGTGTTTGATCTCTTTCCACACAGTGATTTATAATATTTTAGAGAACTTTACACGTTTTATTATAGAGCAAGTAGGAATTTCTGCTTGAGATTCTACTGTGTGTTTTCTTAGGCTGAAAAGAAATTATAATGTTTAGACAGGATAGGTATCTGAAGTCCTGGATGAGTTTCACATGTGTCATTTATTCACATGCATATTTAAGGTACTGCAGGTGCTGGAAAATCAATGATAAATAAACAGACATAGTCCCTGCTCTCAAGGAGTTGTCTTGGTAGAGACAGACGTTGATCAGATAATGAATAGTATATAATTACATAAGGAGATAAGGAAAAGAGCATGGTTCTATAATAGCATATGTCAAGGGAACCTGATGTAGATCACTGTGTCAGAGAAGGCTAGTCCTTGAAGTTGTACACGGTAAGAAAGATTTAATTCTGCAAAAGGTTGGTGGGGGTAAGCTGGTACCAAAATATTTGAGTTTTGAAAAGATATCTCTAGCATTAGTGTAGACACACTGAATTCAAAGAGGCGAATTAGAAGCCTATTGTAGTTATCCAGGAGGAACGACAACTTGAGTAGTGGCAGTAAAGAGAAATGGACAGTAATTAGATATATTAAAAATTCAGGTGGTAAAATTGAAAGAACATGCTGATTAATCAATAGGCATGAAGGGCCTTGGGAATGGAGAGGTATGAAAGATGATGCTTTGTTTTTTGAGTTGCACAAGAGCAGCAACGTTCACCAACAAACAGAAAAGAAACCATATATGGTTTTAGACTTGTTGAGTTTGAGGAGGTTTCCGTTCAAAGGAAAACAGAGAAGGTAGTAAGGATATATGGGTCTGGAACTTCAAGGAGTTTGGGCCAAAGACATAAATTTAGGATTCATTAGATTGTCTATGGTTATTGAGGTTGTGTAGGACAGGAGTGAAGAAAAACAAGAGAAGGCAGCTTAAGCTGAGCCTTGAGGGACCTCCAACTCTACTGGCTGAAGAGCCTGCAAAAGGGAACAAAAAGGAGAAGCTAGAAAGGAAGGGAAAAGGCCAACAGGGAATGGTGTTGCAAAGATCAAGGGAAGAGAGTGTTTAAGCAGGAGTGTTTCATGCTGAGAGGTTAAAATAAGAATGGGATAGAAAAATACTGAAGATCCTAAGCAAATGCATTTTCTACAATTAGTAATTACAAATGTGCATTTTCCTTTTATTTAGGCACATCTACTATGCTTCTTACTAGAATAAACTGTGCAGATTGGTCTGATGTATGTACTAAGCAAAATGTTACTGAATTTCCTATCATAAAGATGTACAAGAAAGGCGAGAACCCAGTATCTTATGCTGGAATGTTAGGAACCGAAGATCTCCTAAAATTTATCCAGCTGTAAGTATTCAGCTTCATTATAAGATCTCTGAATGTTTAGGTCTTTAGAAGTTCTAATTCTCAGACTTTGCTAACACTTAAAATAGGTTAAGGAAGATACTAGAATTGAGATCACAAAATGAATATTTATGAAAGTCTGTGTACATTTCAACACTTTTCGGGAGATAGCAATTTTGTTTAATGAGTCTGATTTTCTTTAAGAATAATATTTAATTTTCTATATTTTGTAAGATATTATCCTATGTAATATATTGTTTGCTATGTTTAGTATGCTTTTTTTTTACAAACTGAAAATATCTTAAAAAATTAATTTGTAATATAGTTATATGTTTATCCAGCAACAGGATTTCATATCCAGTGAATATAACATCGATCCAAGAAGCAGAAGAATATTTAAGTGGGGAATTATATAAAGACCTCATCTTGTATTCTAGTGTGTCAGTATTGGGACTATTTAGTCCAACCATGAAAACAGGTAAGCAGAGCTGAGCTTTTAAATTATACAGTAGAGTATATCATTGCTTGCTAGTTTTATTTTTTAAGAATATCTTTTTAAATTATAGAGAATTTCAAAATTATGGAGAAGTTTGAAGAAAAATAAAATATCGTAAGCTAATTATTCAGAGATAGTGTTAAATTTTGATGTAATTTCTTCCATCTTTTTTCTGTGTACCTACAGATTGCATATTTATGTATGTTTTAACATAATTGGGCTAAAACTGTGTATCTAGGTTAGAATCTTGCGTTTTTTTTGTTTGTTTTGTTTTTTTGAGACAGAGTCTCGCTCTGTCACCAAGCTGGAGTGCAGTGGCGTGATGTCGGCTCACTGCAACCTCTGCCTCCTGGGTTCAAGTGATTCTCCTGCCTCAGCCTCCTGAGTAGCTGGGACTACAGGCACATGCCACCATGCCCAGCTAATTTTTGTGTGTTTAGTAGAGACGGGGTTTCACCATGTTGGCCAGGATGGTCTCCATCTCTTGACCTCATGATCCGCCTGCCTTGGCCTCCCAAAGTGCTGGGGTGAGCCACCGCACCTAGCCAGAATCTTGTTTTTATTTAACATTACAATGATGTATTGATATTCTTCATGAACATTATGGCTACATAATATTTGGTGAATATATATATCAAAATGTATTTAAATTTGTTTTTTGTTTTTTTTTTTGAGACGAGATCTTGCTCTGTCACCTAGGCTGGAGTGCAATGGCATGATCTCGGCTCACTGCAATCTCTGCTTCCTGGGCTCAAGCAATCCTCCCATCTCAACCTCCTGAGTAACTGGGACCACAGACATGTGCCACCATGCCCAGCTAATTTTTTGTGTTTTTGTAGAGACAGGATTTCACCATGTTGCCCAGGCTGGTCTTGAACTTCTGAGCTCAAGTGATCCACCCATCTTGGCCTGCCGAAGTGTTGGGATTACAGATGTGAGCCACCACACCTGGCCTTATTTAACTATTTATGAACAATATTTGTACTGTTTCCTTTTTTTTTCCTTCTGTATGTGAAGAATATTTTTGAGTCTTTGTATGGATTTTAGACCATATAATGAGTTTAGGTTCCCAATAGAATAACGTATGTCTTCTATAAATTGTAGGTTATATACATTACTCATGGTTTTTTGTTTTTTTTTTTGAGACAGGGTCTCGCCCTATTGCCCAGGTTGGAGTACAGTGACACAATCACAGCTCACTGCACACTCAACCTCCTGGGCTTAAGTGAGCCTCCCACCTCAGCCTCCTGAGTAGCTAGGATTATAGACATGTGCCACCATGCCCACTAATTTTTTAATTTTTCATAGAGATGAGGTCTCCCTGTGTTGCCCAGGCTGGTCTCAAACTCCTGGGCTCAAGCAGTTTTCCTGCCCTGGCCTCCCAAAGTGCTGGTAGTATAGGCATGAGCCACTGTACTTGCCCACTCACTTTTTAAAATGGAGTTTTACTGTTTGTCTAATGAATTGGTGTGAGACCTTTGTATATTAAGGATATTAAGCTTTTGTCATTTTGTTTCAGTTATTTTCCCTCAGTCTGTTATTTGCTCTTTAGCTTTGTTTAATGATAATTTTGTATATCACAGTTTAAAATTTTTTTAATCTATTGATTTTAAGATTTCTTCTATTGCTTTTAGCTATAAAAAACCCTATCATTTTTGTCACCTAATATTCACCTGTATTTTTTCTTGCTTTAATTTACAATATTTTCCTATTTTAATTTGTCTTGCTTTGTATATTTTTTCTTTTAAAAAAATTTTGATAACATACACATAACGTAAAATTTACCATCTTACCCATTTTTAAGTGTATGTTTTACAAGTATTAAGTATATTCACATTGTTGTACAACTAATCTCCAGAACATTTTCATCTTGCAAAACTGAAACTCTGTACTCATTAAACAACAGCTTTTCATTTCATCCTCCTCCCAGGCCCTGGTAACCACCACTCTACTTTCTGTTTATATGAGTCTGGCTACTCTATGTACCTCATACAGGTGGAATCATACAGTATTTATCTTTTTCTGACTGACTTATTTCACTTAGCATAATGTCTTCAGGGTTCATCTATATTGTAGTGTGTGTCAGAATTTCCTTCCAATTTAGGCCGAATAGTATTCCATTGTATGTATATATCTTATTTTGTTTATCTGTTTATCCATTAATGAATTTTTGGGTTACTTCTACCTCTTGGCTGTTGTGAATAACGCGGTTGTGAACATGGGTATGGAAATATCTCTCTGGTACTCTGCTTTCAATTATTTTGAGTACATACTGAGAAGTGGAATTGCTGGGTCATATGGTAATTCTGTTTTTAGTTTTTGAGGAACCGCAGTACTATTTTCCGCCCTGGCTGCATCATTTTACATTCCTACCAACAGTGTACAGGGGTTCCAATGACTTTAACATCCTTGCCAATATTCGTTATTTTATTTTATTTTTTATGATAGCCATCTTAATGGGTGTGAGGTGATATCTTGTTGTGGCTTTGATTTGCATTTCCCAGACGATTAGTGATGCTGAGCATCTTTTCATTATGCTTCTTGGTCATTTGTATATATTCTTTGGAGAAATGTCTGTAACTCCTTTGCCTGTTTTTAAATTGGGTTATTTATATTTTTGTTGCAGAAATTCTTTATATATTCTGGATATTATCCTTTATCAAAGATTTGATTTGTAAATATTTTCTCTCATTCCATAGATTGCTTTTTTACTCTGTTGATTGTGATTTTTTTCCCTTTTTTAAAAGTTTTTAACCCTTTAGATATTTTAGTGCATGGGATGAGTGTTGGTGCCAACTTAATTTTTTTTCTAATAGTTAACGTTTATCCTTTTTTTCTCCTCTATATGTGATTTCACCAGCACCATGTTGTCCTTATCTATATGTGTGTGTGTGTGATATATGTCTGTTTAATTGTTTTCTATTTTATTCACTTTACCTATTGATACTTAGTCTATTAGTTTTATAATACATGTTGAATATAGAGTCAAGTCTCTGATCTGTCTTTTTAAATATTTTCTTGTTTTTTTTTCTATTGACTCTACTAGGTGAACATTAGTAATTTATACTTATTCTCTTAACTGATTTGGATATCTGCTGCTTGTTTTATGCTTCATTATTGTTTTTCTTTATTTTTTATTATTATTATTTTTTGAGATGGAGTCTTGCTCTGTCACCCAGGCTGGAGTGCAGTGGCGTGATCTCGGCTCACTGCAAGCTCCGCCTCCCGGGTTCACGCCATTCTCCTGCCTCAGCCTCCCGAGTAGCTGGGACTACAGGAGCCTGCCACCATGCCCCGCTAATTTTTTTATATTTTTAATAGAGACGGGGTTTTAACGCATTAGCCAGGATGGTTTCCATCTCCTGACCTTGTGATCCGCCTATCTCGGCCTCCCAAAGTGCTGGGATTACAGGCATGAGCCACCGCGCCTGGCCATTTTTCTTTATTTTTTAAAATATGGTGTCTGCTTCTTTTGCTTGTATTTTCTCCAGGACTAGAGAAAATGTTCCCCAAAAACATATTTGAACCTATAAAGTTAAAGATCGTTTCAATGATTTGGACTCCCTCTTGTGGAAGATGCTTTTAATTTCTTTTTTGAAGTCTTTTTTTTTTTTTTTTTTTTTTTTGAGACAGAGTCTTGTTCTGTCATCCGGGTTGGAGTGCAGTGGTGTGATCTCAGCTCACTGCAACCTCTGCCTCCCAGGTTCAGGCATTTCTCCTGCCTCATTCTCCCAGGTTGTTGGGACTACAGGCATGTGCCACCATGCCTGGCTACTTTTTGTATTTTTAGTAGAGATGGGGTTCTATGGTTTTTTTTTCTTTGTATGCCATGGTTTCATGTTATGGATTCATATTACCTTTATTGCTGAGCTTTTATTTATTTATTTAATTATTTATTGCATCATACGTAATAAAATGTTGGAAATTTTTGAAAGAAAATCCTTCATTCACTTTTCCAACATTTTATTATGAACTTTTTCAAGCACACAGCAAAGTTCAAAGAATTGTACAGTGAACACCCATATACTCACCACCTAGATTCTACCATTAACATTTTATATTTGCTTTAGTATATACCTGTATATCTTTCTACTTATTAATTCATCTTATTTTTGATGCAATTCAAATTAATGTTTTTGCATTCAACTTTGATATGCTTATAACAATTATTTTTACTTTGATAGTTTTACATGGCAGCATAAACTACAGTATTTTTTAAATATCACACCTTCTCTTTACTTAGACCGTTACTCTTTATTTATCTCTTGCTTCACAGGAATGTGTCTTTCAATAAGTTTTTAAGGAAGGGTACACATAGGGTGTTTTTTCTGACCGATAGTATTTCTGGGAATGTTATTTGTTGCTTTTGCATCTAGGTGGCCTCTTGAGTCGGTAACAAAACCCTCAATTTTTTTTTTTTTTTTTTTGAGATGGAGTCTTGCTCTGTCGCCCAGGCTGGAGTGCAGTGGCGCGATCTCGGCTCACTGCAAGCTCGGCCTCCCAGGTTCACGCCATTCTCCTGCCTCAGTCTCCCGAGTAGTTGGGACTACAGGCGCCCGCCACCAAGCCCGGCTGACTCTTTGTATTTTTAGTAGAGACGGGGTTTCACCGTGTTAGCCAGGATGGTCTCGATCTCCTCACCTCGTGATCCACCCGCCTCGGCCTCCCAAAGTGCTGGCATTGCAGGCGTGAGCCACTGCGCCTGGCCAATGTTTACTTCATTATACTAACTCTTACCATTTATCTAGGAAACTTCCCTCCTCCTTGTTTTTCTTTTCTTGAGTTGGATTTCAAATTCTGAATGAAAGAGTTTAAGAATATTTGTCTGAGAAGAGGACCCCACTGGTCTAGCATTATGTTTGCACATAGTAGATACTATTAACTACATATTAAATTTTGCTTTCTACAAATTTACATCTAGCAATTTTTTTCTACTTTGTTTTCAGAATTGTAAAAAGTAAAAACGAAAGGAACTTACAAAAAATAAATAATAAGAATATTAATATGTGCCCTGTGGCTTATCATCTTTGAAGGCAAAATCCTAGAGAGCATATCTTTATATTTTTTATTTTTTTTGAGACAGAGTCTTGCTCTGTCACCCAGGCTCAGTGACATGCAGTGGCATGATGTTGGCTCACTGCAACCTCCACCTCCCAGGTTCATGCAGTTTTCATGCCTCAGCCTCCCAAGTACTGAGACCACAGACATGTGCCATGCAGCAGCACGCCCAGCTAATTTTTTGTCTTTTTAGTAGAGACAGGGTTTCACTGTGTTGGCCAGGCTGGTCTCAAACTCCTGGCCTGTAGTGATCTGCCCACCTGAGCCTCCCAAAGTGCTGAGATTATAGGCGTGAGCCACCGCACCTGGCCTTATAGAGAGCATAACCTTCTAATGAAAAAAAAAATTTTTATGAAAAATTGGGAAGTAAGTCTGTGTTTTACTCCTCCACCTTCCTTCCCTTTTGAATGTTTTTGCTCCAACGGTTGACAGTGTCCTCTCTGTACCTCAGGTGCCTGGTGCCCTAACCTTCTCATTTATTATTCACACTAGGCCTCCTTCCAAGAAGAATTTAAGTCTTCAGATCATAAAAAGCACAAATAGGATAAAATCATTGAAAACAGTGTAAAAACTCAGCAATAAAACAGTAGGGGGTAATTATGTAGAAAGTCTAGAAAACACTGTCGTTTGTCATAAAACTTAGCCCTAAGCAATCTGGTAGCAACTAGAAACAAAAAGATGAAATTTTTGCCGTCTATCGTCATATGTAATAAATCACAACACACAAGTTAGGATGCTGATTAATCCACAGAGAAAACTTTTTCCTAATTCAAATATTGAAAAGAATTTTTCATATTATTTTTTACATTGGGAATCAACATAAGAAATGGTGTACTTGATCATATTTTTACACAAATGATGATAAAATGTACATACAGTCATCTCGCAATACAAGTCAAAAACGTAATGTTAAATTATTTAAAGGTAGTTCTGGTGTGCCAGAATGATGTAGCCTGGATATGATAACTTCATTATTTGACTGGATTGATTGTTCCCAACATTGTCAGTTAGATATTCGTTCCTTTTTATTTCTTTTAGTTTGTTTTTGTTTTTTTGCAAACACTGATATATTAGTAGCTGGACTATCAACATCTATTGAAGAGAGAATAAATAATGATAAAAATCTTATGAATTTATTAACATTTCTATATAAATTTGTGTTTTGTTAATAAAAGCTAACTCGTGTTAAATTTAGCCTAAAGCTGCCTCCGTATATATTTTAAGTTCAGACTAAAGGTTTCTCTATAAGTAGTGAACTGTAACCTAACTAAATGTATAAACAGACTATAACCAACTCTTATACCACTCACCAAGTTTTGGTCAATCAAAGGTGGCCAACTGTTCAAATCCTGTTCAAATAAGACAAATGCCAAGCTGTAACCAATCCAGCTATTTCTTCACCTCACTTCCTCTTACTGTCTGTAAATCCTTTCTGACTTCATGGTAGCACTGAGGTTGCCATGAACCTATTCTGGTTTGGGGGGGCTGCCCAGCCGCAAATGGTTCTTTGATCGGTTAAACTCTATTAAATTTAGTTCAAAGTTTTTCTTTTAACAGATGGTGTCAGAAATAGGACCTATAGTAGAACTTCCAGCGACCCCCGGAAGCATAGAGTGACCAAATGGTGTACCCGCTGGGCCCATTGTGTCCATTGCTCTCTCGCAGCCACTGGGGATCGTGGGTAAGTTCTCTTTCAGACTTTGAAGCTCCACGGCTTTGTGTTCTGAGCTATCTGAGTTTGTTTGAGCAGATTTTTTTTTTTTTTTATCTGAACTGGGTTTGGAAGTTGTTACAGAAACTGGACTGGGTCCAGGATCAAATTAGGTCTGATAATTAACTGACTTAGATCTAGTTAAAGGCCTCAGATGTCTGAATCAGACAGAAACTGACAGTAAATGGCAATATTGTAGGTAGTATGAACTTCAGCTTTCAGAAATTTGCAGGGACTTTTGTGTTCTATCCCCTTTGTTTCTTTTTCTTGCACTCATAGGTAGGAAAAAAGTCAATGACTAAGTTGTGAGGAAATCTGAGAGCCAAAGCCAAGATTCAACATAAAAATGAGATCCTTAATTTCTGAAGAACTGAGTACTCCACTTTCTGGCTACAACTACCTACAAACACTTACAAAAATGGCAAAATGTTACTAAAGGTAATTTAAAGTTGCAGTAGAACATTTCAAATGAAAAATGCTACACTTTAGAAGTACATTTAAAAATGAGGACTCTCTAATTAGGCTTATTCAGGGATGCCTATTGGTGTGCAGAAGCTTCTGAAAAGATTTCAGTATTTTTATTGCCTGTTTTAAAAGACCCTTTATAACAGGTAGCCAGGGCCAGGAACAGTGGCTTATATTTCCACATGCCTATAATCCCAGCATTTTGGGAGGCCGAGGCAGGCAGATCACTTGAGGTCAGGAGTTTTTAACACCAGCCAGGCTGGGCAACATGGTGAAACCCTGTCTCTACTAAAAATACAAAAATTAGCCAGGCATGGTGGCATGTGCCTGTAATTCCAGCTATTTGGGAGGCTGAGGCATAAGAATTGCTTCAACCCAGGAGGCGGAGATTGCAATGAGCCAAGATTGTGCCACTGCACTCAGTCTGGATGATGGAGTGAGAGTCTGTCTAATCCCAGCTACTCAGGAAGCTGAGGTGGGGGGAATGTTTGAGGCTAAGAGTTCAAGACCAGCCTAGGCTACACAGGAAGACTGTGTCTCTAAAAAAAAATATAAACAAAAATATAAAGAACTTGCTGACTATAGGTTTAAAAAAATAAAAGAGAAACCATTTAAAAGCCAGCAAATGAAAATTTTGTATAAAAGCCATAAAATCTGCTTCTGTCTGGATGTCTCTATGTCTATATGTGTTATGTATGTGTGATATTTGGTAAATCTAGTTTCAAAGTTGTTAACAAAGTAAAATAAAAATGGCTTCAAGAGTGTAACTTAAATATAATTCAGATATTTTTGCCTGGATCTACTGGTCAGACAGGTTTATGCTGTCTTTACATGTTTTAAGGTCATAAAACTGCTAATTTTCTATAATATTTTTGGCACTTGCTTGATTTGTCTGTGGGCTAAAGCTGGCTGTTGAGCTTCCCTAGAGCTTTGCACACATCTTACTATAAGCTGGTCTTTGGTTTTGAGCTTCAAGATTCTGGGGTCTGGACAGGTGGCCATGGTAAGGCCTGGAGGCATGTCGTCAATGCTTAGGCCACCTGCTGCAGGGCCCCTTGTTCCTCCTTGCTTGGCCCAGATTTGCCTCATGGCCATGCTGGGAGTGGTCAGATCCACCAGACATCCTCTTCACAGCTCTGTCTTCTGTCCTGACATCTGGTATGTAAATTTAGGACCCAAAAGAGCCCTGCCTTTTATAGGCATCAGGTGCCACATGGGTACTCAGGACTAAGGACAACTGAGAAAGACATTAAGGAGGGTACCTGTGTCATAATTTATTTTCCAATAATTAAAAATCTTTAAGTCATGTTAAATAATAATAAAATGTCTGAGTCATTCCTAAATAAGTTAAAATACTAAAATTAATTATCAAACATATGTTTGTTTATGTACTTTGACATCTTATTTTTACATGATATAAAAAAGCTAAATATATTTAGATTTGTTAATAAAATTAAAATATCTAAAAATTATAAATGATTTTCATCTACAAATATTGATATAAAACAGTTCAAAATTAATTTCTAGGTTTTTACTAGAAATTTGGGTTACTAAGAGTCAAAATTATAGCTAACATAATATAATTAAAACTACTAAATGTAAGAGAATTCTAAATAAAGAGTCTATTAAAAAAGCAAGATATATTTTTGGTGAGGAAAGTTATAAAGGCATAAAAATGTGAGAAAAAAAGAAGTTATTTAAAGATTGTTTCAAATTAAAAGAACTAAAAGATATAGATAAAACTAAATAAATTGTAGAAAGTTAGAAAACTTCAAAATTGTTATGAGATTACAAAGTTTATTTTAAAATCTTGTGTGATTAAAAGCTGACTGAAATGAGATTTGTATATAAGTTTTTATTAAAATCAGCTTTAGAATTGATAATACACTAATAAAAGAATACAAATTTAGTTTTCTCTTTTGCACATAAATTTCATGTAATACTAATAAGACACAATAAAACACTTTCATTCACGTTTTGAATAAACTCTCAAAAAAGGGAGAAAGAAGAGACATATTCTATAGACATATTCTGAGTCCTTTTTTAATCAACAAATAAAGGTCTTTGCTTTTTAAAACCTCTTAATTATCACTTTGGCTAAATAAATGATTTATTTTACAGTGACCTGTGATCTATTTTGATAAGTGTTTTAAACTTTTGACATATTTAATAGGCTTCCCAAAATCAAGTTCAAAATTAAGTCTTTTTGACCTCAAAGTAACTTTCAAATGTTACAGAGGGCCCCTGCAACATCCAAAAGAGAGATAATGAACAGGTTAATTTATTATGGAAAATTACATGAAAAACATTGTCAGAAGATAATGTTCAACCTTCTTTGACTTTCATACGATTTTTGAAATACTTTTTTTCTAGTTCTGTGAAAAATATCATTGGTAGTTTGATAGGAATAGCATTGAATCTATAGATTGCTTTGGGCAGTATGGCCATTTTAATGATATTGTTTTTTCCCATTCATGAGCTTGGGATGTTTTTCTATTTGTTTGTGTTTTCTCTGATTTCTTTGAACAGTGTTTTATAATTCTCCTTGCAGAGATCTAATTTTTGCATTTTTAGTAGAGATGGGGTTTAGCCGTGTTACCCAGGCTGGTCTCAAACTCCTGAGCTCACGTTATCCTCCCACCTCGGCCTCCCAAAGTGCTGAGATTACAGGAGTGAGCCACTGTGCCCAGCCTGGATGCTCTTTTTTTCTTTCTCTTGCCTGATTTCTCCAGCTAGGACTTCCAAGACTGCATTGGGTAAGAGTGGTGAAAGAGGGTGTCCTTGTCTTGTGCCAGTTTTCAAGGGGATTACTTCCAACGTTTGCCCATTCAGTATGATGTTGACTGTGGGTTTGTCATAGATGGCTCTTATTGAGGTGTGTTTCTTCAGTACCTAGTATATTGAGAGTTTTTAACATGAAGGGGTATTTTATTGAAGGCCTTTTCTACATCTACTGAGATAATCATGTGATTTTTGTCTTTAGTTCTGTTTATGAGATAAATCACATTTATTGATTTGCATATGTTGAACTAACCTTGCATCCCAGGGATGAAGCCTACTTGATTGTGGTAGATTAGCTTTTTGATGTGCTACTGGATTTAGTTTGCATACTTTGTTGAGGATTTTCAATGTTGATCAGGAATACTGGCCTGAAATTTTCTTCTTTTGTTGTGTCTCTGCCAGGTTATGGTATCAGGATGATGCTGGCTTCATAGAATGAGCTGGGGAGGAGTCCCGCCTCCTTAATTTTTGGGAATAGTTTCAATAGGAATGGTATCAGCTCTTCTTTGTATGTCTGGTAGAATTTGGCTGTGAATCCATCAGGTCCTGGGCTTTTTTTGGTTGGTAGGCTATTTATTACTGATTCAAGTTCAGAACTTGTTACTGGTCTGTTCAGGGAATCAATTTCTTCCTGGTTCAGTCTTGGTAGTGTGTATGTGTCCAGGAGTTTATCCATCTCTTTCAGGTTTTCTAGTTTGTATAATATAGGGGTTAGGAGTGCTTTTAGTTACTGGGGTTTTCTTGCTTCTCAGCTCTCCCTGCTGACAGAGCTAAAAAACAGATGTATGTATGTGTGTGTGTCTATAAAAATAATTATTCAATAAGATGTGATAGTAGAAAAAATAATATTGCTAAATAAATATGTTTATTTTATGCAATTAAAATATATTTATAGTAGCTGAAAAGCTTTTTGTGCATATTTTTATTCAGATAATTGAGTACTTTCTTGTATTTGAGGTTGCCATATATTTTGGCATATATACAGTTTTTACCAAGGAGGAGAATATGCCTGGTTTTGAATGTTCAGAGGAAAATATGTATTCTAGTTTAGTGGAAATGGATATGCATCTGAGATCTACAGTCATATATTTTCCCATCCTGTGAGTCACTTAGGATTTACAAACACATGGATTTACGAAGAGACTTTTTAAGAGACATATTCATAAGTAGAGAGTCTTTTGTATGAGGAAATTATATGGAAATAATGGTGTACTTTTCTATTGCTACTTACCTAAAATGAAAAGAAGCTGAAACAGATTCTGTTATGTCATTGCTTTAGATATAGTTTATCCATTGACTGGAATTTCACTCTGTTCACTCTTAGAAATGAAAGTACAGACACACAGTCCTTTCTAGTTTATAATCTCATGTGTCTTTTCTACTTTGATGTAGCATGGGCTAAAAAAATATTTTAATAAATTTTCTCTCTGTCTCTCGTCTCTCTTTTTATTTTTTTTGAGACAGAGTCTCGCTCTGTGGCCCAGGCTGGCATGATCTCAGCTCAGTGCAATCTCCTTCTCCCAAATTCAAGCGATTCTCATGCCTCAGCCTCCTGAGTAGCTGGGACTACAGGCACATGCCACCATGCCCAGCTAATTTTTGTATTTTAGTAGAGATGGGGTTTCACCATGTTGGCCAGGCTAATCTCAAACTCCTGTCCTCAAGTGATCCACCCACCTCGCCTCCCAAAGTGCTGGGATTACAGGCGTGAGCTACCGCACCTGGCCAGTTGTCTCATTAAATCTGTGATTGTAAATGAGCTCCCCATGCTGCCTACTGAGCTACTCTAGTAAGTTTGCTTTCCTACAGACAGTATTGCTCAATCTTAGGGAAAGTATGTACCCTTTTTAAAGAAAATAATCTTGTGGTTACCCAATGTTGACAATGTTGAATGCTTACATCATGAATGTAGTGCTGACTGCTGAGGTACAGATCTTTGGGTTCAGCATGCCTAGCCTAGTAGGTACTATGTGACTCATTCTTCCATGAGTGTTTTTCTGTTTGACTGCTGTGAATCTTTCATGTATGAATTGAATTATCATTTGGCCTTCACTTGGCAAGAATTTGACCTATAAGTCCACCTCTGTGCTTTTCTCATTAGTCTACAATGATTTAATTCAGACTTGCTTCTTGGTTATAGGATAGTCATTATTAACAAGATCCACAGTATGCTATTATTAATGAAAATGTATTCAGAAATTTGTAGAAATAGCTTGTATTTTGAATATGTGTATCCTAACAAATGAGAAAAGACAATACAAATTAATCAAAGTTCAAAACTAATGAAAACACATTAGAGAAAATGTAGGAATTGTTTTTTAAAAGACACAGAATCCCTTCTACTTGCACAACCCTAACACAGACACTGTTAGAGGGCTAGAATTTTCAGTCTGCTATTTTTTATGCATATAGATACTTTCAGATTTTATGGTTATAATGTGCATATCATTTCACATACCTACTTCTCTTTTCAGGCTACACATAAGACAGCTGTCTCCATTTACTCTGCCATAGGAGTAAATTAAAAGGCAAAAAGTATTTATTCAGTAATTATGATTAGAGTGCTATAAAGCTTATGAATTACATTTAGAGTACATTTGTTTTGGAAGCCATGTTGCATTATATCAATTGACATTTCTTTAGTAATCCCATGTCATAAAGAGAATACAGATTTATTTTGGAACCACTAAATTATATAAGACATCTGCACTTAAATATTTTTGTAATTAATTAATAATGAAATACTACCACCTATAAATCTCTTCATCAGTTGAATAGCATACATAATTATAAAGGTTTCAGATTTTTGTCTTCTCTATGTATTTATAGCAAAAGAAGATTTTAGTGAAGCAGGAAACTACCTAAAAGGATATGTTATCACTGGAATTTATTCTGAAGAAGATGTTTTGCTACTGTAAGTTTATTGCTCTTTTAATTTTAGGGAGGGAGAAATTATGCAAAATAATGTTATCTAATAATTGCTTATATTTACACAGCTGATGGAGGAAAATAAGGTAGCAATCTAAAGAAATTTTTTTTATTTCCTTCTAGGAAATAAAGTACCTGGGAAATACTTTAGATTCTTTAGCTATTCTTTTATTTTAGACCAAAGACCCCATGGGGCAGTCTTGGATTCGTACTTCACCATCCTCCTATAAAAATTTTCCTCTTTGGGTTCTATTACCTACAATGTGGTTCTTTGGAGTTATCATAGTTTGGGATAAATTTTTCTTTTTGAGCATCTGAGGTTTTATTTACCCCCTGGGTGGGTGAGTGGGTACGTGTGTGTATAAAAATCAGTGCTTTTTTAGCTTCTTAAATTACCTTATCTGTAGAAGGTGGGACTTCTATGGACTACCAAAATATTTTAGTTGCTATAGAATGAAGGACTGAACTGCAAATTTGGAGATTATTATTAATACATATCACATTCTCTATGGCCCATTTTCAGGTATAGGTGTACTTACTAAGCCCCAGTAGTTTGTCTTTCTTAGCTTCTGACTATAAATTCCTAATTGTGATTTCTAAGCTTAAATCTTTCATCTTGAACACTGGTGACATATGCTCTTGGTGATCAGGCTTTTGTTCTATTTGTGAAATCACTGATTTTCATAAAGTATATATTAAAGAAGGAAATATGAGGACTGTCCATCTGACAATGGGTAATCACCCATGATCTTCTACTCTGCTGTCATTGTGCGTCTAGCTGTGGTCCAAAGAGCTAGACCAGTAGTTTTCAGAGTGTGTTTTGTTTATAACCAACTGGTCAACTAAGAGGTTCCTTTAAGTGACCTGAAAACTGGCCTCTCAACTAATGCTTATGTTGTTATAATGTCTATACTTTGTTCTGGCATGAATTAAGTTATTATACATGACTACTTCACTAGTAATTTTACACAAAGCTTTCTTCTATTTAGATAATTTTCTTTTAGGTTTAGTTAGCGAAAGGGATTGTGGGAGGGTGGATTTGGGCTCTTGTTTCAGTGGAGAGAGTACAGACTATGTCAGGAACAGACTGTGTCAGGGACACCTCATTTGAAGTCTGTGTCTGCCATTTATCACTCTCTCAGTCCTATTTCTTAATCTGCAAAATGAGGTCATAATGGCCACTTTCATTCTGAAAGTTAAATAAAAACATAATTGAAATACCTAGTATAGTGCCTGGCAGATAGTAGGTTTCTCATAAATGCCCATTTTCTTACTCAGCATTGTGGTGAGCAAGTCCAGAAAGGTCGAGAACCATTCACTGTGTTCCAAATCTGATTTATTTTCTTGTTGAGTAAGTTGTATAGAAAAAAATATGGCTAGATTACTGCCTTGTTGCTTTTTAAAAATCTAGTTTGTTATAGATCATTACCTGTTTCTTTCTTTTAATGTAGGTTGTCATAGAAGATAAGTTTGCCTGGAAATGGAGTTCATTTTTTTCCTTAGCAGTAGGAATTCCCATTTGCTGCCTCACACTGTGACCTCCTAGCCTAGATTTTCATGTTTTTGACATGCTAGATTTTGATCGTGAATTTTAATACTGCCTTTCTCCATAGGTCAACCAAATATGCTGCAAGTCTTCCAGCCCTGCTGCTTGCCAGACACACAGAAGGCAAAATAGAGAGCATCCCACTAGCTAGCACACATGCACAAGACATAGTTCAAATAATAACAGATGCACTACTGGAAATGTTTGTGAGTATGTTTTATAATAAGGGTGATACTTGAAATAAAATCTAGATCAGTCAAAGGTAGTATATGTTCATACACATTTTTCCATTTTTTGCTGGTACAGGGCAGGGTGATTTGTGAGCTGAGGATTTACTGGATTGTTCTGTTTTATTGTTCAGTCATTATGCATACAGCATTTTGAGTCCACTGCTAAAAGTTTACATCTTGCTGAGACTAGTGTGGCCGAAGTTCAGTTCACGTGCTTAATCCAGGGTGAAACTTGTTATAAAGCATGTCCATTCTGGAAGGTCAGCCTGCCCAGCTTCAAATCATTGGTTGATTTCTTACTGACATAGGTTAACTTCTCTGTTCTTCGGTTTCTGCATGCATAAAATGTAGCTCATAGTAGCATCTGCTGCAGACAGTTATTGTGAGGACTGAATGAGACATGATTTGATAGTGCTTTGTGTATATTATTTAGTCCATGGTAAGCATCCAACAAATGTTAGTTACTATTCTTATTACTTATATGGGTTTTTTTGTTTTGTTTTTGAGATGGGTCTCACTCTGTTGCTGTGATCTCAGCTCTCTGCAACCTCCGCCTCCCGGGTTCAAGCAATTCTCCTGCCTCAGCCTCCCAAGTAGCTGGGATTACAGGCGCTCACTACTACACCTGGCTTTTTTTTTTTTTTTTTTTTGTATTTTTAGTAGACACAAGGTTTCACCATGTTGGCCAGGCTGGTCTCGAACTCCTGACCTCAAGTGATCCGCCTGCCTCGGCCTCCCAAAGTACTGGGATTACAGGCATAAGCCACCGTGCCCAGCCTGGTTTAAAAAAAGTTTTTAATTTCTAATTTTTCTGGGTACATAGTAGATGAATATATTTATGGGTTACATGAGCTTTTGTTTTTTTTTTTTTTTTAGACAGAGTTTCACTTCCGTCACCCAGGCTGTAGTGCAATGATGTGATCTCGGCTCACTGCAACCTCCGCCTGCCGGTCTCAAGTGATTCTCTTGCTTCAGCTTCCCAAGTAGCCAGGACTACAGGCATGTGCCACCACATCGGATAATTTTGGTATTTTTTTGTAGAGACAGGGTTTCACCATGTTGCCCAGGCTGGTCTCGAACTCCTGAGCTCAAGTGATCCTCCTGCCTTGGCCTCCCAAAGTGCTGAGATTACAGCATGAGCCACTGCACCTGGCCACATGAGGTATTTTGATACAAACATGCAATGCATAGTAGTCACATCAGAGTAAATAGGGTATCCATTACCTCAAGTGTTTACCCTTTGTGTTTCAAACAATCCAATTTACTCATTTAGTTATTTTTAAATGAACAATTAAATTATTTTTTACTATATCACCCTGTTATACTGGCAAATACTAGGTCTTCTTTATTCTTTCAAACTAGTTTTTGTACCCATTAACCATCCCTACTTCCCCCCTCCCCACCATTTCCAGTTAAAAAGGCTTTTTTTATCCAAAAGATAGGCAGTAGCAAATGCTGGTGAGGATGTGGAGAAAAGAGACCTCTTGTACACTCTTGGTGGGAATGTAAATTAGTACAACCAGAGGCTGTACTGGGTTTTGTATATGGTGAAAGATAGCAGTCTAGTTTCATTCAGCATATGGATATCCAGTTTTTTCAATAGTCCTCTTCCACTACCCTTCCCAGCTTCTGGTAACCATCCTTTTCTCTATCTCCATGAGTTCAATTGTTTTAAGTTTTAGCTCCCACAGATAAGTGAGAACATGTGCTTTTTGTCTTTCTGTGCCTGGCTTATCTAATTTAACATCATGACCTCCAGTTCCATTCATGTTGTTAAAAATGACAGAATCTCATTCTTTTTTTTATGACGGAATAGTATTTCATTGTGTGTATGTACCATATTTTCTTTATTCATTCATCTGTTGATGGACCCTGAGGTTGCTTCCAAATCTTGGCTGTTATGAATAGTGCTACAATAAATCTGCGAGTGCAGATATCTCTTTGGTATACTGATATTCTTTTGGGAATGTACTCAGGAGTCACATTGCTGAATGGTAAGATATGTCTATTTTTAGTTTTTTGAGGAGCCTCCAAACTGTTCTCCATAGTGGTTGCACTAATTTACATTCCCACTGAGAGTATACGAGGGGTCCCTTTTCTCCACATCCTCACCAGCATTTGTTATTGCCTTTTGGATAAAAGCCATTTTAACTGGAATGGAATAATACCTAATTGTAGTTTTGATTTGCATTTCTCTGATGATCAATGATGTTGAGCACCTTTTCATGTACCTGTTTGCTGTTTGTATGTATTTTTTTGAGAAATGTCTATTCAGATCTTTTGCCCATTTTTTAAATCAGATTTTTTCCTACTGATACAGAGTTGTATCAGTTCTTTATATATTCTGGTTATTAATCCCTTGTCAGATGGGTAGTTTGCAGATATTTTCTCCCATTCTGTGGGCTCTCTCTCCACTTTGTTGATTGTGTCCTTTGCTGTGCAGGACCATTTTGTCTTGATGTGATCCCATTTGTCATTTTTGCTGTGGTTGCCTGTGCCTGTGGGATAATATTGCTCAAGAAGTCTTTGCCCAGTCTAGTGTCCTGTAGAGTTTCCCCAGTGTTTTCTTGTAGTAGTTTCATAGTTTAAGGTCTTAGATTTACGTCTGGAATCCATTTTGAATTGATTTTTGTATATGATGAGAGATAGGGGCCTAGTTTCATTCTGCCTATGGATATCCAATTTTCCCAGCACCATTTATTGAAGAAATTATTCTTTCCCCAATGTATGTTCTTGGAACCTTTGTCGAAAACGAATTCACTGTAGATGTACAGATTTATTTCTGCATTCTGTATTCTGTTCCATTGGTCTATGTGCCTGTTTTTATGCCAGTACCATGTCACTTTGGTTACTATAGCTCTATAGTATAATTTGATGTCAGGTAATGTGATTCCTCCAGTTTTGTTCTTTTTTTGCTTAGGAATAGCTTTGGCTATTCTGGGTCTTTTGTGAATCCATATAAATGTTAGAATTATTTTTTCTATTTCTGTGAAGAATATCATTGGTATTTTGATAGGGCTTGCATTAAATCTGTAGTTATTTTGGGTATTAAGAACATTTTAACAACAGTGATTCTTCCAGTCCATCAACATGGGACATCTTTCTATTTTTGTGTGTTCAGTTCAGTTTCTTACATCAATGTATTATAGTTTTCATCGTAGAGATCTTTCACTTCTTTAGTTAATTCCTGGGTATTTAATTTTACTTGTGGCTATTGTAAATAGGATTACTTTCTTGATTTCTTTTTCAGATTGTTCACTGTTGGCATATAAAAATGCTGCTGATTTTTGTATTTTGATTTGTCTTGCAACTTTACTGAATTTGTTTATCAGCTTGAATAGTTTTTCGATGGAGTCTTTAGTTTTTCCAAATATAGGATTATATCATCTGCAAACAAAGATAAGTTGACTTCTTCCCTTCCAATTTGGATGCCTATTATTTCTTTGTCTTGTTTGATTGCCCTAGCTAGGACTTCCAGTACTATGTTGAATAATAGTCATGACAGTGGGTATCCTTGTCACGTTCCAGATCTTAGAGAAAAGACTTTTTCCCCATTCAGAATGACACTAGCTGTGGCTATGGCATATATGGCTTTGTTATGTTGAGGTATATTCCTTCTGTACCCAGTTTTTTGAGGGTTTTTTTAATGAAGGGATGTTGAGTTTTATCAAATGCTATTCAGCATCAGTTGAAATGATCATATGGTTTTTGTCCTTTATTGTGTTGATATAATGTATCACATTGATTGATTTGTGTATGTTGAACCATCCTCGCATCCTTGGGGTAAATCATACATGGACATGATCAATGATCTTTTTAATGTATTGTTGAATTGGTTTGCTAATATTTTGTTGAGGATTTTTGCATCAATTGATATTCATCAATGATATTGGCCTGTTGTTTTCTTGATATGCCTTTGTCTGGTTTTTATACCAGGGTAATACTGGCTTTGTAGAATGAGTTTGGAATTACTCCTTTCTCCTCTATTTTCCAGGATAGTTTGAGTAGGATTAGTATTCATGTTTTTTTTTTTTTTAAATTTCAATAGGTTATTGGGGAACAAGTGGGATTTGGTTACATGGGTAAGTTCTTTAGTGGTGATTTCTGCACCCATCACCTGAGCATTATGCACTGTACCCAATGTATAGTCTTTTATCCCATCACCCTCCTTTTACCCTTCCCCTCAAGCCCCCAATGCCCATTATTTCATTCTTATGCTTTTGTGTCCTCATAGCTTAGCTTACACTTAGAAACATATGATGTTTGATTTTCCATTCTTGAGTTACTTTACTTAGAATAATGGTCTCCAGCTCCATCCAGGTTGCTTTGAATGCCATTATTTCTTTCCTTTTATGGCTGAGTAGTATTCCACAATGTGTGTGTATGTATACATATATATATGTATGTGTGTGTGTGTGTATATATATATATATATATATATATATAAAACACATTTTCTTATCCACTTGTTGATTCATGGGCGTTTGGGCTGGTTCTGTATTTTTGCAATTGCAAATTGTGCTACTATAAACGTGTGTGCACCAGTAGTGAGATTGCTTGATCAAATGGTAGATACACTTTTAGTTCTTTAAGGAATCTCCAACTGTTTTCCATAGTGGTTGTACTAGTTTACATTCCCACCAGCAGTGTAAAAGTGTTCCCTTTTCACCACATCCATGCCAACATCTGTTATTTTTTTAAATTATGGCCATTCTTGCAGGAGTAAGGTGGAATTGCATTGCGGTTTTGATTTGTATTTCCCTGATAATTGGTATTAGTTCTTTAAATGTTTAGTATAATTCAGCAGTGAAGCCATTGGGTCCCGAGCTTTGGCTTTTTTTTTTTTTTCTGGAAGCCTTTGTATTATAGCTTCAATCTCCTTGTTTGTTATTGGTCCATTTAGGTTTTGAATTTCTTCATGGTTCAATCTTGGTTGGTTGTATGTGTCTAAGAATTTGTCCATTTCTTCTAAATTTTCCAATTTATTGGCATATAGTTGCTCATAGTAGCTACTAATGACCTTTTGAATTTCTGCTATATCAATTGTAATGTCTCCTTTTTCATCTCTGATTTTATTTGGGTCTTCTCTCTTTGTTTCCTAGCTAGTCTGACTAAGGGTTTGTCAATTTTGTTTAACTTTTCGGAAAACCAACTTGTTTCCTGGATGTTTTGTATTGTTCTCTTCATTTCAATTTCATTTATTTCTGCCCTGATCTTTATTATTTCTTTTCTTCTGCTAATTTTGGGTTTGGTTTGCTCTTGCTTTTCTAGTTCTTTAGGTGTATCATTGGGTTGTTTCTTTGAAGTTTTTCCACTTTTTGATGTAGGTGCTCATTGCTATAAACTTTCCTTTTAGTACTGCTTTCAGTGTATCCCAAGGGTTTGGGTATGGTTTTTTTCCAAGAAATTTTAAAATTTCTTTTTTAATTTCTTCATTGACCCCACTGGTCATTCAGGAGCATATTGTTTAATTTCCATGTGTTTGTATAGTTTCCAAAATTGCTCTTGTTATTGATTTCTAGTTTTATTCCATTGTGGTGAGAGAAGATGCTTGATATTATTTCAGATTTTTTGTTTAAATGTTATAAGGCTTGTTTTATGACTTAACCTAAAGTCTATCCTTGACAATGATCCATATGCTCAGGAGAAGAATGTGTATCTGCAGCCATTGAATGAGATGTTCTGTAAATATCTATTAGGCCCATTTTGTCTGTAGTGCAGATTAAATCTGAGGTTTCTTTGCGGATTTCCTGTCAAGAAGATTTGTCCATTGCTGAAAGTGGGTTGTTGAAATCTTCAGCTGTTATTGTGTTGGAGTTTATCTCTATCTTTGGCCCTAATAATATTTGCTTTATATACCTGGGTGCTCCAGTGTTGGGTGCATATATATTTACAATTGTTATATCTTCTTGCTATATTGACCCCTTTATCATTGTATAGTGACCTTATTTGTCTCTTCTTACAGTTTTTGTCTTGAAATCTATTTTGTCTGATATCAGTATAACGACTCCTGCTCTTTTTGGTTTCCATTGGCATGGATTATCTTTTTCCATCCTTTTATTTTCAGTCTTTGTATATCATTATAGGTGAAGTGTGTTTCTTTTAGGCAACTGATCATGGGATCTTATTATTTTTTTTTAATCTCTTCAGCCATTCTGTGTCTTTTGACTGGAGAGTTTAGTCTGTTTATATTTAATGTTATTATTGATAAGTAAGGACTTACTCCTGCCATTTTGTTATTTGTTCTTTGGTTGTTTTGTGGTCTTCCTTCCTGTCATCTTTTTAGTGAAGGTGATTTTCTCTGGTGATATGATTTAATTTTTTTAAAATTTTTTTGTGTGTATTTGTTTTGTTTTTTGATTTGAAGTTACCATGATGCTTGTAAATACTACCTTATAACTTGTTATTTTAAGCCAATAACAACTTAACACTGTTTGCATAAACGAACAAGCAAAGGAAAACTAATAAAAACTCTACACTCTGTCAAGTTAAACTCTAGTTTAACTTCATCTCCTGCTTTTTAACTTTTTATTGCTTCTATTTATATCTTATTGTACCATCTGTGTCTTGAAAAATTGTTGTGGTTATTATTTTTGATTGGTCCATTGTTTAGTCTTTCTACTTAAGAGTAGGTTACACAGCACAGTTAAGCATTATATTCTGTGTTTTACAGTGTACTTACCATTAGCAATGAGTTTTGTACTTTTAGATGAATTTTTATTGCTCATTAGTGTCCTTTTCTTCCTGATTGAAGCATTCTCTTTAGCATTTCTTGTAGGACAGATCCGGTGTTGATGAAATTCCTCAGATTTTGTTTGTCTGGGGAAGTTTTTATTTCTCCTTCATATTTGAAGGATATTTTCACCAGTTATACTATTCTAGGGTAAAAAGTTTTTTTTTTTAATTTAGCACTTTAAATATGTCATGTTATTGTCCTGTAAGGTTTCCACTGAAAAGTCAGCTGCTAGGTGTATTGGAGCTACATTGTGTGTTGTATTTCTTTTCTCTTGCTTTTAGGATCCTTTTTTTTAAATCCTTGACCTTTGGGAGTTTGATTATGCCTTGAAGTAATCTTCTTTGGGTTAAATCTGCATAGTGTTTTATAACCTTGTGCTTGGATATTGATATCTTTTTCTAAGTTTGGGAAATTCTCTGTTACTATCTTTTGAATACACTCTATCCCTATCTCTTTCTCTATCTCCTCTTTAAGGCCAGTAACTCTTAGATTTGTCCTTTTGAGGCTATTTTCTAGATCCTAGTAGGCCTGCTTCATTGTTTTTTTTTTTCATTTTTCTTTTGTTTCCTCTGACTGTTTATGAATAGCCTGTCTTCAAGCTCAGTAATTCTTTCTTCTGCTTGATCATTTCTGCTCTTAAAGGACTCTGATGTATTCTACATATGTTAGTTTAGTTGCATTTTTGAGCTCCAGAATTTCTGCTGGATTCTTTTTAATTATTTCTGTTTCTTAAATTTATCTGGTAGAATTCTGAATTCCTTCCCTGTGTTATCTTGAATTTCTTTGAGTTTTCTCTAAGCAGCTCTTTTGATTTCTCTGTCTGAAAGGACACATAGCTCTGTTTCTCCAGGATTGGTCTCTGGTGTCTTATTTGGTTCATTTGGTGAGGTCATCTTTTCCAGGACACTGTTGATACTGTTGGATGTTTGTCTGTGTCTGGGCGTTAAAGGTGTTCTCTTCTCTTACTTTCTCCCAAACAAATGGAGTCCGTCTCTCTGTTCTGAGCCACCTGGGGCTGGGGGTGGAGTGACGCAACCACCCTCAGGGGCCACCACCACTGGCACTGTGCTGTGTCAGACATGAAGCCAGCACAGTACTGGGTCTCTCCCAACACTTGCTGTAACCACTCCCTGGCTACTGCCTATGTTCACTTAAGGCCCTGGGGCTCTAAAATCAGAGGTGGCTAAGCCAGCTGGGCCTGTGTTCTTCCCTTTAGGATGGTGAATTCCTCCAGGACCAGATAGAGGAGCCTCACCCCATGGCCACTGCTACCACAGGCCCACAGGGAGTACTGGCAGGCTACTGCTCATGTTCTCTTAAGGCCCAAGGGCTCTTCCATCAGCTTGTAGTGAATGCTTTCTGGCCTGGGACTCATGCTTCAGGATAGTGGGCTTGCCTCTGGCCCAGGTAAGGTCCAGAAATGCCATCCAAGAGCCAAGGCCTAGAATTGTGGCCCCCCCAAAACCCGCTTGGTGTTCTACCCTTCTCTGGCAGAGCTGGTACCTATGGTGCAAGACAAAGTCCCCTTTACTTTTCCCTCTACTTTTCTCAAGCAGAAGGAGTCTCACCCCATAGCCACCACAGCTAAGAATGTGCTTAGTCTCACCTGAAGTCAGCAAGTCTCGGAGTCTCACTCAAGTCCTACAATGTACTACCTAGGCCCAAGGGCTCTTCACTTAGCAGTTGATAAATGCTGCCAGGACTAGGTCTTTCCCATAGAGGTAGCAGTTTCCCTTCTGGCCCAGGGTGTATCTAGAAATGTCATCCAAGAGCTGGGACCTGGAAAGGGAGCTTCACAACTCTGACCAGGGCCCTGTCCTCCTGTGGCTGAGCTGGTATCCAAGATGCAAGACAAAGTCTTTCCCAGTCTTTCCTTTCTTCTCCTTAAGCAGAAGGAAGGGGTCTCTTTTGGAGCTACAAGCTGTGCAGCCTGGGATTAGGGGAGAGGTGGCATCAGCACTCCCCTAGCTGTCCTGGCTGGTATCTCAGTAGGTCATGTGTGCCTATAGTCTGCTGGCTCTGAGCCCAGTTCAGCCCTAGGACTCACCTAGGAGTTGCAGCCTTTGTTGCCTAGACTGCCTTTCAAGTTTATTTGGGCCCCAGCACACTCCAGCCTGAGGTGACAAGTCTTGCTGTAATTCAAGTTCTGACTTCTAGGATGGGCATTTCTGCTCTGGCTAGAGATGGTTTAAATACACCCACTGTGGGCGAGCATGCACTGAGTTCAGTCTGGTTTTGCCTGCTGTTAAAACAGGGCAGCACTGAGTTCAATGCAGAGTCTCACAATTGCTGTGCTCTCCCTCTCCCAAACACATAGATTCTCTCTTCATGCAGTGTGGCCACTGCCAGGGGATGGGAGAAGGGTATCATTGATGATTCAAGACTGTTTTTCCTACCTCTTCAGTGCCTCTTTGAGCGATATAAAGTTAAAACCAGGTACTGTGAGTACTCACCTGATTTTTGGTTCTTATGAAGGTGCTTTTTTGTGTAGATAGTTGTTAAATTGCAGTAGTCATTGCAGGGGAAGAGGGGATGACTGGTAGAGTACTCTAGTCTGCCATCTTGCTTCACTCTCCTATTTGTACAGTTTTAGAAAAAAATATTGTCTTATGAAAGGCTTTTTCTTATGTTTTACTTTTACAGTCATGCATCACTTAACGAGGATATCTTCTGAGAAATGCATCGATAGGCAGTTTTATCATACAAACTTTATATAGAGTGTACTTACAGAAATCTAGGTGGTATAGCCTACTACGTACCTACGCTGTAAGGTATAGCATATTGCTCCTAGGCTACAAACCTGTACAGCATGTTACTTTACTAAATACTGTAGGCTCTTGTAACAATGGTAAATATTTGTGAATCTAAACATAGAAAAGGTACAGTAAAAACATGGTATAATCTTATGGGACCACCATCTTACATGTACTCCATTGTTGACTGAAACATCATGCGATGCATGACTGTATAATAGTGGATTCAAGGGCACAACAAATGTAACCTGTGTTACCTGATTTTAGTTGTTTGCTTTCATATTAAACATAGCTAGAATTTATACTTTTCTACATTTCTGAAGTGACTCAAGGAGCATTTTTATTAGCTATAGATGCTAAATGAATATCCTGTTAGGTTTTTTGTCTTGATGATCTAAAGGACATTACATTTTGGGCTCAACTAAGGGACTGCAGTCTTTATTAAGTCTTTTTGTGTCTTGGTTCTGTCCTTTCCTCCTGTTAAAATTATAGGTTATAAATAATCAAATCATTGAATTGATATGTTCATGATGTATGTTTCTAAATTACTTATTAAAGTAACATTTATGTTATTAATGACATGTTATTAAGTAATTCCTTTAGCATATACATAGTGTAGTATTTTTGGAATTACTAGAAGCCTTTGTTTGGCTTTTTCAGGTAATACAGAAAGGATAAAGAAGAAAATTATAATCAACCATAACTTTTCTACCCAAGTTTACGTTAGGAAATACATTTCCCCAAACCTAAATTCTGTATGTATCTGTGTGCCTTTTTATATTAATGTATTTCCATCAAGTACTATAGATACACATTTTAATTTTTAACATCTGCATAATATTGTTTACTAATGTACCAAAATTTATTTAGCCCATTTCCTCTTGATGGTTGTTTAAGCTGTCTTTAGTTTTTGTTTTATTTATAATTCAGGGAACATCCTTTTAGGTAATCTTTGGGTGTATCTATGATTATGGATTTAGGTTAAATTTCTAGAATTTGAATTGGTTGTCCAAAGAGTAGGCCCACTTTTGAGGCTTCTGATAACTTTTGTATTTCCTGACAGAAGATTTGTATCATTTTACTCTTTTTATCTTGGTATATTTAGTGGATAAAAATTGGTCTCTAATTTTTTTAAAGATTATATTCATTAAACCTTAGAAACGTAGGAGAAACTTAGTATCAAAATCTGTTTACAGTAACAACAAATGTAATATGCATTGTGACAGTTTGTTTCCAATGTTTTTATTTGTGGTGTTCAACTTAATACTGAACAGCTATAATAAAGATTAAATAGGCTTTAGAGAGACTTTAGTGCCTTCATCTGGATGAGGAAGGAGAGTTGATGACCAGAGGGTGAAGATTTTTTATTATGGTATGAAGTTTTTATTTTAATGAACCTGATGACAAATTGGGCCAGATAAATAATGCTTAAATCTGAAATACACAATAATTAACTACATAAGCATTGATATATTTAAGACTGTTTCCTGTTAGGAAATAGGGTTTAGTATTTTTCTCAGATAAACTGAGTTCCTTTTTTATGCTTTTATTATTGACAAGTTTAGAACACCAGGACCCACACAGTTATAGTCTGTTATATACTCAGAGAGCCAAAGGTCACCTTCCAAGTACCACATTTGATGACCTCTTAACTGTGTTTCTCCTTAGTGTCTCAGTAGCAGTCAAAACTGTTGTCTATACCATTCCTCCTCAACATTCTCTTTTCTTCCGGCTTTTGTAATTCAGTCCTCTTTTGTCCATCTGACCATCCTCTGTCTCATTTATTCCCTAGAATTACATCTTCAACTCTTTTTTTTTCTTCTTTTGCTATGTCTTTTCTTTGGAAAATTTTATCCATACCCATAACTTCTACCATCACTACCAGCTGATGATTCCTAAATCCGAGTGTTTAATTTTAGAACTCAGTTTCCTTCTAAACTCACAAATCTCTTGGTCTTTCTCTTTTGACTAGACATAGGAAAGAGTAGGGTCCTTCCACTGGTCCTTCTTTTCACAAATTTATATTCTAGTTAGTCATCTTTTGAAAAACAGGCCTAACTGTGTCACCAATCTGATACAGAAATCTTCTCAGTATTCCCAGGAGCTAGAATACTTATGAAGGCATTACTCATCTGGTCTCACAGCCATATTTGCCTCTTGCATGCCTAACTCTGGCATCCTTCATTATCACTATTCCAAAATATTATGTATGCTTTAATAGCTCTCTGCCTATCTTCATGATGTTCCCTATGTCTGAAATCCCTGCTCAAGCACACACCTCAGTCTGTCAAGATCTTATTCTTTATCCAGGGTCCAGCTCAAATATCAATTCCTAAAATCATCCATGAGCTCCCCTACTGTATTAGTCAGGTTTCTCTAGACGGACAGAACTAATAGGATAGATATAATAAAAGGGAGTTTATTAAGTTTTAACTAATAAAAATCACACGGTCCCACAATAGGCCATCTGCAAGCTGAGGAGAAAGGAAAGCCAGTTCGAGTCCCAAAACTGAAGAACTTAAGAGTCTGATGTTCGAGGGCAGGAAGCATCCAGCACAGGAGAAGATGTAGGTTGGGAGACTAGGCCAGTCTAGTCTTTACACTTTTTTCTGTCTGCTTTATGTTTTTTTCTAGTTGTGCTGGCAGCTGATTAGATGGTGCCCACCCAGATTAAGGTGGGTCTGCCTTTTCCAGCCCACCGACTCAAATGTTAATCTTTGACAACACCCTCATAGACACATCCAGGATCAATACTTTACATCCCTCAATCCAATCAAGTTGACACTTAGTATTAACCATCACACCTACCTTGTGTTTTTAGCTTGTTTAATTTCGAACCAATAAGTTTTCTTATTGTCATACATTAAATTTTTTATTTATTATAGCAGTCTGTATACTTACCTGTCTTCTCTTCTAAAGTATGAACTCTTTGAAGGCAAGGAAAGGATCTTATTTCTTTATAGATTCAGCACCCAGCATAACATCTTGAACTTTGTCCTCAATAAATGTTTGAATTGAGCTGTGGTGACTCTGTCTCACCTAATGTTTCTGCTTGTTCAATAAAAGATCTGTCAATATTTAGGAGAGGGATCTAACTCAACTACAAGATTAAAGGATGAAAGCTAACACAAGAAGACAGCATAGGGGAATTTGGAGAAAAAGTGATCTAAGATTTAAGCCATGAAAGAGGAAGGTGTAAGAAGGAGATTTTGAGTGTGAAAGAGAGATAATTAGAAGAAAAATGAGAATGGGCAAATGCAAGCTGCTCTGAGAACTGAAAAGGGAAAGTTATATGCCAGAATTTGGCACTTCAGGATGAACTAGGACTATATTTAGAGGTGGGTGACACCATTAAAAACAAGTTCATCTGAATTTGTAGTGCGATCTAAAGAAAGGGGAAACTGGTGAGCAGAATGCCTGGATTCTACCATCACTCCTTCCCCCTGCTTAGCCGTGGTGACTTAAGCAAGTTAGTCTCTGTGTTGGCTTCCCCATATGTCAGCTGGGGGTTATCTATCTGATACAGGATGATATATCTAGCTCGCAGGTGTATCCAGAGGATGAAATAATGGACGTGGAACTGAAAATGGTAGAAGGTTTTATTATTCTATGTCATTGCTATTTTTAATCCTAAATATATTAGCATTGTTGTTGCACTTTCCAATTCTTGTTACTGACAGCGTAGACAAATTGTCTTCTACAAATACATTTTAAAATGGTTATTCTCTTTTATTTTTTTTCTTTCAATTCCCTCATTTCACAGATTTAAAAACTGGGGTACAGAGTGCTTTGCTCAAAGTTTTATTACTGTGACAATTCCATGAATCCAGAACCTGGGATTCTGACTTGTAATCAAGTGACTGTTTAAGTCTACCCCATTACAGAAAGGTGTGAAAGAGAGAATAGAAAGAGAGAGAGGATAGACAGTCATTACTGCTAATATTAATATAATAGAATTTTAGGCCCTTCCTTGAGTTGGAGGTGAGTGGAGAAAGGAAGTATTTCTAAGATAAAAAGAGTGCAGTGGCCAAGAGAAAGCTTCCTCTTTGTCCTCTGAAGGTTCCATGAAAATAACTGAAAAAAGGCAGATTAATAGGAGAAAGGCATACAAAATTTTATTTTAATGTGCATAGCATGGGCGAATTGCAGGAGAATGATTACCTCCTTATCTTGTTTTTGTTTTTGTTTTTTGGGTTTTTTTTTTTTGAGAGTCTCACTCTGTTGCTCAGGCTGAAGTGCTGTGGAACAATCTCGGCTCACTGCAACCTCCCTCTCCTGGGTTCAAGCGATTGTCTTGCCTCACCCTCCAGAGTAGCTGGGATTACAGGCGGGCACCACCATACCCAGCTAATTTTTGTACTTTTATTAGAGACAGGGTTTTGCCATGTTGGTGAGGCTGGTCTCGAACTCCTGACCTCAGGCGATCTGCCTGCGTCGGCCTCCCAAAGTGCTGGGATTACAGGCGTGAGCCATCACTCCCAGCCTCCTATCTTTTAATTAGTAATAAAAATGATAAAAGGATTAGATTTCTAATTTCATATTAAATTCTTTCAGTTATTTTAAACTCAAAAGAAACAAGATTGGTGTTTGGATTTGTTTTAGCATATTTTTGGTTATTTTAATTATGATTTTAACCATAATATTGGAAAAAGTAAAATTTTATATTTATTAAGTAATGATAGATGTTAAAGAAAATACTTTTTCAGCTTACAGTTTTCTTCAAAATTGTTATGTTAGAGGAAAAAATATAACAATTGTCATGTGTATATTGGTTAGTCTGGTCCAGACTTTAGCATAATAAATTATTAGAAGTGTTACATCTTGTAAAACAGGGGACTCCTTTAAATTAATTTATTCTCAAATTCTGTGTAGTTTTATTTTGAAAATAACTCATTCAGATGAGGTGGGATTGAATAAGACGATTGAGATTCATAGTTATTAATATAGTAAAATCTCTACTTAAGTGAAAATGTGTTTGAATTACATTTTACAAACTAAAATTGACTGAGTGATTTGAATGTCTTCTGTGGTATGCATTATCATCCCCAATGCATTTTTTATTGTTGTTATTCCTTTTCTTTGACAGCCGGAAATCACTGTGGAAAATCTTCCCAGTTATTTCAGACTTCAGAAACCATTATTGATTTTGTTCAGTGATGGCACTGTAAATCCTCAGTATAAAAAAGCAATATTGACACTGGTAAAGCAGAAATACTTGGATTCATTTACTCCATGCTGGTTAAATCTGTAAGTATGTGTTTATTTTTTAATATGTAAGAGGTAAAGAAAGTAATAATTATTACATTTTCATTAGGAAACGAAACTCTCTAACTCTTTGGAGTTAATTTTATGGAACCAAATATGTCACCATGATATTTTAGTAACAAAACTCCCCCAAACAAGGTCCAAGATGACCTTATTTTAGATTAAATTTTATTCTACAGTAAAATTTTAAAAGAAATAATTGTTCTACTTTTTAAAAGGAATTGATGCCCATTGAGAAAATTTGGCAAATACAGAATAGTAAACATTGTGATTTTTGGACTTTTCCTTCAGTTCCTTTTTCTGTACTTCTATATTTTTAAAGTTCAGACAGATTTCAGTGCATTCATCAGCAATATTTCCTAGTATGTTTTCTAGATGTATGGATTGTGTTACATTTAATGTCTGTGAACAAAATTCACAAATAATATACTGCCCCTTGTTCAGATTCATCAGATGAAAGACATATTTATTCTTTAAAATCATTTGAAAAATAACAGAAATGGGGCAGTGTACATTTTTGCTGTGAAGAGTTTAACAGTGCATTCTACTGCTTGAGGCAACATTTTCCCAGGCAATTATCATTACAGGTATCTAAGAGTAAAATAGTATTTTATAAACTGTAGAATGTGTTACATTAGGAAAACTAAGTATCTTTAACTTAGAGTTTCCTTGTATGAACATAATTATTTCTACTTCTTTAATTTGAAATTAATGCCTTTTCCTGAGAAAAGGCACAATTCTATGGAAAAGAAGTATTTATAAAAATAAGTATCTTGTTATCTTCTAGTTATGTAATCATTTAATTTTTGAGCTGATGTATGATCAGATACTTGGCCAAATGTTGGAAGGAAACTACTGGTTGCGTCAAGCCTAAATTGACAAGCCTTTGGGCTATGCCTGCTTTTCATTAAAATTGTCATTGGCTGCCGCTTTTCTCCCAAGTGAAACAAAGTGCCCCATGTTAAAAAGAAACTTTAAAAGAATCCGGTTACTAATAACATGTCGTAGACTTCTTGGTTTTTAGGACATCTTTTCATAAAGTGAACTTACTGGCATGATACTACTTAAAAGTTTAATGTTCTACGAATTACTATTTTCATTATTTTGTTGTAGAAAGAAATATTAATATGTTCAATTGTTCCCTTTTGCAGAAAGAATACTCCAGTGGGGAGAGGAATCTTGAGGGCATATTTTGATCCTCTGCCTCCCCTTCCTCTTCTTGTTTTGGTGAATCTGCATTCAGGTGGCCAAGTATTTGCATTTCCTTCAGACCAGGCTATAATTGAAGAAAACCTTGTATTGTGGCTGAAGAAATTAGAAGCAGGACTAGAAAATCATATCAGTAAGTTTTCTGTTTTGTTTAATACATGTAGTTCTGCATTTTGTTCCATAAATGTTAAACTCTAAATATAGCTAAAGAATGGTAGGATGAGTTATTAAAATGCTGGTAGCATCATCCATGTGGACAGTCTCTGACTGGGAGGCCAAAGGTGCAAGGCTTCAGTCAGTGATCGGCTCCCCTGTGAAGGCCTGTTTCTTGAATTTTAATTCATTGAGTCCATGTTACTTGTATAGATCACCAGTGTATTCAAACATATGATTTTGGTAATTTATGCCATTAAAAAAGTTGTTACAGTGGGAGCTTTGGCCTACCAAAGCATAAGTATTTCATCTATTTTTATAAAATTTAAAATTGTAGATTTCAGAAGATATTTCTTGTGCAGCTTTTTCCATGTGCATGCCAGCTTGTTTTCTTTTTATAACTGTAAGCAAATATGTGGTTTTATAGAAAATGAGGATATTTTACAAATAGTGCATTATTGTTATATAAAATTCTGGTTCTAAGTACAGGCATACCTCAGAGATATTGAGGGTTCAGTATGAGACCACCACAATAAAGCAAATATTGAAATAAAGCAAATCATACAAATTTTTTGGTTTCTAAGTATATATAAAAGTTATGTTTACACTATACTGAAGTCTATTAAATGTGTAATAGCATTATGTCTAAAAAATGTTTTTACCGTAGTTTTAAAATATTGCTAAAAAATGCCAACAATTATCTGAGCTTTCAAGGAATTGTAACCTTTTGGCTGATGAAGGAGGGTCTTGTCTCTGTGCTGATGGCTGCTAACTGACAGGTGGTAGTTGCTGAAGTGCTGAAGTTTGGGCTGTGGCAATTTCTTACAATAAGACAACAATGAAGTTTGCAGCATTGATTGACCTTTCTTTTCACAAAAGATTTCTCTGTAGTATATGATGCTGTTTGATAGCATTTTATTCACAGTAGAACTTCTTTCAAAATTGGAATCAATCCTTTGAATCGCTGCTGCTGCTTTATCAACTAAGTTTATGGAATATTCTAAATCCATTGCTGTCATTTCAACGATGTTCATAGCATTTTCACCAGTAGTTTCCAACTCAAGAAACCGCTTTCCTTGCTTATTCATGAGAAGCATCCGTTCAAGATTCATCATAAGATTGCAGCAATTTAGTTTCACCTTCAGGCACCACTTCTAATTCTAGTTCTCTTGTTATTTATACCCCATCTGCAGCTACTTTCTCCACTGAAGTCTTGAGCCCCACAAAGTGTACAAGGCTTCCTTTTCCTCTGCATCCTTGTCAGCATTTGTTATTGCCTTTGTTTGAGATAAAAGCCATTTTAACTGGGGTGAGGTGATATCTCATTGTAGGTTTGATTTGCTTTTCTCTGATGATCAGAGAAATATCTGTTTTCATAGACCTATTTTCCGTTTGAATGTCTTCTTTTCAGAAGTGTCTATTCAGATCTTTTGCCAATTTTTAAATCAGATTATTAGTTGTTTTTTTCCCCATAGTAGTTTGAGCTCCTTATATTCTCTGGCTATTAATCCCTTGTCAGACAGGTAGTTTGCTAATATTTTATTCCATTCTGTGGGTTATCTTTTTACATTGTTGATTGTTTATTGTTTCCTTTGCTGTGAAGAAGCTTTTTTTTAACTTGATGTGATCCCATTTGTCCATTTTTGCTTTGGTTGCTTGTGCTTATGGGGTATTTAGAAATCTTTGCCCAGTCCAATATCCTGGAGAGTTTCTATAATGTTTTTGTCTAATAATTTCTTTTAGTAATTTAAGTTCTTACATTTAAGTCTTTAATATCTTTTGAGTTAAGAGTGAGATAAGGTCCAGTTTGTTTATTTTGTATCCTGCAACTTTACTAAATTTGTTGATTAGTTCTAACAGGTGTTTTTGTGGAGTCTTTAGGCGTTTTCTGTATATAAGATCATGCTACCTGCAAACAGGAACAATTTAACTTCCTTTCTGATTTGGACAGAGCCAGAATTTTGAACCACAAGAAAATAGATCTTGGCCCAGAATCTATTATCCTGGCTTATAACATGCCATAATATCCACTTTTCTGAAAACATAGAAAAATTTATATTTGTAGTATGGATATATATATTAATTTATATTTGAGTCTTAACCATTTATACATAGTTGTGGCAACAATAGGCCTGTAGCTATAGTTTAAATAAGTAAACATGTAGCAACCTAGATTATTATAGTATATTGAACAAATAGTGTGAAATGTAACAAAAAGTCTCCTAGGTACTATATAAGGATTTTATTAGATACTAGATGGTCTATCCTAAAATAATATTTTGATACTGTTCCATGACAGAGTCCTGAAATAAGGTTTGTATGTGTGTGTATATATGTAAATATGTATGTATGTGTGTACGTATGTATATACACATACACTCTGGTATACAAATTCTCATTCAATATTATGTCAACTATCAGGTATAGTATGAATCTACCATTATGTATATTTGTATGTATTTCATCAGCTACTTTAATTTATTTTAGGGTCAATCATTACACCAAACCCATCCTTCCTAAGTGGTCTGCTTCATTTCTGTCAAGTTAAGCAGTTTTAACAAACATATTATGCTTAAATAAAATATGGATGGTATTTTTATTGAAATATAATATACCATAAAATTCACCCTTTTAGAGTGTACAATTCAGTACTTTTTCAGGCATTCTCAAGATCATGCAACTACTACCATTGTTGAATTCCAGAACATTTTCATCACCCCAAAAAGAAACCCCATACCCATTAGCGGTCACTCTCAATTTTCTCCTCTATCCACCCTTTGGCACCCACTCATCTATTTTATGGTTCTATGGATTTGCCTAATCTAGACATTTCATATAAATGGTATCATATAATATGTGGCTTCTTATGTCTGACTTCTTTCACTTATCATAAGGTTTTCAAGGATCAACCACGTTATAGCATGAACCAGTAGTTCATTCCTTTTTATGGATGAATAATATTCCACTGCAAGGATATGTCACATTTTGTTTATTCCTTAGTTGATGGACAGTTGGGTTGCCTTTACTTATGGCGATTATGAATAATGCTGCTATGAGCATACATGTATATGGTTTGGTGCCTGTCTTTATGCTAGTACTGCACTGTCTTGATTATTGTAGCTTTGTAGTAGATTTTAAAATTGGGAAATTTGATTACTCCTACTTTGTTTTTCATTTTCTTTTATTTCATTTTGTTATTTTTTTTGAGACAGGGTCTCACTCTGTCACCAAGGCTGGAGTGCAGGGGTGCGATCATCACACACTACAGCCCCGAACTCCTGGGCTCAAGGGATTCTCCTACCTCAGCCTTCCAAGTAGCTAGGACTACATGCATGCACCACCAAGCCTGGCTTCATTTTTTTGTTTTTGTCTTTGTTTTTGTTTTTGTAGAGACAGGGTCTCACTGTGTTGTCCAGGCTGGTCTTGAACTGTTGGCCTCAAGCAACCCTCCCTCCTCAGCCCCCCAAAGTGTTGGGATTACAGGCATGAGCCACTGCACCTGGCCCTATTCTTTGTTTTCAAGACAATTTTGGCTATTCTGGGTTCCTTTAGATGATATTTTTGTCTTAATTTTCTGAGGCAATTTATTGGTTTTAATATTTTCCTAGGAAACGGGACAGAATTAATTAATTAAATTCAATATTTTGTTTAAGTGGATCTGGAAGGAGACCTTTCTGTAGTTATCAGTCATCTTTGACTACTTCATTCTCACCACATGGTATAGGGATCTTTTCAGCTGTAGCTCTTAAACTCCTCAGAAAGTCTATGTTCACTTAACTGTCTGCATTGCTATTTTATAGAAGCAAATGAGTATTGTCATGTTGTAGCTGCAGTGACACAGAGTTCCCATGGACTGTAACTCAAGATTATGTGTAGCTAGGGCTAGAATGTTTCTCAAACAGAATTACTTAAAAAAAAAAAAAAAAAAAAGCAGACATGTTCAAAACATAGAAACCTGAGCTCCTGCCCTAGCTTCCTAGATTACTATGTGGCTCTAGGCAAGTCATTCTTGGTTTCCTCCTCTACAACTATAAAATGAGTTTAATAGTTTCCACTCTGAATACATCACATAGTTATTAAAAAATGAATGCAGAGGCACTTTGTAAAGTATAAACTCTAATGTATTATCATCACCTATGTAAAGATCCTTTCCTGCAAGGAACATCCCTGAGGGCTTTGATTCCTCAGCTCAAACCATTACCCAGAGGAAAGAATCAACGTTATACTTCTGAGTTTTCTGAGAGACTGGCGTGTCTTCTATTGCAATTTTGTTAACATCTTTGCCAGCTCATTCTTTACGGGTTTCCATCATTTCTATGCATCACTGCTCCTATTCTTAAATTAATCCTGTAGCCTCTGCAGCAGGAAAAAGAAAACTGAACAGTCTCTGTGTATTGGATTCTGCCTTCTGTGCTAGCAGGGCCTGCTCTCAGCATCTCTGTTAGATAGATCTTTGCCAACAGTGGTGTTCTGAGATGGGGTTGGGGTCGGATGAGTTGTAGGAACATTCTGGAAATAGCCTAACTCAGTAACATGGTGCCACTGGTGTCTGCCTCACCTTACTTATTGCATATCTTAATTTCTGTGAAACTGTGGCCACTGGCAATTCTTACTTGAGATTTACACTTAACTTTGGCCCAGTTCCCTGATATTTGTATGCTTTAGTGTTCTCGTCTATAAAATTGTAAAGATAAAATGAATAGTGCATGTGTATAGTAAAGGCTCAATAAATGTTAATTAGTATTATTTATTATCATTACTGATTTGATGAATAATGTATTTATTACCCATACATTATTACAGTTTTATTTGCAGTTGAAAACATTAAGATCTTTGTAGAGTTCCCTCAGCAAGTAATTAGCAGAATTGGGATGTTTCAGGCATTTTGTCATAGTCTCAGACCGCTAGGCCGCAGTGTTGACCTTAAAAAATAACTATTGTTAAATATAATATTTGCTACATGCTACACTTTAAACTGGACTCTTTGTTGTTGTTGAGACAGTGTCACACTCTCTCATCCAGGTTTGAGTGCAGTGGTGTAATCACGGCTCATTGCAGCCTCAACCATCTGGGCTCAAGTGTACCTTCCGCCTCAACCTCCCGAGTAGCTGGAACTACAGGCACGTGCCACCATGCCCAGCTAATTTATTTTTATTTTTTGATTTTTTGTAGAGAAGGGCTACCACTATGTTGCCCAGGCTGGTTTTGAACTCCTGGGGCCAAGCTGTCCTCCCATCTTGGCTTCCCAAAGTGGTGGGATTGTACATGTGAGCCACCATGCCCAGCCTAAACTGGACTCTTACAGATACTTTAATATACATTTATCTGCATATTGCAAACTACAGTTATTCTTCTTACCTGTTCATTATGTTCAAGAAAATATGTCATCCATTTGTCACTTTTGAACCTGCTAACCTGGCAACACCAATTTGAAACATCAGTTTCATGAGTAGCCTAAATTTATTGCCCTGCTGATGTACCAATTACCAGGATTTCATATAGTTGAGTATGAGTGAAGAAATTATATATCAATAAGCAAAGTACAGCTGTACTGCATGTGTACATATACAGATTTTTGTTTGAGCTTTACTCTAGGAAATTGCAATATATATGTTTTTTCTAAGCTCTTAAAGATACTCAATTTATGAGAGATGCTCAAGTTTGTATCTTATGAGCATTTATTATTATTTTTTAGCATGTAACAGTGCATAGATTCTTTCATTGGAATTTATTTTTAAAAGGTTTACTTTGTACATTTCCTTATATAGTTTATTTTTTAAAATAGTACCCTAAATGGGCCAACTAAATTCTGAAACTATTTTGTAAACTGTCTAGTAAATGGAAGAAAGTTAGCTAATTTATCTCTATGTTATCAGCCTTAATCAGTTTTCCTCTTTCAATAACCAATATTTTAAAATAATGTTAAGATTCATTGCCATGAAGCTCATCTAAGAGAAATTATTTAATCACTATGTATAGTACAGTTGATTCCACAGCAATTTTTAATTATTTATTGTCTATAATTATTTTTATGAAATGAACTTGTTTTCATAAAGTGTGTGGAAAAGATGTTAATCAAAAGCTTCAAGAACAGAAAATGCTTTAAAATATAAGGAAACACTTGTATAAATAACTCTATAATAAATAATTACATATGTTCCAAAATTTTTTTCTCGAATGATTTATAAGAAATAGTTACATTTCTTTGGCAGTAGAGAGGGAAGCAGGTGACTTTTTCATTTAACGTTTTACATATGTGTATGTGATCTTGTTACACATATTGCTGTTTTTGAAAACCTTAGCAAAGGTTAATCGGCATTGAGATTATGGACCTTTTTTCCCCTATTCATACTTTTTTTAAAGAAAATAATAGCTTGTAAATGTAATCTAAAAATGAAAATGGCTAGTAGTGACAAATGTATCAAATTTCTTGTTGACAATGACAGTAAAAAAATTCCTAGCTTTGCTTAGATAAGTAAAACTAATAAAACTTTCACTTCTACAAATATATTTTTCAAAATAAAACATTTTCTAATATGTTGATGTGACGATTTATAGCTGTTAATCTTTAACCTTTGATTGTTTCTTCCTTCCAGCAATTTTACCTGCTCAAGAATGGAAACCTCCTCTTCCAGCTTATGATTTTCTAAGTATGATAGATGCCGCAACATCTCAACGTGGCACTAGGAAAGTTCCCAAGTGTATGAAAGAAACAGATGTGCAGGAGAATGATAAGGAACAACATGAAGATAAATCGGCAGTCAGAAAAGAACCGATTGAAACTCTGAGAATAAAGCATTGGAATAGAAGTAATTGGTTTAAAGAAGCAGAAAAATCATTTAGACGTGATAAAGAGTTAGGATGCTCAAAAGTGAACTAATTTTATAGGGCTGTGGTTTCCAAAATTTTTTTGGCATGATAGACTTAATTTATTTCCTTAAAGAATAATATTAAATCATTTCAAGTTTGCAGACTAGTGCCATCCAATAGAATTATAATATAAGTCACATATTTTATTTAAAATTTTCTAGTAACTACATTAAACAAAGTAAAAGTGAGCAGGGCAAAATAATTTTGATATTACTTTTCACCCAGTAGTATACCCAAAATAGCGAAATATAGAAATTATTAATGAGATATTTTACATCCTTTTTTGTACCAAGTCTTCTAAATGCAGTACATATTTTATACTTACTGCATTTCTTACTTCCGAGTAGCCATATTTCAAGTGTTCCTTGCCACATGTGGCCTGTGACTACTGTATTGGACAGTTCAGTACTAGACAAAAACTAGCATAATTAACTTAGTTCTAGCCATGATTTCTATTTGGATTAAAATTAAACTCTAATCACAGTTAACTCCACAGTGCATTCATGCAGCTGACAGTTATATTTGTTTTATTGGAGTCATGATATTAAAATCAGCGTTTGTCAACCTCAGGGGATATTTAGCAATTGTCGGGAGACATTTTTGATGTCATGACTAGGGCAGTTATTGACATTTAGTGAGTAGAGGCCAGGGATCCTGCTAAATAACCTGCATTGGACAGCGCCCCACAACAAAGAATTATCCTGCCCGAAATGGTAGTCGTGCCAAGGCTGAGTAACCTTGTGTTAAAAGTAACCTGTGGCAGACTAGGTTTCCAGAATTTCCTGGTTCTGCTCACGTATCATGTTTGAAAAAATTTTGGCTATTAAAGATATGTATTAGATGGTCTTATCCTGATTATTACCTGGATACAACTTGATCTTTTCTAATATTTTCAGAAAGTGATGGGATAACCCTAGAAGAGGACTCAGAATGATATTTATATTTTAAGTGAGTCTTAAAACCTCCTCTTATTTCTACAAGTTATATGGCTAAATTTCAGATTGAACAGGGATTCAGCATTCTGCCATCTCCTCATGGAAAGAGAGGCTCCCTCATCTGAAGCGTCTCTGAAATCTACCCTTGCAAGCTTCAGACAAATCAGTTGATCTCCCTGAGCCACACGGCCTCATTCTGTGAGGGAGGGAAAGATTAGCCAAAGAGTTAATTTTCATTCCAAATCACTTAGCTGTTAGACTGATCTGTTTGTAGCAGTTGTTTGTCTCATTTTTGCTCTGTGCATTTTTTGAGACATTTGTTGAGAATATTCTATTTGGTGCTCTACTGTATTTTTCTTTTTAATATCTACTTGATATCTTGTTCTTTAAATTTTCTTCACATATGGTTTGCCTGATACAACTGATTTTTATAACTGAAATTTAAGGAATCTAACAGCTAAAACTCAGTAAGTGCATATATTTCCTTATAACATAGACCCGTTGCTACTCTCAGCACCCTCTCCTCAATTTTTTTTCCTGTAGCATGTGATGCCTGATTAAACTCATTTTCATTTGCTTTTATTTCTAATATGGGAACAATGAGAGTGAACTCTAAATATAGGTTGTAGTAATAAAACATCATTAGCCTAATTATTAGAAAATGCTAATTAAGTACCAGCACATAGAAACATGAAATTGCTTAGTCATTGTACCTTTGTCAGCAATTTTGACAGTCATTAATGTTTGTCATAATTTTAAATAAAGTGTCTGGGTTTCAGAATACCTTCACAAGCCTCCTTTAGTCTCCACTGTGCCCTCTCGGACCACTCTCCCTCTATCAGTTGGGTTTCTTTGGTTACAAGCAACAGAAATTCGACTTTGGCTCACTTAAGCAAAATGAGAATATTGGATAATTCACAGAGAAGAAAAAGTAAAGTAGGCTTTGAAAGGATAGGAACTAAGTCTGTTCTGTGTAACAGGAACTAACAGCTCAGTGAAGAATCGGTTCCAACTGATTTACTATCTTTTGTGACTCAGGGAGTCCTGGGAAAGTTGGTTAGGGGACCACTAGGCACTTTAATTGGCAGTCCTAACAGTATTTTATTTATTTATTTATTTATTTGAGATGGAGTCTCGCTTGGTCACCCAGGCTGGAGTGCAGTGGCGTGATCTCGGCTCACTGCAGGCTCTGCCCCCCGGGTTCATGCCATTCTCCTGCCTCAGCCTCCCGAGTAGCTGGGACTACAGGCGCCCGCCACCTCGCCCGGCTAATTTTTTGTGTTTTTAGTAGAGATGGGGTTTCCCTGTGTTAGCCAGGATGGTCTCGATCTCCTGACCTTGTGATCCGCCCGCCTCGGCCTCCCAAAGTGCTGGGATTACAGGCGTGAGCCACTGCGCCCGGCCCTAACAGTACTTTCAAATGCAGAAGGGGTGAATCTCACAAAAGAAATCCAAATTCTGTTTACCAGAAAAAGAGAGTGAATGCAGAGGAGGAAAAACAATGAAGAAATAGAAAAACCATGAATCCCCAAGACACTGCTTGCTGTTCTTCTACCATCCTCTGTATCCTTTTCAGGTCTTTCTGCTACCTCTTACCCATTTTTGAGAGCTCCAAAAGCCCTCTCTCTACCCTGAGTGGTTATAGCTTTCCTGTATATTCTCCTGGTCCTCTAGTAGGGTTGGTCGCCAGTGCATATTTACATTTTGTATAACATTTCATGTCTCATGAGTCATATTATTTCACCCTCTCCTGCCTCACCTGTGCTAGAATGTAAATATCCTTGGTCCATTGTTTCCAGCCCTTGTGATGAAATGTTTCACGAGCTGTTTTTCAAAATTCCTAGAGTTCCTCACTTATGCCTATGCTTCTTTAAAAAGTAATTAAATATGTGTAAGGTGAACAATAAGAGTTTGCAAATCAGTGTCTATTTCAGTAATAAAAAGTAATCGAGTAGATACACCTTAGGATTTTCACTTCCACCTAAGACGTAGAAAACTGCAAGACAATGTTACTCCTATCCTAACAACAAAAATTTATCAATTTTCTTATATCCTTCAGAGAAAGTAGCCAAAGGAACTGAATTTCAAAGAGTGACAAGTCCCCTTCAAAGAGAAACAGGATATGTGAACTGTTTTGCCTTCATCAGAGAATAGGAGGCTGCCATTAAAGCAAGTGAGAATAAATTATAAAGAATTTAGAAGCACTCCTTGCAAGTTAGTTTGCCTCAGATTCCTGAATTGGAAACAAAGGACTTTATTACACCAGTAGCATTAGTCGGAGTGTCAGCATCCCCACAGTGTTATCAGAAGAGGTCCAGGTGATACCTGCACACAGAGTGGATTGCATAACAGAAAGAACCCTGAGTTTAGGGAGCCCAAATATGTTATAATGGATATTTAGCATGCATGCCCTTTGCTCTGGAGGAATAGATCTTTATTATACTGGACAGTAATCAAACTTGTCCTTCTAGAGGGAGATACTCTCTAGGGAGATGATATCTCTATTGGTCTTTCCAGGCTGTTCTTTATATAAATATCCTTGAAAAGGTAGTCCAGAAGAAAGGCAGGCAGTACCTTTCCATGCAATCATGCAAAAATGTGAGAGACCCATGGAGAATTGTCTACTGACAGAAATCATTAAATGTTAAGGAATTCTTTAAAGGCCAACTGTGTAATCAATATCAGTTTAAATAGGTCCCTTGACATGACAGAGGTTCACAATCACTTTCCACAAGCCTCAACTGCATGCTAATGAGAAAGACTGGGGCAAGAGACTGGTGAGAAGAGACCCCTCAGTGACACAGGCATGCATGAAATGATGGGCTGACAGGCGTGAAACACTGCCCACTTCCTCAGACCTTTCTCTTGTACAAAGCAAAGCCACTGGGGGAGAGATGGCAAACCTTCCTGCCCTAATGGCCCAGGCAGAGATCCACTGCTCTTGAAGGACATGTAAAAACAGTAATCTTTTGCCCTTGAGAAAGGCAGAAAATCTTGTGGGCCCAGGATCCTGTGCCAATACCAAGCAGAGATCCACTCTCACTAGAAGTACAGAAAATCTCTCCTGTTCAAGAATTCCCCAAACTGATAAGTATATAATTCAAATTGCAATAATGCAATGAAGATGTAGAGGGAAGTGATAGAGAATGATTATGATTAGAGGACCACCTACTTAAGTACAGTGGTGAGGTGAGTCCTCCATAATGAGGTGATATTTGAGCTAAGACTTAAAAGGATGAGATAGCCACCCTAGATGAGAATAAAGAGCATTCTGGATAGAGGAATAGCATCTGGAAGACTCCGGAAAGATTTTGGCTTATGTGAAGAATGGAATACAACCAATGTGGCTGGAGTCTAATGGGCAAGGGGGGCAATAGAGATGAGGCTGGAGAGCTAGGAAGAGGCAGCATTACGCAGGGTTTTGGAAGACATGGATGGTAAAGAATTTATTTCAAGTGCACCAAGAAGCAGGGGAGAAATATGGGATGCAAAACTTCAGAAGAATATTCTGGTTGCCACAAGGAGTGGTCATAGAGATGGAGAATTGAGGATGGATTTGAGCTGTATTTTGGAGGTTTGACCTATAGACCTTGCTGATGAATTGGATCTAGGTTTTGAGGGAAAAGGAAGAACTACAAATGACTCAAGTTTCTGATTTAGTAACTGAAAGAACGTGGTGCTATTTACTGAAATGAGGAATAGGAAAGCTGGGATGGTGTTGGGGGTGGACAGAAAATCAAAAGTTTTATTGTGTCTAAGAGTGAAAAACCTATTTGATTTCAAGTTGACAGTAGGATACTTCAGTATGGAGCTCAGTGGAGAGCTTTTCTTCATTGATTCAACAAATATTGTTTATTGTCTGCCAGGCACTGTTTTTGGCAATGAGAATAAAACAGCCCCTTTCTTCATGGAACTTACATTCTAGTGCAGGTGAGATGGAAAATAAACAAGTAAATATACAGTTGATACACAGATGATAATGGCTGTGAAAAAAATAAGACAAAGGAGGGTAGGGAGGGGTATAGGAGATTTTAAAAATAAAGTGTGGATAAGGAAGGCCTCACTGATAAGGTAAACTTAAAACTAAAAAGGAAATAAGGGAGCAAGCTTTCAGGTTTTTTGTGATCAACTCCGTTACTTAAAACAATTTAGAATGCTAGATAAATTTTAAAATTCTTTATTCAAAGGATTGAGGGGCTGACTGACAAGAGACCAAAAAACTGCTGGGCCAAAATCTAAGTAAAAGCAAGAAACCAGAGAATTAAAGGATGTACTTCAAGTATTTTTTCCTAAAGCAATTGTCCATGTGAGCTGACTTACTCAGCTCTCATCTTTATATTTTATATTTTAGTAAGTTATTTTGCTCTTTTTTTTTTTTTTTTTTTTTTTGAGATGGAGTTCTGCTCTTTCACCCAGGCTGGAGTGCAGTGGCACAGTCTTGGCTCACTGCAACCTTCGCCTTCTGATTTCAAGTGATTCTCCTGCCTCAGCCTCCTGAGTAGCTGGGATTACAGGCACCTGCCACCATGCCCAGCTAATTTTTGTATTTTTAGTAGAGATGGGGTTTCACCATGTTGGCCAGGCTGGTCTTGAATTCTTGACCTCGTGATCCGCCCGCCTCGGCCTCCCAAAGTGCTGGGATTACAGGAGTGAGCCACCGCGCCTGGCATTTTGCTCTGTTTTACTAAAAACAAACACAAAGAAAGAACAACAACAGAAAAATTCTTAAATACATTGATAGGCTGGAGAATTTTAATCTTTTTCACTTATTTAAATCCAAGTACATTTTATAACTTCTTTATACTAGCTGTCAACATGTAGGGCAATCTGTCTAAGTAGGGATGAATGACTCTTAAAAAATCCTGGAGAGTTTTCCCTTGAAGCCAAGCATGGGGTTGTTTAAATAAACTTCTTGTTTAAAATGAAAAACAAAAAATAAATATAAAAATAAAAACACGGTCAACTTTCTTTAGCTGCCAAGTGTCTCCGTTGGCCTGAAGATGACGAAGGAGGGATTTCGTTGTGTAGAAAGCTCTAAATCTTCCCAGGAACCCATGAACCGCTTGTGCCTCAGGTGAGCAAGAGTAGTCTCCCCACACCCACCTCTGTAAGGTGCCTGTGGTGAGATTTCCAAGTCCACCCTGGGGCCAGAACCGGTCCAGCCTGGCCCAGGAGGTGCATGGAGTGTGGGTGTGGGTGGGTGTCTGTCCCATACCCTGGCAAATGTCCCTAGCCCCAAACTTCAGCTTTGCCATGGGGACCAAAGTTAAAAGTCCAACCAGCATGGAAAGTTGGAACTCCACAGAGCCTGTGAGGTAAAGGTGAACTTAAAGAAATAGAAAAAACCTTCTCCATCTCTGCATAGTCAAATACTACAAAAGAAGATGTTTTGATAGTGAGAAGCAAAAGGAAAACAAAAAGCCAAACCCTCTCCGAAAACTTGGAACTGTATCCAAGTTTTGGATATACTTGGAGCCCTTGAGATTTGCAAACCAAATTGCCATAACCTATGTGGTCCAAAAACCCTCAAGTGATGATTAGTTTAAAATGGTCCCAAACAGGTCCTTGAACTAGAAACTTGGCAAAAACAAACACATTCTCTCTGGGGAAAGTTACCCACCTTCATAGCAGGCCTCCAGGTATTGACCAAGATAACTTTTTCAAGGGCAGTGATTTACTTATAGTCAAAATTAAGTAAGCACACAAGGAAAAACCAAGCATACTGAGAACTAGCAAGAATTAAAAGCAAAACAAAGACTTCAGAAATTAACATTATTAGACATATTAATTGTGCTTACTATGTTGCAAGAAATAAAAGGCAAGCTTAAACATATCTTCAGGAAATAGGCAATCAAAAGACAGAACAAATTTGAGAAAATTTCTAGAAATAAAAAAAAAAAAACATAACTAGGCAGGGAGCAGTGGCTCATGCCTGTAATCCCAGCACTTTGGGAGGCTGAGTGGGGAGAATCACAAGGTCAGGAGTAAGAGACCAGCCTGGCCAATACGGTGAAACCCTATCTCTACTAAAAACACAAAAAAATTAGCCAGGCGTGGTGGCGCATGCCTGTAATCCCAGCTACTCAGGAGGCTGAGGCAGGAGAACTGCTTGAACCTGGGAGGTTGAGGTTGCAGTGAGTCAAGATTGCGCCACTGTACTCCAGCCTGGGCGACAGAGCAACACTCCATCATCTCAAAAAAAAAAAAAAAAAAAAAAAAAAACCTAAAAATTTAAACTAGACACAGCTGAAAAGAGAAAGATAATTGGAAGATCATAAAAAATCACTCAGAATGTACCACAGAGAGACAAAAGGTGAAAAATATGAAAAAGAAGCCAAGCGAAAGAACAATTAACAGAATTTTCCAGAATGAAGACACCAATTCACAAATTCAGAAGCTTATAAATTCGATTAAATAAAAACAAATTTACCCTACACACACACACAGTGAATCTACAGAATACCGAAGGCAAAGAAACCTTAAAATGTGCTAGAAAAAAAAGAGATTGCATTCAAAGTAGTGTCAGACAACAACTGAGTCAGAAGCCAGTAGAATGATATATTCAATAAACAAAGAAAAATAATTGCTAACCTAGAATTTTATATCCAGTGAAAATATTTCTTTAAAAAAGAGTAAGATCAGGACATTTCAGAATAGCAAAAACAGAGTTGCCATCTGCAAAATAAGGAGATTCAGGGTATATTCTTCATGTGGAAGGAAAATGATCCCAGATGGAAGGGAAGAGAGGCAAAAGGGAATGAGGAACAAAGTGGTAAGTACATGGGTAAATCTGAATGAGAATTGAGTGCATAAAACAATGTCTTGTGGAGTTTTAAAAAGTGAACAATGAAAATAACATACCATGACAATATATAAGCAGGAAAAGGAATCAATAGAGTTAATGCATTCTACATTCCTTGGGAAAAGGATAGTTACTGATTAATTTTGGGTTTCAATAAGTATGCACTTTGTAATTTCTAGGGTATACATTAAGAGAATTGAAAATTTTCAAACTATGAGAGGAAAAAAAAACTGGAGCTACAAGAAATGACCAGCCAAAAGAAGGCAGGGAAAGAAAATAAATGAAACACAGAACAGGTGGGATAAATAGCTCAAAATAGGACCGCAATTTAATCTAATCTGAAATGTCAGTAAATACATGCAAACAGACTAAGTGCTCCAATTAAAAGATTGTCAGGATTTAAAAAATCAACTATATGAAGTTTATAAGAGATATATATCAAACTGAAGTATACAGGAAGGTTAAAAGTAAAAGGATGGAAAAAATACATACCATGCAAATGAGAGAAAGCTGGTCAGATAGCCTTAATGTCAGAGAAGACAGATATTAAGTCAAAAGCATTATTAAAAAGATAGATTATTCATAATGATAATGTTCAATTCATCAGTAAGTTATAACAGTTGTAAATTTGTGATCACCTAATAACATGGTATCAAATTATGTGAAGCAAAAATTAATAGAAGTGGACAAATTCACCATATTAGATTTTTAAGTACAAAGTAATTAATAGAGCCAGCAGAAAAAAATAAGGGAAGTTATCAAAGAGTTAAACAATGTCATTAATAAAGTTGACCTAACTTCACCCAGTGATTGCAGAATGCACATTCTTTCCAAACACACACAGGGCATTTATAAAAAGGAACATATACTGGGCTATAAAGCAAGTATTGATAATTGCTAAAGGATTAAAATGCACAACATGTTCTCTGAACACAGTGCAATTAATCTAGAAATCAATAACAAAATGATGCCTAGAGATATAGAGTTAAGGAGTTGGGTATGCAAACCTGAGCTTGAGGTAAAAATCTAGGCATCCTATAGCTTATGAATGGAAAAATTTGGAATTCAACCTGAGTCTCCTTCACATCCATTTGGTGGGATACCATGTAAAGCACTTCCTGTCCATAACATCCTTCTGCACTGACATTTTAAAATATATATAAAATACATAAAATAATACTAAAATGGCCTATGACTAGATTATTGAATAATCAGACCAATCATCTCTTCCCTTAGAGTTAATATTCTTAACACTTTATGGTTGTAGGCTGTAATTTCACATTCTCTTAAAATAAGCCTTTTTCTTTTACTAAGTTTTATTAGTGGAAGCCTATCCAAGATTTAGTTTGGATAACCCAGGGTCAAGTCCTTACATAGGCCTCGAGAGCTATAAAAAAACAGATGCAGAATCTGGAGTCTTGTGAAATATTCCAGACCAGCTTCTTGACTTATAGTGGGCAAAATTGCACGTCAGTATTTTAATCAAATAAAGCACTCATTTCCTCTGACATTAAATGCAGTCTGGATTTTCTGTTTCTCAGGTGGATATTTTATATAGTTATGAAGGCTATTTTTGAAGAATTAATTTTCCTCACATTTAAACTTGTTTTCTTATTAGAGATACAACCTAACCAGCTACCCAGTTCTTTGTGCCATGAAACTCCTTCAGAATGTCTGGTTTATTGTACTGAGAGTGACTATTGCATCTAAATCACTTCTCCAAAGTTACCAGGAGAGGACTCTAAGGTCACACCAGCCCCAGATGGTCTTGACAAATGTGAACAGTGAGTAAGTCCCCATTTAAACATTGTAAGAAGGTAGGGTTATTCCTGTTTCTAAAGATACTTAAAGTCTGAGAGAAAAAGCTATTGGAGAACAGTTTTCTTAAAAACTGTCTAACAAAAGTAGCATTCAAAGAAACTCTCATGTCTGGTAAACAGAATTGAGAATACCTCCATATCCAGAAACATCTGGGAGATATAACCAGTATAGCACATTGGTGAGAGAATGGGCTTTGGATCTGTGCTGAAGAATCTTTGGACCTGACTCTTCCAATTATCAGCTGTGTGATATTGTAAAGTTACTTAAAATCTTACATTTTTGTTTCCTCAGTGGTGAAAATATTGCTTACCACATGGTATTGAGGGTTAAATGGGAGTATGCCTAGTAAGCATTGGATATATGTCATCTTAAAGATTGGTTTATTTACTAGAAATTTTGTCCTATTCACAAAATAAAGTAATACATTCTCATAATAAAACAATATAGAAATAAACAAACACAAAAAGCAATACCTGGTCCCACTTCCCTCCAACTCCAATTATGGAGACGTGGTAACTACCATTAACAATTTGGCTTCCGTTTGACCTTCTGAATATTTTACTTCTTATTTTTAGGATTCAAAGATACTTAGGTTAGTCAATTGTCCCTTCACCTTTTCAACTAAGATCAAGTAAAGATACCATTAGAATATATTTTTAAATTTAACTTATTTATTTTCATATCTAGCATTAACAGTTTTTCTTTCACTTTGTGGTATTAAATATTTCATCCATATTCAGTGCTTACGCTGAAATCAAAAGGGGGAAGAAATCAAAAGGGGGTAGAAAAATCTGTCCCATTTGATCATTAATGTAGTCAATAGTTGCTTTTTTGACTGGAATTTTGTTCTTCAAATCTCAACTTAAAAGTTAACATAATTATACCTAGAGTGTTTTTTGTTTGGCTGAACACAACATCCCCTTGGTGTCCTGGAGTGCAGTGCTCGAGAGCACCATTCTGTACTGAGTAACAGTCCACCAGATTTCCTGCTAATGGATAACCCCTGTCCAATGTGTCTAAATATCACTTGTGGCTACTAGTGTCTGATACATATGACTGCGGGTATGAAAATTGTGTCAGTTCAGAATCCTTTAACTGTATGTAACAGATAATCTAACAGTAACTTAACATATTGGGTTTCATTTTACTTAAGTGAAATATTTTACTTTATTTACATAAGTAGTCACCAGATATAGCAGCTTCATGGTGGTAGCAATGTCCTAGGTTCTGTCTCTTTGCTTCGCTCATAATGTAATGGCTTGTTTCCTCTCTTCTGCAAGATGCTTGCTGAAGCTCAAGCATCTGACATGTATTTAAGGCAGGAAGAAAGAGAGAGGTGGGTGCCTGATACCTCCATTTTATAAAAAGAACAAAGGCTTAATCCAAAGTCGCCTGGGAGATTCTGCTTGTGTATCACGCTTGGGTCAGAGCTGGGCCATATAGCCACTCCCACCTGCAAAAGAGCTGGGAAGTAAATCCTGTATTTGGTTTTCCAACCTCTATACCGGAAAGCAGCAATGGAAAATGCTGTAACAAATCCACAGCCTCTGACACAGGAGGGAAAATGGAAGATAAGGGGATGGGCCATGAGTATTCTGCCTTGTTCTTGGTGCTGGTTTGAAGATACACCCCAGTAATAGCGGTAAGGATGATCTAGAAGTTCTCCATTGAGAAGCTCCATGGCAAAAGGAGGCCTGGGTCCTCAAATGTTACAGCTGTTAGGCACCAGCAACTTTGGTTCACACATAGCCACTTCCCCAGAGTGCAAATGTGCCCTGAATCTGGGTTAAAGTAGTTCCAGCATCTGCCATCTCTTGACTTGGGGTTGCTGTTGCTCTTCTCAATCAGCTCAGTGCTGGGTCCATTTAACAATTCTAGTACCTTTCTACCCTCAAGGTTTATTTTAGGGAGCCCCTTGTCCTTCCCTGCCCCTGAGCATTGTTCAGGGACACTCTGGCCCACTGAGAAGTTGTCCCAAAGCCGAGGGATCCTTGTCCAAATCACTTCACCCCTTCTTGGAATTGTGAATACCAAAGGGCATTAGAAAAGGGTATATAACCTTTTCTATAAGCAGAGGATCTTGGCTTACATTTGCTTAACCTATAACAGCAATTCAAATGACTCTTCGAAGAACAAGGACGATCACCCAAAGTGACTCCCTGTATTGCCTACTTGTTTACCAGAGAAGTTGAGTTCAGCTTTTCCCACTTAAAAGAAAAAAAATCTGGCTACTCGAAAAATTAGAAAATATGCAGTTATTGCAGTATAGGCAAGTGGCATAATTGATTCTCTGAGATTTCATGCCACACATCTTTAGATCACATCTTTCATTCATTTACATTCATTCCTTCAACCAACCAACATCTGTGATGCCTATTAAGTGCCAGCCCTGAGCTAAGTGCTGTGAACATAAAGTCATATAAGGAATGGACCATTACCCGCAGGACCTTAGCATCTAGTGTGTGGGAGAGACATGGAAATCACTTTTGCCTGTTGTTATAAGTGCTGAGGCAAAGGGTGGCCCGGGATTGTGGGGAATCCTGGAGGAGGAGCAGCTAAATTAGTCTGGGGGCCAGAAAACCTTCCTGGGGAAAGGATGCTTGAGCTGAATTTTGGAGTATAGGTAGAATTTACTAAAGCAATTTCCAGGGAGAGGAAAGAGCCTGGGTGATGACATGGAGACCTCAAACAGCCTGGTGCATGCAGAAACAAGAGCACTAGTTCCATTTGGAGTGAAGAGTGTTTGAAGAAAAGACATGCAGGAGGCCAGAGAGGAACAGGAGCCAGATACAGCAAAGTGTTGTTGAACTAGTGAGCTTGAACTCTGAATTGTAGGTTATGATTTAGGGTTACAAGCCTATTCAGTTATTCCCCACCCATTCCCAAGAGTAAAAAAGTAAACTTCAAGTGTTTCTATTTTGATGAAAGAGGAGAATTAAACATCTATGATAGATTACCTTAAACACATGGTCTCCCTAAAATGATAATTATAATCATTTTAGAGTAAGAGTCCCTTTCTACCAGCCCCTTTGCTTGCATTAACATAAGTAGATTAAGCCCTCTGGGGGATTAAAAATTGTAGGTGAATGTTTTATCCTGGAAATTACAATGAATCAGATACTCTCTAGGGCCAAAGTCATTTCCTGAAATAATTTTTCCAGACTATTAGAGTACAGTTTATTCCCTGCAATATAAATTGCACAAAATGGGAACTGAGTTAGTAAACCTCCCTTAGCATCTCAATTACTATGGTTCCAGGAAACAACTTAGGTATGGGAAGGAGACAGACCAATACCAATATTTGCACATCCATTTCTTTTCTTTAGTTTGGCTTCAAAGTCTTCCAGTGTTTCTCTGGTTTCCTAGAAGACTGGGACTTTGAGAAGCAGATTCCCACAATAAAGTCTTAATGTAATTCAAGAAGTCAGAAAGAGTGAAATTATTTAGATGTTTGTTATTCTAAAGTCTTGTGAAAACATTTTGTCTTTCAGTTTTAAAACTCCTTTATGTGTTTTTAAAATTGTGTTCTGGTATACTCAGAGAGTTTATACTATGAGCATTTCAGAAGATAGTCAGTATTGATATGTTTATATCACATCCTGTGTGTGATGGTTGCTGCAGAAATGATTGATAATAAGTTTATTTTACTCTAAAGTTTACAAAAGTATTGATTCATACTACCTTGTATTATATTCAGTTTCCCATTTATAAAGCCCTTTCCTATACATTGTTTAGTTTTCACAATATCATTATAAAATAGACTCAGTATTTTACAAGCTAGGAACAAAACCAAGAGGTTGTGGCACATGGGGCTGGGCGCGGTGGCTCACACCTGTAATCCCAGCACTTTGGAGGGTCAAGGCAGAGGATTACTTGAGGTCTACTAAAAATACAAAATTTAGCTAGGCATGATGGCATGGGCCTGTAATCCCAGCCACTCAGGAGGCTGAGACAGGAGAATCACTTGAACTTGGGAGGCAGAGGTTGTAGTGAGCCGAGATCGCGCCACTGCACTCTAGCCTGTGTGACAGAGCAGGATTCCATCTCAAAATAAATGAATAAATAATAAATAAATACATAAATAAATAAATAAGTTACAGCACATAGGTCACAAACTAGAGTCTTCATTTGCATCATCTAGCAGAGCTTTTCATAAAAGAGACCCTTGTATTTTTTTGTGTGCTTCACTCTCCTCCCCTCCGCTACCCCCTCCAAGATTCTGCTTTAACAGTTAAAAAGCTGCCCAGATGATGCTGATAGTGAACCTGCTTGGGAACCCCTGGTTAAAGGGATTTTTCTGTCTTTCTTTCTTTCTTTTTTTTTTTGAGACAGAGTCTCACTCTGTCTCCCAGGCTGGAGTGCAGTAGTGCAATCTTGGCTCACTGCAACCTCCCCCTCCCAGTTTCTAGCAATTCTCCTGCCTCAGCCTCCTGAGTAGCTGAGATTACAGGTGCCCACCACCACGCCTGGCTAGTTTTTGTATTTTTAGTAGAGACGAGGTTTCACCATGTTGGCCAGGCTGGTCTCGAACTCCTGACCTCGTGATCCACCCGCCTCGGCCTCCCATAGTGCTGGGATTACAGGTGTGAGCCACCACGCCCAGCCAGTTAAGGAGATTTTTCTGAAGCTCTTAAGGAGTAGAATCAGAGCTTGAACCAGGCATGCAGACTGCAAGTCAAGGGTGTTTCCCATAGACCACAAGTTAGGTAGGAGCAGTTGATGGGAGGCGAGGGGTAGGGGTAGAGGGATGGATGTTGATGGAGGTGAATTAAAATCTTATGGCAATTTTCCTTTAAAAACAATTTTTTTTTAAAGTGAAGATGGAGTGACAGTCAAGATCAGAAATTTTCAGATTGGTAACATTTTATGGGATGTTGTTAGTATGGATGTTCATCATGTGAGTGTAATCTTTCTGTTTCTAGGCATGAAAAGCAGGAAATGCAGGAAAACAAGACAGAGGAAATGGTAGATCCATTTGTATCTTTTAAGGAGACATGGTGAAAAAAAATCCATGATAAGCTGTAAACCTGAAGATGAATCATGAAAAAATAATTGCCATGAAACTGTAGTAAATTCCCAGGTGTGTGGGGAAGAGAGACTCCATGTTTTAGAAGATAAATTACACTCAAGTCCCAAGAAGGAAGATCTGAGTGGTAGATGTTTCCATTTTTATATTACTAATGATGAAACTAAGGCTCAGAGAGGTAAAGGAGCTTGCCTAAGATGCTCTGAAAATATGTGGGAGAAACCACCAAACCATTATTATAATAAATGATCATAAATGATAAAATAAAGAAAAACCCATAAGAGAGGAAAATAAACGCCAGGACACTGTGAAAGGCCTGGCAAATGCAACCTACAATCCATTTTGTGATATTGATGAACTATAACATCGATTTACCCTGTTTTTGTCACCAAAGGAAGCCACTGAGCCATGGTTATGAGATTTCTTCTTGGACATTTGAAAGTGAGATTTTCCAAATTCTTATTTTTCAGAAGTTGATGAATTTCAGCCCTAGGCAGGATTTTTATAAAACAAATTTAAGGGAGAATATATTTTAGATAATTTATTTGTGCTGCCATTTATCACCTGTTGGTTGAAGACTGGTGTTTTAGGTGATGCTGTTATAAGTAGTACTGCAAACACTTTCTGCTTTTAAGTGTGTACAGGTCTCAGAATCTGAATTACATGGTATAGTGCTTTTGTAAAGTGTATGTTTTCAATGGTATAAAGGACTTTTAAAGTTTATTTTGATATTTTAAATCATCAATCACCTGTATATAGAATTTGTTGTTTTTCACCTTTTCTACGTTGTTACAAATGTATCCCAGTCACTCGGCCATAGTTGTCTAGGTTTTCACAAAGGTGTTTCTTTTCTCCATGTCTTTTCCAAAAGACTTTCCAAGCTCTAGGATTCAAGGCAGACCTCTCATACCTCTTACATCTTACTTAAATCTGATTTGGGCTTCAGGGAAAACACTGAAGACACAACCAGTACCTGAAACATTTTTAGTCTTAGTGTTTTGATTTATCCTTGGTCACTTCCCCTAGCCTATGAAGGGAATTTCTGATTGAGTTCTGCATCTCTGATTTTTAAAATTTTGATCATAATTCATTTTTCCTGAGAAAGCATTTTTATATTTTAGGAGTATAAACCCAAGAATTCACAAAGGTATTTTTTCTTATAGGAATGCATGAGATGATTTGCCTTTCTAAAAGTAAATGTAAAACCTATAAACTATGTGATTATACTTTCCCAAGTTTCTAGGAATCAACCCAAGTGCAATTATTATAAACATGTAAGAAATCATGTCTACCATTGAAAATATAAAATTTAAAAATATATATTTGTTCATAACAGAACCTATAATCAGCAACTTCTTTGTTTTCCTTGTCTTACTGTTCCTTCTTGTAATTGTTGACAGACACGCATTTTAAAAAGAATGAAAGTTCAGTATTTGTGGGAAAGAATTTCAGAGTTATTTCTAGTAATTCCCTTGCTCCCTTAATGAGCCGGTATGAGATTTTTTTTAATGTGTAGAAGACTTTATTTTGTTAACACTTGCTCTAATCTAGCTTCATAAAGTGGAAGTTTTCTCTCTCCACTGATGCTATGGGAAATCTGAGAATTCAGGCCCTATCCATTGCTGTTGGTCCATCCCCCTGAAAATGATCTTTAGCTTTTGGTCTGCTAGAGAAAAATAATGATTTTTATGGCTCCAAAGTGTCCTTTTAAAATAGAGATTTTTTTGATATCTTTCAACTCACCTTTTATGTTTTCTGATAATAATAAAATAATCCTCTGAGTAAATGCCCTTTTATACAGATGTGTGACAAGTAGTTGAATGGACAGAACTTCTAGTTGAATAAATAATTTTGTACTTTTTTAAAATTAAGAATTACTTTTTTTTTTTTGAGACAGAGTCTGGCTCTGTGCCCAGGCTGGAGTGCAATGGTGCTATCTTGGCTCACTGCAACCTTGACCTCCCAGGTTCAAGCGATTCTCCTGCCTCAGCCTCCCGAGGAGCTGGGACTACAGGCACACGCCACCATGCCCAGCTAATTTTTTTTTTTTTTTTTGTATTTTTGGTAGAGACGGGGTTTCACCATTTTGGCTAGGATGGTTACTATCTCTTGACCTCATGATCCACCTGCCTCAGCCTCCCAAAGTGCATTACAGGCATGAGCCACTGCGCCTGGCCCAAGAATTACTTTTTAAATGAAAATCCACAGATTCTTGTTTTATATTTTTGGATTTTCAGATCTTGATATCTTTTCAAGAAAGGCATAGTCTTGATAAATAATATTCAAAAATATATTAACATAAATACTATGTATGTTCCTGTAATTTCAGAGCTTCACTATGTATGCCCATATATGTATATGTGTATATATGTGTGCCTGTGTGTGCGTGTGTTTCTGGTACAAATTGATTTAATAAACTATTTGAAGAAAAAACTATCCCTGATTACCTAAGTCAGATTTTATCATATGAAATTTAGCACATTGTGTAGTTTGTTCTATTCCGTGTGTTTCTGAATTGTTTTAGTTGTCATTAGTGCTCTCTGATAGTTACCAAAAAAAATAGTTGTAAATATTTGTAACATCAGGAATCTTGTTTCACCTTTGGTTTAATAGTCTAAAATTCTTTGATCCTGAATACAAAGAGAAGTCCCAGAACATTTAGGAAGGTTGATGGAAGGGTAATTGGAACCCAGGACTACATTCTATCTACACATGCACCTAGTAAGCTAGAGGCTGACTGCTGAAACTGCAGGTAGAGGTGGCTCTGTTAGAGGACCTGTGCTTGCTTATGCAGAGCTCCACTCCACAAATATCCTATATCTAAGGAGGGATTTTTTTACTTGGGGTCTGTAATACACATAGGTAAAGTGGAGTGTACATGAACATGTATGCATTCTTCTGGGGGTTAGACCCATTTTTCTTTTTTTTTTTCGGTGGTAGGGGGGGATTGGAGGGGGACGGAGTCTAGCTCTGTCACCCAGGCTGGAGTGCAATGGCATGATCTTGGCTCAGTGGAACCTCTGCCTCCCAGGTTCAAATGATTCTCCTGCCTCAGCCTCACCAGCAGCTGGGATTACAGGCGCCCACCACCCCACCCCGCTATTTTTTTGTATTTTTAGTAGAGATGGGGGTTTCACCATGTTGGCCACGCTGATCTTGAACTCCTGACCTCAAGTGATCTGCCCGCCTTGGCCTCCCAAGCGCCCGGCCCTAGACCCATAGCTTTCTTTAGGTTGTCAAAGAGTTTCATGACTGCAAAAAAGGCAGAAAAACTATTAAAGCTAACAAGATGACTGTATCCAATTAACTATTTATTTCAGTTTTTCTAAATATCGCTTAATAGCCTGAAACATAAATTTATCATGATTCTCTTCTCTGCTTCTTAAAACCCAGATGCCAGTCAACAAATTAAAGAAACTTTATTGACATGAATGGTACAGGCATATGACTAAAGCAGAGAAAGTACAATACGGTTTCATTTTATGAGAGTGACGTGTTCCTGAAGACTTGGCAATATTCAAAACTTGCATATTTCATGTTTAATTGCTCCCATAGAACTGACAAAGATGTTTACTAGCAAAACTGGCCAAGACATACGCCAATAGCATAAACACAGTTGTTAATTCCCTCATCCCTCCTCCAACTTAAAATCATAATTCTTCAAGATAAAAAAATTGTATTTACATCATTTCTAGTTTTGTGCTGAAAGTGAAACTTTATTGATATTTTTAGTTCAGCCTTTTTAAGTGAATTAAAGTTTTCCACAGAACACTGAGTCAAAATGAAAATTAAACACACACGTACACACGCTACTGGGTATATATCCAAAGGAGATGAAATCACTATGGTGAAGAGATATCTGTACTCCCATATTTATTTTAGCCCTATTCACACTATGCAAGATACAGAATCAATCTAAATGCCCAGCAATGAATAAACGGAGAAAGAAAAAAATATGGTAAATATACACAATGGAATACTGTTCAGCCATAAAAATAGGATGAAATCCTGACATTTGTGACATGGATGAACCTGGAGGACATTATGTTAAATGAAATAAGCCCAGCTGGGCGCAGCGGCTCACACCTGTAATCTCAGCACTTTGGGAAGCTGAAGCGGATGGATCACTTGAGGTCAGGAGTTCGTGACCACCCTGGCCAACGCAGTGAAACCCTGCCTCTACTAAAAATACAAAAATTAGCCGGGTATGGTGGTATGCATCTATAATCCCAGCTACCCGTGAGGCTGAGGCACGAGAATCGCTTGAACCTGGGAGGCAGAGGTTGCAGTAAGCCGAGATCGCGCCACTGCACTCCAGACTGGGCAACAGAGTGAGACTTTGTCTCAAAAATAAGTAAATAGATAAAAAAAGCCAGGTCTAGAAACTCAAATATTGCTTGGTCTCATTCACATGTGGGAGCTAAACAAGCTGATTTCATAGAAGTAGAGAGTATAGTGGTAGTTACCAGAGACTAGGGTGGCTAGAGGGGTAGGGTATAGGAAGATGCTGGTCAAAGGATACATAATTACAGTTAGATAGGAGGAGTAAATTTCAAGATATCTATTGTATAGCAAGGTGACTATAGTTGATGGTATATTGTATTATTGAAAAATGTAAACAGTGGAAGTTATGTGCTCTCATTACAAAAATGACAGCTATGTGAGTTAATGTATTTTTAAACTAGCTAGAGTTGTTAACCATTCTACAATGTATATATACTTCAAAACATCATGTATACAATAAAAACATACAATGTCATCTGTCAATTTTTTAAAATGGCTGCCCTGATCCAACACATGAGGCCAAAATAAGAGTGGTACCAGCATAGTAATGTGTGTAGTTCAGCTTGGGAGTGGGTTTAGAGGGGCCCGTTCTGAGACTTGGGCTGTGTAGTGTAAAAGTACACAACTTACATTCCAAAAACTTTCTGAGTGATTAAATAATGCATGAGTGAACCATACTGTATTGGTTATTCAGCCACTCCTTTCTGAATCTTTTTTTTTTTTTAGGTTAAAGAGCTAATAGTCTTTTGAAAAAGAAGTATGAGCTCAGCTTTCAAAAGGCAAAAATTTTATTTTCATCATTTACATCCCTGGTAACAAGAACCAGCTGCTAGGAAACAGGTCCCAGTTATGTATGAAACTCCAATCTGCTAGAGTTTCAACCTCAATTTATCAACCTCAAATATTAATAGATCTTTAATGAAAAGCTTTTCGTTTCTGGCAGAACTTTGGTGATGAATTTCTACTCTAGGATTCATTTTTGAGATAAGCCAAATTCACTAAAATTAGGCCTTCTTTACTCTGCTTGTGGCCCTTGCTCGACCTGTAGTTTTGGACATTAATCATTTCAAAGTAGCATCTTTTGATCACATTGGCACTACAAGATGCTTTTTTCATCTCTGGTCAGCAATTTTTTGAGCCTTTCTTATTTCTACATGAGCCAGGAAACTCAGCCCAAGCTGGGTTCAGCTACTATGTTAGCTAATTCTATGTGCCAACTTCTCTAGGTTATTGTGCCTAGTTGTTTGATCAAACACCAGTCTAGATGTTGCTGTGAAGGTATTTTTTTAGATGTAACTAACATTTAAATCAGCAGACACTAAGTAAAGCAGATTAACCACTATGGTGTGAGTGGGTCTCATATAGTTAAAGGCCTTAAGAGAAAAGACTGAGGTCTCAAGGAAGAAGTTCTGACTCCAGTCTGGCTTGGGACTCAGGAAGGCATCAATTCCTGATGGAATGTCTAACAGATTTCAGACTGCCAGCCCCACAATCACATGAGCCAATTCTTTAAAAATATCTTTTTTTTTTTTTTTTTTTTTTGAGACGGAGTCTCTCACTGTGACCGGGGCTGGAGTGCAACGGCGCGATGTCGACTCACTGCAATCTCCGCCTCCTGGGTTCACGCGATTCTGCTGCCTCAGCCTCCTGAGTAGCTGGGATTACAGATGCACACCACCACACCTGGCTAATTTTTTTTTTTTTTTTTTGAGATGGAGTCTTGCTCTGTTGCCAGGCTGGAGTGCAATGGCGTGATCTTGGCTCACTGCAACCTCCACCTCCTGGGTTCAAGCGATTCCCCTGCCTCAGCCTCCCAAGTAGCTGGGACTACAGGCACGTGCCACCATGCCCGGCTAATTTTTTGTATTTTAGTAGAGACGGGGTTTCACCATGTTGGCCAGGATGGTCTTGATTTCCTGACCTTGTGATCTGCCCACCACAGCCTCCCAAAGTGCTGGGATTACAGGTGTGAGCCACCGTGCCCGGACAAAATAGTCTTTATTTTATATATATAAATATTATATGTAAGTATATTCATATATAAAGATATTTAAGGGATATATATATTTATTTAAGGAGTGAATACACACACACAAATTATACTGGTTCTGTTTCTCTGAAGAATCTGATACAACTCAGATGAGCCTTATTAGTGGAGTGGGATTATTCATGCCCGCTGGGAGCAAATTAGATCAATGATTCTAAAACAATGGGCCTATGGAAGTGCATCAGGCACTGCTAATGGGGAGAAGGAAGGTGCTGACAGCTGGTACTCTGTTCCCCCTTCCTGAGCTTCAACCAGAGTGACTTGACTTCTGTTTATTTCATATATTGGAGGGTGGTATGAATGGTACTTAAAAAAATTCCAGTGCTAAAAATAAAACTTACAGATTTATGGTTAAGATAGACCAATATCTCAAAGTTTAAGTATGTATGGTGTCTGCATGAAATTTTTTACAAAATAATTTTTCATTGATGATGAGGTCATATCTCAAAATGGTCCAAATATATATTTTGTAGTCAATAAGATATTCCTATGATAAGGATTTTTTCAGGACATATTCCATCCCAGTAGCTTGATGTTACCCAGCTCTATAGTTTTATAAATATGTAGGAAAATACAATTTACTTTGTTTCCCAAATGTAAGTCCATCTTCTGAAGTGGCCTTTAATTATGGCAGTAATCTCTAAAATCATAAAAGGCAGGGAAATGTGTATTTGATGTCATGTTCCTGATTTGTTTTTATAAGATTCATGAAAAGACTAAACCAAGGTGTGGACACAGGATCGGGGACTAGATGGATCCTCTTTTGGCTGTTATAGCAGGAACTATAACAGGAAGGGACTATGACAGGAACTATAGCAGGAAGAAAGAAAAACGTGCCTTGGAATTCATAAAATTCTGAAGTAATGGTGACAGGTGTGAAGTGGAATAAAAGCCTGGGGTGTTGTGGGCTGAGGTATTGATAGCATTGGGGTAGCTGAATTCAGTACTGGGCCTAAAGGAATTTGATCTATCAGCTAGAACTAGCAGTTTCTGTGTCAGAATCTTCATCACCATTTAGAGGCACTGTTTGGTTAGAATTAATATGAGAGATTGCATGCTGTAATGGAAATGGCCTTCCAGAAATGGCTGATAAGCTGGGCCCCTACCGTCCAATATTGCCTGGCTCAGGAGACCGTGAAGTTTTGAATATTTCTCTGAGCTAAAGGTCACCGGGTTGGCTTTGCTATAGATGGGGATGGGGATTTGGTGGACAAATAGGGACCTGAGCAGAGGCTTCAGATGCAAATCTGACCATGTCACTCTTCAAAATTTCCCCTCCCACTACAAGATAGTCTAGGCCAGTGTTCTTCAAACCATAGTGTGCACGAAAATCACCTTTGAAAACATCAATTGCTGGACCCTACCACCAGAGTTTCTGATCAGTAGGTCCAGGATAAGGCATAAGAATGTACATGTCCAAGTTCCCAGGTGATGTTGATACTGTTGGTCCATGGACCACACTTTTAGGACTACCAGTCTAGGCACTTTACCATCACACAAATGGATCTTTTCTGTTCATTTCATGCCAACTTCTTTATTCTATATTTCCCACCTCCTGTCCTGTATATTATGATTCAGCAATGTGGAACTACTTATAGTGCACTTGCAGCCACTATGCTGTTTCTTGCCACCCTGCCTATTCCGTTTATTTTACTAATTCCTATGTAACTTTAAAGACTTGGTTTGCATTGTTGCCCAGTACTCTCTTGTTTAATTGTCTCATTTCCCACTCCTCATCTGGGTCAGTTAGCCCTCCTGTAATACCCAGAGACTGCTCCGAACATATTTCTACATTGCACTTATGACGATGCACTGGAGTGATCTGTTTATGTGGCTATTTCTTCTATGACACTGTGAATTCCTTGACACCAGGAGCACGTCTTACTTTTTGTATGCACAATACATTCACACTGGAGGTGCTTGCAAAATTGGGAGACGGGGGTAGAGGGGAGCAGGAGAGAGGAGGAGAGTGAACCTTGTGCCCCTGATTACTGAGGCCATCTCTCTGATATACAGGGAATGTGTGGCTCTGGCTTAGAGTAGAGCTTCAGGTAGCCATCTGTCATTAAAAGAATTCTTTTAATTCTATCTATTCAAGATCTTGTACAATCTACAGAATTTCAGAGCAAATCAAAACACACTAGGGTTATATAGCAGTCAACTTTCTATTTCTTTCAGCTATGATCATTTCCTTCGTGTGCAGACCTATAATGAGGGCTGCATATGAGTATTGTCACAATCTCTGGCAAGTTTCACCTTTAGCTTCCCCTCTGTTGAACAAGGCATACACTTATTAAAATTTAGGGCAATTTTAGTAATTTATAATTGGATGAAATAGTTATTATTGCCTTAGCATATACAGTTCACAAGGACAATTAATTGCACAGTAAAATTTGCAAAGGAGATACTTTGATTCAAAGACTAAATCGTCAGTGTTCAGGCTTTTCGGTTTTCTTATTCCTTCTGTCTGTCCTCATTTTTTATTTTCCACCCATGGCTCCTTTTAGGACAAAATATTTTAGCCAGGAAAGAGCATAAAGATAATTCAGTCCTGATGCATAGGATAAATGATTTTTCTGGTCACAGAGCTAGTCCGTAATGGAAGACTAGACTCCAGGCCCCCGGCCTGAGCACTGCACCATGCTACTTTTTACCATCTGTTTAAGAAGCCCCACTTTGTATCATCAATTCTACTGTTCCTGAAGCAGAACAGTTAACAAGACAAACTCAGTAATTTACGCCCTAAAGTAGGAGAGAGTTAAAGTTGAAGAGTAAAATCCACATTGCAAAGAACCATACAGTCTATTACTACTAATAATATAATCATAGGTAACATTTGCTGAGGGTTTGCTATGTTGCAAGAACCACAGTAGGTGCTTTACATGGACTGTCTCAGTTGATCCTCACAACGACTCTATGAACGGGTCTGTTATCCCGTTTACAGATTAGAAACAGGCTTGAACGCTAATGTGCCCTAAATCCACACTGGTAAAACCAAAATTAAAGCAGAGGAGGTCTGTCTCCAGAGCTCATGCTCTTTTAACCACTACACTAATGGAGTAAAAGCATGCAGACATTCAATCTGGTTGCAATAGTGACTGAAGGAAAATAGTTGCTACAAAACGCAAATAGTGAGACAAGGCATCTGTGGGCACCTTCTGCCTTACCTCACATTTGTAAAAATAAGCATACTGTGTGGGACTGGTAGCTATATGATTTAGCTTCTTGTCTTAATAATTTGTAAATAAATTATGTTAAGTTTGGAAGGAGCCACATTGTTTATTTAATCTAGCTTTACTAGATGAACAAATCCTCCCCTCTTCAAAATCCCTGATGCGGAGTGATGAAGTTTCTTCTTGAAAGCAGCCAGTGAATAGAGGATTTGCCTTTGGAGACAGTCTACTCAGTGGTTTCTGGTTCTTTTTCATCTGGAATTAGAGCCCACTTTACCTGCCCCTTTTCCCTAGGTCCTTGCCCCATCCCCTGAAGGGGAGTGTATTCATCTGTTCTCATGCTGCTAATAAAGACATACCAGACACTGGGTAATTTATAAAGGAAAGAGGTTTAATAGACTCACAGTTCCACGTGGCTGGGGAGGCCTCACAATCATGACTGAAGGTTAAGAGGAGCAAAGTCACGTCTTACATGGTGGCTGGCAAGGGGGCTTGTGCAGGGGAACTCCCATGTATAAAACCATCAGATCTCGTGAGACTTATTCACTACCACGAGAACAGTATGGGGAAGACCAACCCCATGATTCAATTATCTTTACCTGGCCCCACCCTTGACACGTGGGGATTTTGACAATTCTAGGTGAGATTTGGGCGGGGACACAGCAAAACCATGTCAGGGAGGTAGTACGTCTACTGTCTCTGCTTGGAGGTAGCTGGAAAGGCTGGGAAGATTATGTCCCCCAACCCCCCAGACTTTCCTCATCAGGTTACACATCCCCAGAACATCTTTCAACCTTCTGTTTTCCAGATCTCCCGCCATGTTTTTATTTACTTTTCTTTTTTTATTTGAAACGATCATAAAACAGCACTACCGCCATTTAGTCACTTCTTCCAGGACGTAGTCTAATTTTTTCTACAGTCTTCTCCAGAATCTAACATTTTATCTCATCATTGCCAAATGATATTAAACTTATTATTTCCTGTGTTCTAGGTATAATACTCCTATTAATACCAACTAAAGCCAAGATAGCTCAAAAGCAACCATACTTTTCCTCAACTAATTTTGCACTTGTAACTAACTATATACTCACATCTATTGAACCAGAACTGCTTTGCAGCCCAGAATTTTCTATGCCAAGGCTAAATGTACAAATTTACAGTTAATATTGTTTAAATTATTATTTTTGTAATTTATATATAATATTCTAGCTTGTCAGGATCATTTTGAATCTCTGGTGTGTTAATCAATTATACATAATTTGTCTGTACAATATTTCTTCCATATTATTAATAGAAAATACTGCATCTGACAGGGCCTTTTACAGAGACTGGTGGTACACTGTTAAGTGAACTTTTTTCAGAATTGGTAATCAATACTCTTTCAAAGTATTATTCAACCAGTTGCAATGCCAGCTAAGCAGTAAGAAAAGTTAGCTCTCATCACCAGCATGGCACATGTATACATATGTAACTAACCTGCACATCGTGCACATGTACCCTAAAACTTAAAGTATAATAAAAAAATTACCTAATAAATAAAAAAAACCACAGTAACTGTTTTCAAAGTGACTCATGGCCCAAGTTTTGGACAGAAATATGTTTTTAACATGTTACATTATTCAGTTATTTTGACTTTATGTTGCACCCAGAATTTTAATCCACTCAATATGAATGTGGAATATAATAAAACAATAGCTTTTTATTAATTAAGAAAAAAGTACCACAAGAAACTTTGTCAAATGTTTTATAAAAATCAAGACACAGTATATGTAAGATATTCTATTAGTTTATGAATTATTTTAAAATATGTTTACAAGTGACTATTTTTAAAAATAATCAAGTTTTCAGTTTTCAGAACTATGGTGAGTTCTTAGTCTATGCTGGTTCCCATTGATTTCTAAATCCTCTCAAGGAGAATGGGCATTATCTCACACTACTAGACTGGTCCTCAAAATAGGTAGGTGAAGGAAGAAGGGCTTGGAAAGATTAAAAAACAATAGCCTACAACTCTTAGAGAGATATAACCTGCAGGCCTATTTTTCAGATGTGGAAACTAAATTTCAAAGAATTGAATTGACTTTGCTAAAGTCACCCAGGAAATGGATAACTGAAGATTCATATCTAGCTCTTCTGTCTCCAAGTTCATTTTTCACATTAACCTGCACATTCTCTTGATCTCAGTCCTCTACATTCAATTCCTGTGATGAGTTCCAGCTCTCTTAGGGTCACGAGCAAATCTCAAAATGGGGTAAATGCAGCCACAGACAGAAAAATGGAGCATCTTTATAAAGCATCACCTTTTATCTGAGGACAGATAGCATTCTTTTTTATTGACATAAAACACAAAGCTATCTTGGAGAGTAATGTAAAATTCACATTAAAGATGAAACACGAGATTTTAAAGCTATCTTATGTATGTTTTGACCCTCTCTGGATTATACTATCAAGTCCTCAAGGCCTGTGGCAGAGCTAGCTATAGTAGTGGTAGCTTTGGTGTTTGAGGCAAGGGCATGCACAGGGTGCCCACAGAGCTGGGGTCTGGAGTGCATTCACACATGAAGCAGCTGCAGCTCCAGGGTCTGGGTCACATGCAGGGTTGGGAGGGTTGGCAGTGGTTCCCCCTTGGAAGGAAATAGGAAGTACAGCAGCAGCTCCTTCTCTTGGGGGTCTTCTGCAGCAGGATGGCATTGGTTACCTTGGTGGTGAGATATGCCAGTGTCCTCTGGAGAACAGAGGACTGTGGTGACACCCACCATGTGACTGAGACTGGCAGCCCCCACCCTTCTTCTTTGTTCTTAGGCATCTCCAGATGTCTTGGATGGGCTGATCTCCCCAGTGATCCTTTCTGTGGGGTTATGCTTTTCCGTTTTGCTCTACTGCATTCTGCAGATTCTTAATTGGACCCTTAAGTCCTCTCAAAGCTATTTTCATTTATGGATATCTGCCTATTTGTTAGTTTTTGTGGGGAGATAGAGGTTGGCATCTCCTACTCCATCATCTGGCTGATGTCACTCTCCTGTACCATTTTGAACATAACTAACTTTGTACATTAACATTTATTCAACATTGAACACATTTATTGAGCACCTACTTTGTGTCAGGCATAGTACTAAGCTCTGGGATTACTGTGGTAATTAAGACGGACACAGTTTTTGCCCTTATTGAACTAACATTCTAGAAAGACAAAAACAAAAACAACCAAATGACAAAAAAACTGCAGGGTGTAATCAGTGCTATGAAGGCAATAATGGGCCTGAGATAGAGAATAAAGTTGGGAGAGGTCAGATGGCAGAATGAAAACACTTTAGTTCACATGGTTTGGTGTTGTCTTTACTGCGGAGACATTTCACATGAAAATCGAAGAATGAATAGATAGGTGAAAGGTATGTGAGTACACTCCCCAAAAGAGAAGTAGCAGATATAGAGACCTTGAGGCAGGAAAGAACTTTGAGGGCTGAGACAACGAGAGAAGCCCAGTGTCATTGAAAAAAGGTGAATGAGTGAGTGGCAATGGCATCAGGTGAGATGGATGAGGTGGACAGGGCTGGATTGCACAGGGCCTTAGGAGTCATGGAAAAGAAGCTTAGATGTTATTCTAAGGACAATGAAAAGCCATTAAAGGATGTTAAGCAGGGAAGTGGCAAGATCTGATTTACTGTCAAAGAAGGACACTCTCACCTTGGTGAGGAAAAGAGTTCCATGGAGGAACAAGGGTAGAAGCAGAAGCCATTGGGAAGTTACTACAGTTTTGCAGGTGAGAAATGATGGGTGTTTAGGCCAGGTTGGTAGTCAAGGCAGACAAAAATGGATGGACTGGGTTAAGTGCTAGTGGGATGAACATGGAGGGTGAGGGAAAGAGAGGATGAAGCTTTACTAAACTTTTTGACTTGAGTCAAGTGTAATTGAATGTGGGGATTGGGAAGTTGTTTGTGGTAGAAATTCTTTTTTGAACATGTTAGGTTTGAAATATTTGTAGTCTATTCAAATAAAGATATCAGGTTGCCAGATGCCAAGCTTACTAGTGTAGAGCTCAGAGGAAAGGGTCCCAATTAGAAATATCATTTTGGGAGTCATCAGTATAATACTGTATCATAAGCAGTATTTAAAACTCTGGGCATAGATGAGATCATGTAGAAAAGAATTCAAAGAGAAAGAGAAGTGTATCTCTGGAAGAAATCTCTGAGAAACACTGATGTTTAGAGATTGGGTTGGGATGAGGAATCTTGCATGGAGCCTGAGAAACAAATGAACCTGAGAGGTGTGAGAAAAACCAGGAAGCTCCCAAGACAGAACAATGTTAAGTATTCAAAATTAGGACAAGTAACTTAATCTTTCTGTGCCTCCATTTCCTCATCTCTAGAAATAGAATAGTTTATTAGTTTTTTATTGCTGCTGTAACAAATTACCACAAACTTAGTGGCTTTAAGCAAAAAAAAAATGCATGATCTTACATTTCTATAGCTCAGAAGTTGGAATTAGACCTTTCTTACTGGGCTAAAATCAATGTGTCAGCAAGCCCATCTTCAAAGCTGGCAATGGAGGGTTGAGACATATTACTCCATTGTAACATGTTGCTTCCACTGTCACATCTCCTTCTGACTCTGACTCCTCTTTTACTTTTAAGGGCTCTTATGGTTACATTGAGCTCACCTGATAACCCAGGCTATGCTCCCTTTCCCAATATTAGCTTATTTGCAACCTTAATTCCACCTGCAGCTTAATTCTCCTTTGTGGTGTCATATAGCATGGTCACAGGTTTTGGAGATTAGGACATGGGTCTCTTTGGGGGCTATTATTCTGCCTACCACAGATGGTAATAATATATACCTCATAGGATTGTTATGAGAATAAAATGAGTCAATACACAAAGTAATTATGCGTGGCATGCAGCAAATAGTCAATAAACATTGGCTACTATTATTACTCTGCTTTGTTTCTACCTCAACCACTAGACAGCGAGTTTCTCAGACAAACGTGTTATCTTCATCTTTGTAGCACAGATTATAGATGTTCATGAAGTATTCATTGACTGAATACATGGCACAGAGAATGTGGAAGAATGTTCAGTGAACAAACGAATGCAAATACATATGCCTCAAATAGAGTTACAGAAGCACTGTATTAACCTCATTTGATTTCATCTTTGCCAGAACCTTGTGAGGTAGACTGGCAGTCCTCCAAACCAGTTTCCCTTCTTGACTTCTCTATTTAAGTTCATGACTCTAACATTTACTCATATGTATAACCTCAGAGTTCTTTTATGATACTCATTGAATTACTTATACCCAGCTGACTTCCTGACCCATCTCTGGTTCTTTTTCTCCTTCATTCAATCAACACACATGAGCTTAGAGTGTACTATGTGCCAGATATAGGACTAGGCACCCTAAATACAAAGTTGAATTAGACATTAGCCTTAAAGAGTAGCCAAATTCTCAGCATTCTTCCTTAGTAATTAATGTCTCATAGATTTCTTTCCTACTTTCTCTTCCTCCACCAGCTGGTTCAGACCCTTAATACTTCTCCAGGCTTTTGTGGAGTCTGTTTCCACCCACTCTGCCTCTCTTTTACTAAAGCACAGTAATGATATACCTAAAATGTGCCTGGCATTTGCTTTCATGCTTTTGTTCATATTGTTTTCTCTACCTAGAATGTCTTCACTCTCTCACCCTGTGAAATCCCAAGCATTCATTCTTTTCAGCCCCATTTCCAGCATAACTTTTCCCAGAAGCCCTTTGACCCTGGCAACAATGTTTTCTCTCTCCCTTCTTCTCTCCCTTAACATTATTTCCCTTTTGATTTCTTGCAGATGCACCTTGTGTTGTAAAGGTGTTTGTACATGCTGTTTCCCTCCACTAGGCTCTACGTTTGTTCCGGGCAGTGACTTCATTTTACTGGAGATGCACAGGCTCTATATTCTGTGTTTGCATCCAAGCTCTGCCACTTTCAAGCTCTGTGGCTGTGGACAAGCTACTTGATCTATGTTTCAGTACTCTTTTCTGCAAAACAGGATTAATAGTGTTACCTAATCAATCGGGTTATGGTGAGGATTTAGTGGATAAAATGCAAGGGCTAGCACATAGTAAGCACCCAATAGCATTTGTTGAAATTTGCACATCTGGATGATTGACAATTTGCTACTACTGTTTATTGTGGGGAGAACAGAGATCTAAATGTTAAATAACTCTCCCCAAATCAAGGAAGAACTAGGTTTAGAAGTTACATCATTTCAACATCACTTCCCAAATACCTCTCACTTACATGTTGGAAGAAATTTATTTGTTTTATTTAAGAGTGTTTGGGCCAGGAGTGGTGGCTCATGCCTGTAATTCCAGCACTTTGGGAGGCCAAGGCAAGTGGATCACGAGGTCAGGAGTTCAAGACCAGCCTGGCCAACATGGTGCAACCCCGTTTCTACTAAAAAGACAAAAATTAGCTAGGCATGGTGGTGGGCGCCTGTAATCCCAGTTACTTGGGAGGCTGAGGCAGGAGAATTTCTTGAACCTGGGAGGTGGAGGTTGCAGTGAGCTGAGATTGCGCCACTGCACTCCAGCCTGGGCGACATAGCAAGACTCCATCTAAGAAAGAAAGAAAGAAAAGAAAAGAAAGAAGAGAAAGAAAGAAAGAAAGAGTGTTTGGTCTTTTCCTTAAGTAGAAGCTCAGGGTCAGGCTACCTAATTTTATATCCTCTGGTTTTAACATGTGAGAGTTAATTTGAGCAAAATTCACTGCCTGTGTAAGTTTTCACATTCTTTATCACAACTGCCAAGCCCCAACTCTCAGCTGTAAACTCCTTGACCCTAAACCTATGAGCTACTTGATAGCAAGGTAGCCATTTCTCTCAAGTAAAGAAGAAATTTCCACAGTACCTGGAGGCCCTAAGCTATTCCAGGATGATCCATGACATTATTCTCAGTTACCTTGCTCTCTTGCTTTGATTTGGGTCTTGCTAGAGGACTGGAGTGTAAATCACCTAAGTGACTTAGGTTGATACAAATATCTGTTATAAGATTTAAGGGAAAAATAAAATTATCCCAAGGATGTAGCTGACTGGGAGTTGTCAGAGGTACATCGGGACTTCAAGGTTTTGTTCAACTGTCATCCTCTTGGGGCAGAAACGAAAATGTCAGTAGTTTGAGACTTCCTTTTTGCTTTAGGATAACCACAAATTGCAATCTTGTGGTGACATCAATTGTAGAAGTAGGACGGAGAAATGCTGGTAGCTCAAGAAGAGGTGAGATACCTGCAAACCCTGTTTGAACTCTGCACTTATCTGTTTTAAAGCAGGAAAATGATCACATCATTCTCTGGCTCAAAAATTTCAAATGGCTCTCCATTGTCAGTAGGGTCAAGCTAGACTTTTTAGCCTAGTCTATAAGGTCTGCCACAAATCAGCCTCAATTTACTTTTCTGGCTTTATGACTGCCCCAGCCTTGCCAGCAGCCACACTACACTTTTCATCATTCTCTAAACAAATATATGTATCCTGTAGTCTTGCTAAGGCAATGCTAAGATGTAATTTTAAGGTGGGGGGGCAATAATAATATTAACTTCTAATCTCATGGGGTAGATAATAATAATAGTCACTATATACCAAACATTGTGCAAAAAACATCTTACACACATCAACTAATTTTAACCTAATCATAATCACTTTTACTAATTTTACTGTTAAAGAAATTCAGGTGTTGAGAAAGCTGCCGAAGGTCATACAGTTAGAAAATGGTGTAGCCAGTATTACAACACAGATTGTCTGGCTTCTTGAGCACTGTGACATTGTGGAAAGACCTGTACTCTGGAGACGGATTGTTCTGCTGACATTTGAGCCTCCAGAAACGTTTACTGCCTCTGCTGGCTTCTGCCAGCTTTACAAGACTTTGCTGGTTAAATTTGAGCCTTGCAAAAGAGAAAATGGACAAAATCTCCCTTAGAGCCGGTGTGCTCTTTATAGCTACAGTGTGCATTGTATTTGATAATTTTCTGTTTTTGTCTAAAAAGGACCAAACAAAGCTGAGAGTGGCTCTGTATCAACTCTCTTGCCGAGAACTCTTACTGAGTTAATAAGAGAAATGTTTATGCGAGTTGTATAATTTAAGCTTTCCATGAGAATGCACTGAGTTAATGGATAACAGCTGTGGGTAGTAGTAGTAAAAACAACTTGGCCATACCTGAAGTGCCTTCATAGTTGGAGAGACTGGCCTGCAGTGGTTCTCTATCTTGGCTGCACAAATCACAAGTAGAGTTTTTGAGCAAGACCCCGTGACTGGGCCCCGCCCCAGACCAGTTAAATTGTATTCTGGTGTGTATGTAAGTGGGTGTGGGTGGGCAGGCATTGGTAGTTTTTGAAAGCACCCTAGGTGATACTAATATGCAGTTAGGGTTAGAACCACTAGGCTAGAGAAGAAAGGGCTGTGCTTATGTATTTGTTTATGGTGATCTGCAATCCTTAATAGTAATCCCAATCCCAAATTAACTTGAAACCTGAACAATACAGTCTTTTTTTAACTATCCAAAATATATCCTTAACATGTGAAGAATGGCAGGACTCTGAATGCATACATGAGCTACTGAAACACAAGACAGGTTAGATACGGGCTGTCCCTTGGAATCTTGTTTTTCAAAGTTTGGTCTAAGGATTTGCATTATCAGCTTCAGCTGGGAGCTGGTTACAATGCAGAACGTCAGGCCCTCCCCCTCCGTCCACTGAAACAGAGTTTATATTTTAAGGAGATCTATACTTTCAAGTGTGAGAAGTGCTGCCTTAGAGATCATCTCTTTCAGTGCCCTCATTTTGTAAACGGGAGAAGAAGAAACAAGATACGAGCGAGATTATGGAACCCACCCAGAGACTGCACTAGAACACTGGGATCCTAGAGACCACGTCTGCTGATGCCAGGGCCTGCAACCTTTCCACTCCATTGCACTGATAGGTCATAAAAATAAATTATGGTGAGTTTCTTTCCCTGAGTGAATTCAGATTATCTCCCTTTCGCATCAAGAGTTTTCCAGGCTATGGGATGAAAAATGGAGCTTTAAATGATCAACTCATGTTTGATAAAGGGGAAAAAACTCCTACTATAAAATGTATACTTTTAAAGTACAATTGATACATAAAATTTAAATTCACCTTGTCATAAAAGAGAAAAATATAGAACTACCGTAAAAACATTTTTTTTTTTTTTTTTTTGAGACGGAGTCTTGCTCTGTTGCCAGGCTGGAGTGCAATGGCACGATCTCGGCTCACTGCAACCTCCTGGGTTCAAGCGATTCTCCTGCCTCAGCCTCCCGAGTAGTTGGGACTACAGGTGCCCGCCACCACGCCCGGCTAATTTTTTGTATTTTAGTAGAGATGGGGTTTCACCATGTTGGCCAGGATGGTGTTGATCTCCTGACCTCGTGATCCACCCCCCTCGGCCTCCCAAATTGCTGAGATTATGGGCATGAGCCACTGCGCCCAGTCATAAAAACATTTTTAAGAAAGAAAAACGTGCTTTAAATATGAAGCTATATAATAGAATTATTTTCTTTGAACTGTAGGGAATAAAAACAAATTTTATATAACAAAGATTGGGTTTCATTCCAATGAAAATTTCCGTTTCATCTGTATTAGAAGTTATTTTTTTGGGTAGAAATTTTTACCAGGGTACAGATTTTTGATGTGAAAAGATGTCATTGTTTATATCTCTCCATAACTGAAATTATTTTACTCTCAAGCACTAAATTCTGCCGGTGGTGTTGGAAGACTTACTATTACACTTGCTGAACAATTTCTTTTGGACTAAATGCTAAGGCAAACACCAGGGTTCACCTCCTTGTTGAGGGGTGAAGGTGAGGAGGATAGTGAGGGTGCTTCCATAGTGTTTAGCATTGGGACAAGGCACAGCTGCCACATAATGTCCCGTGTACTAGCTGAGTGGCATTTGTCTGGTCCCTGACACTACACTATAACTGGTGTCTGTTGCCCATGTCTGCAGCTTAGCCTGCTGCTCTTAAGTCCACGTAACCTGCATCCACTTTGTCTCAACTGTCTTTTCGGCTCCGGAATCTCCCAAACTTACTTGGGGGCTCTTCCATTCTTTCCATGGCTTCATGCCTGGCCTAGAGGAGGGTAGTGCAAAGCACAGGCCTTTCTTAGAGACCTATTGCAGCTGACCTCTCTGGTCTCAGCATTTAGGAATCTCTCTTGCCTTCCTGTTGGTGGAATGCCTGTCCTTTTGGTAGGAATTGTTCTTACGTAATCACACATTTCTTCTGTTCCACGATTCATGGTATAATCTGGTATCATGTTTTGGCTCCTGATATTTAAAAGAAATTTATATTTGGAAAATTTTAAAGACTTTTTTTTCCCTCCCAATGCCTGAATCTTACAACTGAATGAGGTCTCCCCAAGGGCTCAAAAGCCAGGAGCTGAAGGTGCTTCTTCCTTTCAGGCTGGATCACCCATGCCCCGAGAGCTGTGTACAAAGCCCCCAATACTACTTGGGTGGTAGAGGGAAGAGTAAGGGCAAACACCTGGAAAATACATTTTAAAAACCCAAACACTACCCTGCCCAAATCCTGCCAATTAAGCCATATTTTAGGTCTAGTATGCTGTTTCTGAATTTCTACATATGAGAGGCAGGGAATTCAATTCTATAAACTTTTTTTGAGTACTCTGTGCAAGATACTCATAAGGTCCCTGCCCACAGGTGGCACATTAGTTTCCAGTAGGATGTAATAAGTTACCACAAACTTGGTGGCTTTAAACAATGCAGATGTATTATCATAACAGTTCCAGAGATAAGAAGTACAAAATCAGTCTCACTGAGCTAAGATCAAAGTGTTGGCAAGCCTGTGATTCTTCTGGAGCCTTTATAGGAAGAATCTGTTTTCTTGACTTTTCCAGATTCTAGAAGCTGCCTGCATTCCTTGGCTCATGGCCTCATCCTCCATGTTCAAAGCCAGCAGTGTAGCATCTCCCCTCTCTGGTCTCTACTTCCACCTTTACAGCTCCTCTCTCTGGCCCACCTACCTCCCTCTTATAAAAACCATTGTTAAAGGACTAATATCCAGAATCTATAAGGAACTTAAATCAATAAGAAAAAAACCAACTTTATTAAAAACTGAGCAAAGGATATGAACAGACACTCCTCAAAGACATACATGTGGCCAACAAGCATATGGCAAAAAAGCTGAACATCACTAATGATCGGAGAAATGCAAATCAGAACCACAATGAGATACCATCTCACACCAGTCAATGGCTAACATGCAAAAGTCAAAAAATAACATGTTGGCAAGGCTGTGGATAAAAGAGAACACTTATATACTGTTCGTAGGAATGTAAATTAGTTCAGTCCCTGTGGAAAGCAGTTTGGAGATTTTTCAAAGAACTAAAAATAGAACTACCATTCAATCCAGCAATCCCATTACTGGGTATATACCCAAAGGAAAACAAATGGTTCTAGCCAGAAGACACCTGAACTTATATGTTTATCACAGCACTATTCACAATAGCAAAGACATGGAATCAACCTAGGTGCCCATCAACAGTGGATTGGATACAGAAAATATAGACATATACACCATGGAATACTACATAAAAAATACTACATAGCCATAAAAAAGATTAAAATCATGTTCTTTGCAGCAACATGGATGCAGCTGAAAGCCATCATCCTAAGTGAATTAATGCACAAACAGACAACCAAATATTGCATGTTCTCACTTAGAATTGGGAGCTAAACTCTGGATACATGTAGACATAAAGATTGGAGCAACAGATACTGGGGACTCCAAAAAGAAGGAGAGAAGCAGGGAGGAAAGGGCTGAAAAACTTCCTATTGGGTACTATGGTTCATTATCTGGGTGACAGAATTAATAGAAGCCCAAACTGCAGCATTACACGATATATCCTTGTAACGAGCCTGCACATGTACCCTGTGAATCTAAAGAAGAAATTAAAACTTAAAAACAGAACCTTTGTGGTTATACTGAGCCTTCCTGGCTAATCCAGAATCATATCCCCACATCAAGATTCTCAATTTAATTACATCTGCAAAATCCCTTTTACCATGTAAGGTGGCATATTCACAGGTTGTGGGGATTAGCATGCTGACACCTTTGGTGGGGCAGGGAGGGAGTATTATTCACCACAAGGGTGCCAGGGGAGAGGACAAGGATAACAGATACATGGCCGGGAAATTTTCTGAGATATGAATTTATGTTTTTCTTCCTGTATTTTATTATTTATCTTCTCGCATTTAAGCAGGGAGCCAGGCTCTGACCTTGCCTCAGAGTGGGCAAAAGGCAGAAGTTCCTGACAAGACACTTCCCTTTCTGACTTTTGGTTTTTAAAAGCCAAAGTGCATGGAGGAAGTGGGCTGGGTGTCCCGGAGGGAGAGGGGAGAGGGAAGCATGAAGATGGGGTGGGGGTGGTGGCTCCCATCCTTGGGGGTAGGTGGGTGAACCTGGGAATGGTGTGGGAGCTCTTGCTCCCTGGAAGTGCCCTGGGGAGTGATGGGACCTCAAACCTTGACTTTTCCAAGATTTCAGTGTCCCCACACATAGCCCAGAATCAGCATAGCTGCTAAAACCCACACCTCATGGGGGTGTCCTGGTGACTGAGGCAGGTCCCTGGGGTCCTGGTCCTGCAGGGAAGGCTAAGGATGACAGAACGAAGTACATCCCAGTATGGTGGGATAGGGATTTGGAATAAAAATAAAACGGTTTGAGGAAAACAGGAAATTCAGTATTTCTTGCTGATATGGTTTGGCTGTGTCCCCACCCAAATCTCATCTTGAATTGTAACTCTCACAATTCCCGCGCCTCATGGGAGGAAGCTGGTGGGAGGTGATTGAATTATGGGGGTGGGTCTTTCCTGCACTGTTCTCATGATAGTGAATAAGTCTCACGAGATCTGATGGTTTTGAAAACGGGAATTTCCCTGCTCAAGCTGTCTTTTTGCCTGCCCTCCTTCGCTTAAGATATGAGTTGCTCCTCCTTGCCTTCTGCCATGATTGTGAGGCCTCCTCAGCCATGTGGAACTGTGAGTCCAGTTAAACCTCTTTCTTTTGTAAATTGCCCAGTTTCAGGTATGTCTTTATCAGCAGCGTGAAAACGGACTAATACACTTGCCCAACTGCCTACACCATAAATATAAAATGAAATAAGGGAATTGCGGTAAAAGCCATATAACTAAGACAGCCGAGTATCTCACTACTCCCAGCCCTCACTCGAGTGTGATTTGCAGGGAAGTGACAGGGGGCTGCACTGCAGCGCGCTAAGTCTAAGGGGCGGGGACAGATGGGGGAGGGGGGCACGGGACACTGAGGGCACCGCATCCTAACTCCGAGGGTCAGGGAAGACTTGCTGGAAGAACTGACTTCCAAGCTGACTGGTAGATGTTCAACCCTGGTGACTGAGAAAATAGTGACAGAAAGAGGGAAGAGGGGAGGAGGAGCTTCCGTAAAAGAATGACAGCCCAGAGTTGAAATTGAGCGTGTGCTCTGGTAGCTGAGCTGAGCTCCTTGACCTGGGAGCCTCTGACCTGGGAAGCTGTGCTCCTAGTCCCCCAAAGGAAGGGGCAGGCACATTTCATATTTCATTTTTCATATCTCCCCACTGCCCCCAGGGGAGTGCCTTTTAAATATTTTCATAGGTCTGTCTGCACTGGCCGTGGGCAGATATGAGGGGGAAGATATGGAGCTCAGTGGGTACCTTATTGAGTTGGGAAACTTTGAGGACAGCCTGGCCTGGGGCACATCTCCAAGATGAAATGTGTGCCTGGTGCTCAGAGGATAAGTTGCACTTGAATTCTAGGTTTTGACTCATTTTTTAGAGGTGAGAACTGAAGCTGTGAGAATCAATGGGCTCAATCAGGGAAAGTAGTAGTGGAATTAAGGAAGGGGATGGAGTTAGATTGGGTTAGATTGTAGACTAGTGGAGCTCAAAATGCAGCCCACACCCCAGATTTATTTTTTAAATCAAGAGGTGGTATAGTTTTCCAGGCCAGTCTTCACAACATCATTGAATATGGCCAAAGGAACAATACTCTAAGCACTAGAAAAACAAATCGTTCCTTATTACTTTGTTTTTGTTTGTTCCAGATTCTAACTTGGGATTACAGGAATTTATTTTCTCACAACCCCAGAAATAAAAGTACCCCCTTCCTGCCTCTCACTCCCAACCCCTCACTTACACTGGCCTGACTTTCGCATGTTCCCCGGGTTGGGAAGGATGGGGCATGGGACTTCCTGGCGTGGTTTGGGCGGGAAGGGAGGGCACAGGGGCTTCAGGAAGCATCTGTGGGGTTGGTGGGAAGGAAGAGCTAGCAGGAGTGTGAGGCAAAGGCTCCTGCATGCCCAGGTCAGTGCAGGGGAAGACAGTAGAATAGTCTCCTGGGGGTCTCATAGGACTGTGGTTCTTAAGGAAAGGCTGGTGAGGGGAGGAAGAGGAGAGAAGAGAATAAAAAAAGAGAGGTGGGGAGTGGGACTGAGCCAGTTATCTGATGTACACAGCATGGAATGGAATCCCACTGGCTACCAGTACCCTGGGGAGATGGAAGAACCCGGGGTCCATGAAAGATCTGGATGGTAGGGATAAGGAGATGTCCTACCTCCTTTGTGTGATTAGTCTTACAGATTATTGCCTGTGTTGCTGAGCATTAGGGACTTAGCTATTCAACATGGGGTAGAAGTACTAGCCTATTGGTAAACTGTACCATTTATCAGCTGGTCTTGCATTGGTTCAAGGAGAAAAGCCATCTGAAATGGGATTCAGCCTGGGAAAAAAGCTAAAGAGTAGTTCAAAAATTTTTTAAAATACTTGAAAAATCAAACATAGTAGAAAGTTGGCACCTTCTAGGTTTCTGTATTAACTATGCCGTTTGGTCTAGGCAACCCTCTGATTAAATAAAGGATAAATATTTATAAGTTAAATTTATAAATAAAAGATGGTAACATCCTCTGAATGCAGAATACCAAAAAATCTGCCATCTCTGATGGAAAAAGCCACTTCAACTTTTGTTGACTTAATCATGAGTCAATTCAATTATTAAGTTATTGGTTTCAAAGCATAAGTGAAACAAACAAATGTAAAAAAGTCTTATTCACTTCTAATTTGCAATCTAATTGGAAGATGGAATTTAAATGCAAGGAAGTTTAATAAATTTAAAATATTATAATATGCTTATTTATCATCATTAAGAAACCAGCTGGGCATGGTGGCTCATGCCTGGAGGCTGGGTGGATCATTTGAACTCAGGAGTTCAAGACCAGCCTGAGCAACATGGCGGAACCCTGTCTCTACATACATACATACATACATACATACATACATACATACATACATACATACAAATTAGCCAGGCATGGTGGTGTGTCCCTGTAGTCCCAGCTACATGAGAGGCTGAGGTGGGAGGATGACTTGAGCCCAGGAGGCAGAGGAGGTTGCAGTGAGCCAAAATCACGTTGTTGCACTCCAGCCTGGGTGACAAAGCCAGACCGTTTCTCAAAAAAAGAAAAAGAAAAGAAAAGAAACCTCCATGATGAGTGTTTCATGTTGGGAAGATGGGGCAGTCATTGGTATCACAGAATTTGGGGTGTTGTGTGCTGTGCATTCTTGAATAATACTGACCTGAAAATCTTTGTTCTTCCTCGAGAGAAACGGTATGTGTTTGCTATTGCTCACATTGCAAACTCAAATGGTAAGACAGAAGGTAGGCCATATTATTACCCAATTACAACAGAAAATTGTTTGATTTTCTTGGGCTTGTGCATATGGTGAACATTTGGGAATTACAGCCTTGCTGCTAGCAGAACATTTTAACTAAAGGCAGTAAAATGAGCACAGACTTTGGACTTTTAGCTAGATCATTCTTCTATATACAGGCCATTTCTGCTTCATATCGAGAGATTTAGCTGGCAATCTTAGGAAATTATTATGGGAGTAAAGTTGACTCCAAAAGAAACTTAGAAAATGTGAATCTGTGTTCAAAGTTCAGCCAAAATAAAGAACTAGTTCCATGTCAGCATGAGTTGCCAATAACAATGTTATAAAAAATGTTTTCCGGCAGCTAACAGTCATTTTTTTTTTTTTTTGCCTGCACTAAATAACTCAAACCATACTTAGTAAACAGAAATTCTGGAAGCAATTTCAAACAATGGATCTCCATAGCATGCCACATAAAAATAGAAAGTTAAAGATTGAGAACTTACTCATGCAAAGGTCACTTAGAAGGTTTTCCACAATAATGGGATTTGAGTCAACAAGTATTCATTGAATGCCTATTATGTGGTCAGCTTTATGAGGGATGGTGGTGGATGGGAAGTGGGACTAATGAAGAATCATACCTAAGATGTGGTCCCTGACTTGGGGGAGCCTTCACTGATTTTGAGGAACAAGTCAGAAGCACATGAAAGGGCTAAATAACAATCTAAAGCAGTGCGATGTTGACATTATGTATTTCAATAAGAAGTGAAATACCTGCAAATGTGGTGGGTGGTCATGAATGAATGCAGTGAAGATTAGAGCAAGTTTTCCTGGGCTAGAGATGGTGTGGAGTGAGAAATGAGAGAGAAAGGGCATTCCAGGAGGGTTTAGCAGGAAGCAAGAAGGACGGCAGGTTAGGGAGGTAGGATGGCACCAGAGTCATTTGCTGGCATTTGGAAGTCTTGTTTCCCTGCCTCACACTAACTTTACATATCTGTGTCTTTGCTTTGCACCCAACTCCATTTCTTTTTCTTTTTTTCTTTTCTTTCTTTCTTTTTTTTTTTTTTTTGAGACGGTGTCTTGCTCTGTTGCCCAGGCTGGAGTGCAATGGTGCGATCTTGGCTCACTGCAACCTCCGCCTCCCAGGTTCAAGTGATTCTTCTGCCTCAGCCTACAGAGTAGCTGGGATTACAGGCTTGCGCCACCACACCTGGCTAATTTTTGTATTTTTGGTAGAGACGGGGTTTCATCATGTTGGTGAGGCTGGTCGCGAACCCAACTCCATTTCTTAATACTGTCCGAACCATTTGCCTCTTACCACTGTGTTTCTCTTCTCTCCATCCAGAATTGTTTTTGTACTATATCAGGAGTTAGACAGCTTGGATCTAACTCCTTGTGGGGAAGGGAGTGGCTGTTATTTGACAAATTGTGACTCTTATGTTGTGATCCAGGCTTGTCTTAAAAATCAGACTACAAGAGTGAGTGCAACAATGATGTGAACATATGTCATGCCACCAAACTGTAAAATAAAAATGCATGTAATGGTAAATTTTGTGTGATGTCTCTTTTACCGCAATTTAAAATAAAACCAAACACCATCTCCTTGACCTGAGTAAGGGAGTTTCCAGCTTTGTTGGAGAGGGTTATAGGCAGTGTAAAAAAAAATCAGTTCGGCAATTTGGAATATTTTCTTCCTGTCAAGGAGTCAACCATTATAAATAACTGTAGGTTCCATAATGAAAAATAAAAGGCAGAGAGAATTTTAGCCTTTAAAGCATACCTTACCCACCTTTCACCACAGCACTTGCACTGTGAATTATATGTAATTTCTTTAGTCAGCTTACTTCTTGAATCACCCCTATTCCTTCAGATTGTTGTTGTGGTGGTGGTTCTTCTTTCTTCCTTCTTCCTTCCTTCTTTTCTTCACTTCTTCTTTGTCTTCTTCATCTTCATCTTCGTCTTCATCTTCTTCTTCGTCTTTTCTCCTTCTTCTTCACTACAGAACATTGCAGATCAATCAAGGCTATTGCCATCTCTATTGTAGTTGCCTAGGTGGGCTATGCATGATCCCCAGGATGTATAGAATTGAACTAGGAGGGGGAAAATATATCACTGCTGGGGCACAATCCTGGCTCCTACACTTACTAGTTGGGTAAGTTATTTAACCTCTTTGTGCCTTAGTTTTCTCATCTTTTTTTTTTAATTTTAAAGACTTTTTATTTATTATTATTTTTAAATTATTATGCTTTAAGTTCTGTGATACATGTGCAGAACATGCAGGTTTGTTGCATAGTTATACACGTGCCATGATGATTTGCTGCACCCATCAACCCATCATCTACATTAGGTATTTCTCCTAATGCTATCCCTCCCCTTGTCCCCCCACACCCCTACAGGCCCCAGTGTGTGATGTACCCCTTCCTGTTTCCATGTGTTCTCATTGTTCAATTCCCACCTATGAGTGACAACATGCGGTGTTTGGTTTTCTGTCCTTGCGATAGTTTACTGAGAATGATGGTTTCCAGCTTCATCCATGTCCCTACAAAGGACGTGAACTCATCATTTTTTATGGCTGCATAGTATTCCATGGTGTATATGTGCCACGTTTTCTTAATCCAGTCTATCATTGTTGGACATTTGGGTTGGTTCCAAGTCTTTGCTATTGTGAATAGTGCCGCAATAAACATACGTGTGCATGTGTCTTTATAGCAGCATGATTTATAATCCTTTGGGTATATACCCAGTAATGGGATTGCTGGGTCAAATGGTATTTCTAGTTCTAGATCCCTGAGGAATGGCCACACTGTATTCCACAATGGTTGAACTAATTTACAGTCCCACCAACAGTGTAAATGTGTTCCTATTTTTCCACATCCTCTCCAGCACCTGTTGTTTCCTGACTTTTTAATGATTGTCATTCTAACTGGTGTGAGATATCTCATTGTGGTTTTGATTTGCATTTCTCTGATGGCCAGTGATGATGACCATTTTTTCATGTGTTTTTTGGCTGCATAAATATCTTCTTTTGAGAAGTGTCTGTTCATATTCTTTGCCCACTTTTTGATGTGGTTGTTTGTTTTTTTCTTGTAAATTTGTTTGAGTTCATTGTAGATTCTGGATATTAGCCCTTTGTCAGATGAGTAGGTTGCAAAAATTTTCTCCCATTCTGTAGGTCGCCTGTTCACTCTGATGGTAGTTTCTTTTGCTGTGCAGAAGCTCTTTAGTTTAATTAGATCCCATTTGTCAATTTTGGCTTTTGTTGCCATTGCTTTTGGTGTTTTAGACGTGAAGTCCTTGCCCATGCGTATGTCCTGAATGGTATTGCCTAGGTTTTCTTCTAGGGTTTGTATGGTTTTAGGTCTAATATTTAAGTCTTTTATCCATCTTGAATTAATTTTTGTATAAGGTGTAAGGAAGGGATCCAGTTTCAGCTTTCTACATGTGGCTAGCCAGTTTTCCCAGCACCATTTATTAAATAGGGAATCCTTTCCCCATTGCTTGTTTTTCTCAGGTTTGTCAAAGATCAGATAGTTGTAGATATGCAGCATTATTTCTGAGGGTTCTGTTCTGTTCCATTGGTCTATATCTCTGTTTTGGTACCAGTACCATGCTGTTTTGGTTACTGTAGCCTTGTAGTATAGTTTGAAGTCAGGTAGCATGATGCCTCCAGCTTTGTTCTTTTGGCTTAGGATTGACTTGGCGATGCGGGCTCTTTTTTGGTTCCATATGAACTTTAAAGTAGTTTTTTCCAATTCTGTAGAGAAAGTCATTGGTAGCTTGATGGGGATGGTTTTGAATCTATAAATTACCTTGGGCAGTTTGGCCATTTTCATGATATTGATTCTTCCTACCCATGAGCATGGAATGTTCTTCCATTTGTTTGTATCCTCTTTTATTTCACTGAGCAGTGGTTTGTAGTTCTCCTTGAAGAAGTCCTTCACATCCCTTGTAAGTTGGATTCCTAGGTATTTTATTCTCTTTGAAGCAATTGTGAATGGGAGTTCACTCATGATTTGGCTCTCTGTTTGTCTGTTATTGGTGTATAAGAATGCTTGTGATTTTTGCACATTGATTTTGTATCCTGAGACTTTGCTGAAGTTGCTTATCAGCTTAAGGAGATTTTGGCCTGAGACAAGGGGGTTTTCTAGATATACAATCATGTCATCTGCAAACAGGGACAATTTGACTTCCTTTTTTCCTAATTGAATACCCTTTATTTCCTTCTCCTGCCTGATTGCCCTGGCCAGAACTTCCAACACTACGTTGAATAGGAGTGGTGAGAGAGGGCATCCCTGTCTTGTGCCAGTTTTCAAAGGGAATGCTTCCAGTTTTTGTCCATTCAGTATGATATTGGCTATGGGTTTGTCATAGATAGCTCTTATTATTTTGAGATACGTCCCATCAATACCTAATTTATTGAGAGTTTTTAGCATGAAGGGATGTTGAATTTTGTCAAAGGCCTTTTCTGCATGTATTGAGATAATCATGTGGTTTTTGTCTTTGGTTTTGTTTATATGCTGGATTACGTTTATTGATTTTCATATGTTGTACCAGCCTTGCATCCAGGGACGAAGCCCACTTGATCATGGTGGATAAGCTTTTTGATGTGCTGCTGGATTTGGTTTGCCAGTATTTTATTGAGGATTTTTGCATCAATGTTCATCAAGGATATTGGTCTAAAATTCTCTTTTTTTGTTGTGTCTCTGCCAGGCTTTGGTGTCAGGATGATGCTGGCCTTATAAAATGAGTTAGGGAGGATTCCCTCTTTTTCTGTTGATTGGAATAGTTTCAGAAGGAATGGTACCAGCTCCTCCTTGTACCTCTGGTAGAATTCGGCTGTGAATCCATCTGGTCCTGGTCTTTTTTTGGTTGGTAAGCTATTCATTATTGCCTCAATTTCAGAGCCTGTTATTGGTCTATTCAGAGATTCAACTTCTTCATGGTTTAGTCTTGGGACAGTGTATGTGTTGAGGAATTTATCCATTTCTTCTAGATTTTCTAGTTTATTTGCATAGAGGTGTTTATAGTATTCTCTGATGGTAGTTTGTATTTCTGTGGGATTTGTGGTGATATCCCCTTTGTCATTTTTTATTGCATCTATTTGATTCATCTCTCTTTTCTTCTTTATTAGTCTTGCTAGTGGTCTATCAATTTTGTTGATCTTTTCAAAAAACCAGCTCCTGGATTCATTGATTTTTTGAAGGGTTTTTTGTGTCTCTATCTCCTTCAGTTCTGCTCTGATCTTAGTTATTTCTTGCCTTCTGCTAGCTTTTGATTGTGTTTGCTCTTGCTTCTCTAGTTCTTTTAATTGTGATGTTAGGATGTCAATTTAGATCTTCTCTTGTGGCCATTTAGTGCTATAAATTTCCCTCTACACACTGCTTTGAATGTGTCCCCGAGGTTCTGGTATGTCGTGTCTTTGTTCTTGTTGGTTTCAAAGAACATCTTTATTTCTGCCTTCATTTTGTTATGTACCCAGTAGTCATTCAGGAGCAGGTTGTTCACTTTCCATGTAGTTGAGTGGTTTTGAGTGAGTTTCTGATTCCCGAGTTCTAGTTTGATTGCACTGTGGTCTGAGAGACAGTTTGTTATAATTTCTGTTGTTTTACATTTGCTGAGGAGTGCTTTACTTCCAACTATGTGGTCAATTTTGGAATAGGTGTGATGTGGTGCTGAAAAGAATGTATATTCTGTTGATTTGGGGTGGAGAATTCTGTAGATGTCTATTAGGTCTGCTTGGTGCAGAGCTGAGTTCAATTCCTGGATATCCTTGATAACTTTCTGTCTCGTTGATCTGTCTAATGTTGACAGTGGGGTGTTAAAGTCTCGCATTAGTATTGTGTGGGAGTCTAAGTCTCTTTGTAGGTCACTAAGGACTTGCTTTATGAATCTGGATGCTCCTGTATTGGGTGCATATATATTTAGGATAGTTAGCTCTTCTTTTTGAATTGATCCCTTTACCATTATGTAGTGGCCTTCTTTGTCTCTTTTGATCTTTGTTGGTTTAAAGTCTGTTTTATCCGAGACTAGGATTGCAACCCCTGCCTTTTTTTTGTTTTCCATTTTCTTGGTAGATCTTCCTCCATCCCTTTATTTTGAGCCTATGTGTGTCTCTGCACGTGAGATGGGTTTCCTGAATACAGCACACTGATGGGTCTTTATCTAATTTGCCAGTCTGTGTCTTTTAATTGGAGCATTTAGCCCATTTACATTTAAGGCTAATATTGTTATGTGTGAATTTGATCCTGTCATTATGATGTTAGCTGGTTATTTTGCTCATTAGTTCATGCAGTTAATTCCTAGCCTTGATGGTCTTTACAATTTGGAATGTTTTTGCAGTGGCTGGTACCGGTTGTTACTTTCCATGTTTAGTGCTTCCTTCAGGAGTTCTCGTAAGGCAGGCCTGGTGGTGACAAAATCTCTCAGCATTTGTTTGTCTGTAAAGTATTTTATTTCTCCTTCACTTATGAAGTTTAGTTTGTCTGGATATGAAATTCTGGGTTGAAAATTCTTTTCTTTAAGAATGTTGAATATTGGCCCCCACTCTCTTCTGGCTTGTAGGGTTTCTGCAGAGAGATATGCTGTTAGTCTGATGGGCTTCCCTTTGTGGGTAACCTGCCCTTTCTCTCTGGCTGCCCTTAACATTTTTTCCTTCATTTCAACTTTGGTGAATCTGACAATTATGTGTCTTGGAGTTGCTCTTCTCGAGGAGTATCTTTGTGGCGTTCTCTGTATTTCCTGAATTTGAATGTTGGCCTGCCTTGCTAGGTTGGGAAAGTTCTCCTGGATAATATCCTGCAGAGTGTTTTCCAACTTGGTTCCATTCTCCCCATCACTTTCAGGTACACCAATGAGACATAGATTTGGTCTTTTCACATAGTCCCATATTTCTTGGAGGCTTTGGTCGTTTCTTTTTATTCTTTTTTCTCTAAACTTCTCTTCTCTCTTCATTTCATTTATTTCATCTTCCATCGCTGATACCCTTTCTTCCAGTTGATCGCATTGGCTACTAAGCTTGTGCATTCGTCACGTAGTTCTTGTGCCGTGGTTTTCAGCTCCATCAGGTCCTTTAAGGACTTCTCTGCATTGGTTATTCTAGTTAGCCATTCATCTAATTTTTTTTCAAGGTTTTTAACTTCTTTGCCATTGGTTTGAACTTCCTCCTTTAGCTCAGAGTAGTTTGATCTTCTGAAGCCTTCTTCTCTCAACCCGTCAAAGTCATTCTCCATCCAGCTTTGTTCCATTGCTGGTGAGGAGTTGTGTTCCTTTGGAGGAGGAGAGGCGCTCTGATTTTCAGAGTTTCCGGTTTTTCTGCTCTGTTTTTTCCCCATCTTTGTGGTTTTATTTACCTTTGGTCTTTGATGATGGTGACGTACAGATGGGTTTTTGGTGTGGATGTCCTTTGTGTTTGTTAGTTTTCCTTCTAACAGTCAGGACCCTCAGCTGCAGGTCTGTTGGAGTTTGCTGGAGGTCCACTCCAGACCCTGTTTGCCTGGGTATCAGCAGCGGTAGCTGCAGAACAGCGGGTATTGGTGAACCACAAATGCTGCTGCCTGATTGTTCCTCTGGAAGTTTTGTCTCAGAGGAGTACCTGGCTGTGTGAGGTGTCAGTCCGACCCTACTGGGGGTTGCCTCCCAGTTAGGCTACTCGGGGGTCAGGGACCCTCTTGAGAAGGCAGTCTGCCCGTTCTCAGATCTCAAACTGTGTGCTGGGAGAACCACTGCTCTCTTCAAAGCTGTCAGACAGGGACATTTAAGTCTGCAGAGGTTACTGCTGCCTTTTGTTTGTCTGTGCCATGCCCCCAGAGGTGGAGTCTACAGAGGCAGGCAGGCCTCCTTGAGCTGTGGTGGGCTCCACCCAGTTCGAGCTTCCCAGCCGCTTTGTTTACCTACTCAAGCCTAGGCAATGGCGGGTGCCCCTCCCCAAGCCTCACTGCCACCTTGCAGTTTGATCTCAGACTGCTGTGCTAGCAATGAGCGAGGCTCCGTGGGTGTAGGACCCTTGGAGCCATGTGCGGGATATAATCTCCTGGTGTGCCATGGTGAGGCGATGCCTCACAATGCCTCACCCTGCTTCGGCTCATGCATGGTGCACTGCACCCACTGTCCTGCACCCACTGTCCAGCACTCCCCAGTGAGATGAACCTGGTACCTCAGTTGGAAATGCAGAAATCACCCGTCTTCTGTGTCGCTCACACTGGGAGCTGTAGACTGGAGCTGTTCCTATTTGGCCATCTTGGCTCCTGAATTTGATCTTGTCATTATGTTGCTAGCTGGTTATTTTGCCCACTAGTTGATGCAGTTTCTTCATAATGTCGATGGTCTTTACAATTTGGTATGTTTTTGCAGTGGCTGGTACCAGTTTTTCCTTTCCACATTTAGTGCTTCCTTCAGGAGTTCTCGTAACGCAGGCCTGGTGGTGACAAAATCTCTCAGAATTTGCTTGTCTGTAAAGGCTTTTATTTCTCCTTTGCTTGTGAAGCTTAGTTTGGCTGGATATGAAATTCTGGGTTGAAAATTCTTTTCTTTAAGAATATTGAATATTGGCCCCCACTGTCTTCTGGCTTGTAGGGTTTCTGCAGAGAGATATGCTGTTAGTCTGATGGGCTTCCCTTTGTGGGTAACCTGCCCTTTCTCTCTGGCTGCCCTTAACATTTTTTCCCTTCATTTCTACCTTGGTGAATCTGACAGTTATGTGTCTTGGGGTTGCTATTCTCGAGCAGTAACTTTGTGGTGTTCTCCATGTTTCCTGAATTTGAATGTTGGCCTGCCTTGCTAGGTTGGGGAAGTTCTCCTGGATAATATGCTGAAGAGTGTTTTCCAACTTTGTTCCATTCTCCCTGTCAGTTTCAGGTACACCAGTCAAACATAGGTTTGGTCTTTTCACATAGTCTCATATTTCTTAGAGGCTTTGTTCATTCTTTTTATTCTTTTTTTCTCTAATCTTGTCTTCATGCTTTATTTCATTAAGTTGATCTTCAATCTCTGATATCCTTTCTTCTGCTTGATCGATTCAACTGTTGATACTTGTGTATGCTTCACGAAGTTCTTGTGCTGTGTTTTTCAGCTCCATCAGGTCATTTATGTTCTTCTCTAAACTGGCTATTCTAGCTAGCAATTCCTCTAACCTTTTATCAAGGTTCTTAGCGTCCTTGCATTGGATTAGAACATGCCCCTTTAGCTCGGAGGGGTTTGTTATTACCCACCTTCTGAAGCCTACTGTCAATTCATCAAAGTCATTCTCCATCCATTTTGTTCCCTTGCTAGCGAGGGGTTGTGATCCTTTGGAGGAGAAGAGGGATTCTGGTTTTTGGAATTTTCAGCCTTTTTGTGCTGGTTTTTCCTCATCTTTGTGGATTAATCTACCTTTGGTCTTTGATGTTGGTGACCTTCAGATGGGGTTTCTGTGTGGATATCCTTTTAGTTGTATTGATGCTACCCTTTCTGTTTGTTAGTTTTCCTTCTAACAATCAGGCCTCTCTGCTGCAGGTCTGCTGGAGTTTGCTGGAGGTCCACTCCAGACCCTGTTTGCTTGGGTATCACTAGCAGAGGCTGTAGAACAGCAAAGATTGCTGCCTGTTCCTTTCTCTGGAAGCTTCATCCCAGAGGGGCACCCACTGGATGCCAGTCGAAGCTCTTCTGTATGAGGTGTCTGTCAACCCCTGCTGGGAGGTGTCTCCCAGCCAGGAGGCATGTGGGTCAGGGACCCACTTGAGGAGGCAGTCTGTCCCTTAGCAGAGCTTAAGCACTGTGCTGAGAGATCCACTGCTCTCTTCAGAGCCGGCAGGCAGAACATTTAAGTCAGCTGAAGCTGTGCCCACAGCCACCCCTTCCCCCAGGTGCTCTGTCCCAGGGATATGGGAGTTTTCTCTATAAGCCCCTGACTGGGGCTGCTGCCTTTCTTTCAGAGATGCCCTGCCCAGAGAGGAGGATCTAGAGAGGCAATCTGGCTACAGTGTCTTTGTGGCACTGTGGTGGGCTCCGCCCAGTTCAAACTTCCCAGAGGCTTTGTTTATATGGTGAGGGGAAAACCACCTACTCAAGCTTCAGTAATGGCAGAGCCCCTCCCTCCACCAAGCTGGAGTGTCCCAGATTGACTTCAGACTGCTGTTCTGGGAGCGAGAATTTCAAATTAGTGGATCTTAGCTTGCTGGGCTCCATGGGGGTGGGATCCACTGAGCTAGACCACTTGACTTCCCGGCTTCAGTCCCCTTTCCAGGGGAATGAATGGTTCTGTCTTGCTGTCATTCCAGGTGTCACTGGGATATGAAAAAAAACCAAAAAAAAAAAAAACCTCCTCCAGCTAGCTCAGTGTCTGCCCAAATGGCCACTCAGTTTTGTGCTTGAAACCCAGGGCCCTGGTGGTGTAGGCAGCCAAGGGAATCTCTTGGTCTGTGGGTTGCAAAGACTGTGGGAAAAGCATAGTATCTGGGCTGGAGTGCACTGTTCCTCATGGCACAGTCCCTCATGGCTTCCCTTGGGTAGGGGAGGGAGTTCCCCGACTCCTTGCATTTCCTGGTGAGGTGATGCCCCATCCTGCTTCTGCTCACCCTCCATGGGCTGCACCCACTGTCTAACCAATCCCAGTGAGATGAGCCAGATACCCTAGTTGGAAATGCGGAAGTCACCCACCTTCTGCATTGATCTCATTGGGAGCTGCAGACCGGAGCTGTTCCTATTCGGCCGTCTTACCAGCCACCCTTCTCATCTTTAAAGAGTTAATAATGATTAAATCAGTGAATTAATGTAAAGTACTTAGAACAATGATTAGCACATAGTAAGCAATCAGTGTGTGTTAACAATAATGTTAGTGATCCCTTTATCAGTGTTGAGGATCTATCTCAAAATTTAAACCAGTGACACATGGTGGACTATCTTAGTCCATTTATGTTACTATAAAGGAATACCTGAGGCTGGGTAATTTATAAAGAAAAGAGGTTTATGTGTTTCATGGTTCTGCAGGCTGTACAAGAAGCTGGTGCCAGAATCTGCTTCTTCTGGTGAGGGCTTCAGGCAGCTTCCACTCATGGCAGAAGGTGAAGTGGAGCTGGCATATGCAGAGATCACATGGTGAGAGTGCAAGCAAGAGATAGAGAAGGAAGTGCCAGGCTCCTTTTAACAATCAATTTTCACAGAAACTAATAAAGGAGAAACTCATTCATTCCCCCTCCCCCCATACCCAGGGTGGGGATTAATCTGTTTATGAGAGATCCGCCCCCATGGCCCAAACACCTCCCATTAGGCCCTACCTCCAACATTGGGAATAAAATTTAAACATGGGGTTTGAGGGAACAAACAAGCAAACTGTAGCAGTGAACCATCTTTAGAGGCACTAATAATAATCCAGTGTCTGAATAGAAGAGGCTGAGAGTGAACATGGTAGCTTAACTGAATGTTACCTCTACCTAGTCTCTGCCAGTGCCAGCAAGACCTCTACACACTGGCACTGCTCTGAGCCCCCACTACCTCTGGAAACACTTCTACAGGTGGTGATAACTGGGAGTGGAGGGCTAGGGAGGTTGGTTTTGTTTATGGCGAAAGAAGAAATACGAATGGAAATGGGATAACATGAAAACATCTTCCAAAATAGTTTAAGAAACTGATTTTATACATAAAAGACTTGGAATTAGGGAGCCATGTCTATAAACATGGAATTTAAGGAGTGAGAGGAGAATGAAGAATCAAAGAACAAGCAATCAAAGAGAAAGGAGACAAACCAGAGAAGGTGCCCTTATGGAAGCCATAAGAAAAACTGTAAGCAGAAGAAGAGATTTGTGATCCAGCTGAATACCTGATCCCCAACATCAGAACTTGGGATCTTCCACCTATAGTTTATCAAACATTTCTCACAAACCCTAAGAGTCTGTGACTCAGCCAACTCTTTCAGAAGGTTCTTGTGGTCTTACTCATTATTAGTAAACTCTCCTGCCCACTCACCCCACTTCAGAACTAGAAAGTTGACCATTAACCTCAGATAGCCCCAGTTCATGCAATACCCAGCACTACCCTTCTTCCTGCAACTAGTCTGTTTTCTGCTGCCTTCCCAAAGCAGAAGGAGGTCTCTAGCACAGTGGTTAGGAGCTGGGCCCTGGAGCTACACCAAAGCAGAAAGGCCAATTTAGTATATAGTCATGATGATTTCAAAATTACAGCCATGTATTTTGAACTCTTTGCATTTTGAAATGATGTCATCCTTGTTGCTTAATTGGTAGAATTTCAGTTTTCTCTCCTTTCTCAGCTCTGCTTTTCCAGTTGCATTTAATATGTGGTGAACTGATGTTTAGTTGCTGATTCATGATGGTCCCCTGACCAAGTCACTTGACCCTCTGTCCTAAGCTTTTTATCCAGGAAATTGCCAATTAATTTTTAATAAAATATCTCAGAATGATCCTGTAAAACAAACATATCCCAAGGACTTCTAAATCTATTTAAGACTCTCCTCCTTCCTCTCTGAGGCTGCCATATTTTTCCTTTCCCTAACTCGCCTTCTTGCATCTTCCTAAATGTGGCCACATCCTGGGGCTCAAGTTGTGGCTCTCGGCTCATCTCTCTTGTTATGGACTGAATGTTTGTTTCCTCCCTCTCCTCTCCTCCCTCAGAATTCATATGTTGAAGTCCTAATCTCCAATGTAATAGTATATGGGGGTGGGGTCTTTGGGCGTTAATTAGGTTTAGGTGAGGTCATGAGGGTGGATCCCCCATGATGAGATTATTCCTCTTATAAGAAGAGGAGGAGACGTCAGAGCTCTCTCTCCCTCCACATGAGCACACACAAAAAAGAGGTCATATGAGCACACAGTGAAATTGTAGGACAAGAAGGAGGCTCTTACCAAGAACAGAATCTGGTGTACTTTGATCTTGGACTTCCCAGCCTCCAAAACTGTGAAAAATGAATTTGTTATTTTATTTGTTATTTAAGCCACCCAATCTATGGTATCTTGTTATAGCAGCCTGTGCTAGGACATGTCTCATAGTATTCATTTATTTTGAGGCCTTTATCTATCTCCTCTATGCAGTTTTCTTCCAAATCTATATCTCTGCTCTTCTCACCTGAATTTTGTTCTAGATTTTTCATTGCCTCCATTCAAGTGTTGTGCTTTCAGTGCAAGCTGAACACATTCAGACGCAACATGGTTCTGTCTACAAATCACTGAGACTCTTGTCTGACTTTTCCCTTTTCCTCACCCTTAGATACATTTAATTGACAAGCCCTAAAGATTTTGTTCACTCTTTTGGGAAGTATCATATTCTGCCTCTAAAATGGTCCTTATTAGACTATAATTCCCTTTTGGTTGTCAGCTTTTGAGGATAAGGACTACTATATCTTAACTTTAAATCCCTATTTAGCAGGCATGCAATAAATATTTGCATTTACTAGTTGTGTCACAAAGAGTGTTTCATGCTTAAATACATTTGTAAAGCCCTAAGTCAAAGGTAATTGCAGTTCCTTATTCCTTATTAGACCATTAGTGGTTATCATTAATTCCTAAAAGAGGCCTCATAGTATGCAAGTCTATTCAAAATTACTTGATCTTAGGATCCATTTTTCACAGCACCAATCTGCATCTCCCTGAACAAAAAGTTCTTGAAACAAAGTTTGTGAAATGTTGTGTTAGGATAATTGATTAATTATTCACCTACAAAAATACAAAATACAAAAGTAAAATCCACACGGATTAAAATGTTACATATAAAATATAAATACAGAGATAAGGCAAGATGGCAGATAGGAGGCAGGACTAGCTTGCGCTCCCGCTTGGACAGAGCAGTGTGTGAAGACTCACATTGTGAACTTTTGCTCCAAGAACCACCACAGGAACATACCAGAAAAGCCGAGAGAATCCAAAGACCCTTTGAAGGAACTGGGTCACTGCTGCAGGTTCCCTGAAATGCTGAAAAGCTGTTTGCTTGCTTTCTTAGTGGAGAGACTTCATGGTCTGGGGAAAGTTCTCAGCCCTGGTCACCAGCTCTCTGGAAATAGACTCGGTGCTGTTGATGGGGAGCACGGTAGTAGTGAGAGCAGACTTTCGGACTGTGGGCTGTGTGTGAGTGGGGTGAGGCCTGTGACTGCTGGCTTTCCTCCACTTCCCTGGCGACTTGTATGACTCAGCAGAGGCGCCATATTCTCCCGGGAATATAACTCTTATTGGACTGGGCACCACACCCCCATCCCCGACAGCAGCCGCAGCAAGCCCTGCCCGAGGAAGGGCTGAGCTAAGACACACCTATCTCTGTGACTACCTGGTGATCTTTCTCTGCCCACCCTGGTAGCTGAAGACAAAGGACATAATCTCTTGGGAGCTCTATTGCCCTACCCACTGCCCAAGAAATCTGAATACTTAACCAGGTGTCCCTAGGGCAAATTTGCATCCTCCCTGTAGGCCCATAGCTGATGTGCTCTTGAAAGCGCCACCTCCTGGCTGAAGGCCAACCAACACAAAACCAGTGCACTAAACAAAAACACAACCAAGGACCCTCACAGAGTCCACTTCACCCCGCTGCTACCTCCACCAGAGCAAGTGCTGGTATCCACAGCTGCAAGACCTAAAGACAGATCACATCACAGGACTCTTTGCAGACATTCCCCAGTACCAGCTCATAGCTCTGCTGGGTGGCTAGACCCAGAACATCAAAAACGATCACTACAGTTTGGTTTATACCATTCCTAGGAGAAGGGGGAGAACACTACATCATGGGAGCACCCTATGGGACAAAAGAATCTGAATAGCAGCTCTTGAATCCCATATCTTCCCTCTAACATAGTCTACCCAAATGAGAAGGAACCAGAAAAACAATTCTGGTAGTATGACAAAACAAGGTTCTTTAATACCCCCAAAAGATCATACCAGCTCACCAGCAATGGATCCAAAGCAAGATGAAATATCTGAATTGCCAGAAAAAGAATTCAGAAGATTGATATCAAGCTAATCAAGGAGGCACCAGAGAAAGGTGAAGCCCAACTTAAAGAAATTTTAAAAAAAGATTATATAGTTCATGAAAGGAAAATTATTCAGTGAAATAGATAGCATAAATAAAAAACAATCACAACTTCTGGAAATCAAGGAGACACTTAGATAAGTGCAAAATACACTGGAAAGTCTCAGGAGTAGCATTGAGCAAGAAGAAAGAACTTCAGAGGTCAAAGACAAGGCTTTTGAGTTAATCCAATCCATTAAAGACAAAGAAAAAAGAATAATAAAAAAAGCCTCCAAGAAGTTTGGGACTATGTTAAACATCCAAACCTAAGAATAATTGGTATTCCTGAGGAAGAAGAGAAATTTAAAAGTTTGGAAAACATTTTTGAGGGAATAATCGAGGATAACTTCCTTGGCCTTGCTAAAGACCTAGACATCCAAATACAAGAAACTCAAAGAACACCTGGGAAATTCATCACAAAAAGATCATCACCTAGGCACATAGTCATCAGGTTATCTAAAGTCAAGACGAAGGAAAGAATCTTGAGAGCCGTGAGGCAAAAGCATCAGGTAACGTATAAAAGAAAACCTATCAGATTAACAGCAGATTTCTCAGCAGAAACCTTACAAGCTAGAAGGGATCGGAGTCCTATTCTTTAGCCTCCCTAAACAAAACAATTATTAGCCAAGAATTTTGTATCCAGCAAAACTAAGCTTCATAAATGAAGGAAAGATACAGTCTTTTCCAGGCAAACAAATGCTGAAAGAATTTGCCACTACCAAGTCAGCACTACAAGAACTGCTAAAGGGAGCTCTAGATCTTGAAACAAATCCTTGAAATACACCAAAGTAGAACCTCCTTAAAGCATAAATCTCACAGGACCTATATAACAATAACAAAATGAAAGAAAAAAAAACAAGGTATTCAGGCAACAAATAGCATGATGAATAGAACAGTACCTCATATCTCAATACCAACATTGAATGTAAATGCCCTAAATGCCCCACTTAAACGATACAGAATTGCAAAATGGATAAGAATTCACCAACAAGTTTCTGCTGTCTTCAGGAAACTCACCTAACACATAAGGACTCACATAAACTTAAGATAAAGGGGTGGAAAAAGACATTCCATGTAAATGGACACCAAAAGGAAGCAGGAGTAGCTATTCTTATGTCAGACAAAACAAACTTTAAAGCAACAGCAGTTTAAAAAAGACAGAGAGACATTATATAATGATAAAAAGACTAGTCCAAAAGGAAACTATCACAATTCTAAATATATATGCACTTAACACTAGAGCTCTGAAATTTGTAAAACAATTACTACTAGACCTAAGAAATGAGATAGATGGCAACACAATAAAAGTAGGGGACTTTATTACTCCACTGACAGCACTAGACAGGTCACCAAAACAGAAAATCACCAAAGAAACAATTAACTTAAACTATACCCTAGAACAAATTGACCTAACAGATATTTACAGAACATTCTACCCAACAACTGCAGAACATTCTTCTCATCAGCATGTGGAACATTCTCGGAGATAGACCATATCACGGGTCACAAAACAAGTCAGTAAATTTAAGAAAATCAAAATTATATCAAACACTGTCTCAGATCACAATGGAATAAAATTGGAAATCAATTCCAAAAAGAACCATCAAAACTATACAAAGATATTGAAATTAAATAACCTGCTCCTGAGTGATCGTTGGGTCAACAAAGAAATCAAGATGGAAATTTAAAAATTCTTTGAACTGAACGATAATATTGATACAACCTATGAAAACCTCTGGGACACAGCAAGAGCAGTGCTAAGAGGAAGGTTCACAGCATTAAATGCCTACATCGAAAAGTCTGAAAGAGCACAAATAGACAATCTAAAGTCACACCTTATAGAACTGAAGAAACAAGAACAATCCAAACCCATACCCAGCAGAAGAAAAGAAATTACGAAGATCAGAGCAGAACTAAATGAAATAGAAACAAACAAACAAACAAAAACCAAAAGATAAATGAAACAAAAAGCTGGCTCTTTGCAAAGATAAATAAAATTGATAGACCATTCGTGAGATTAACCAAGAAAAGAAGTGAGAAGATCCAACTAAACTCAATTAGAAATGAAATGGGAGATATTACAACTGATACTACAGAAATACAAAAGATTATTCAAGACCACTATGAACACCTTTACATGCATAAACTACAAAATGTAGAGGACACAGATAAATTCCTGGAAATATACAACCCTCCTGGATTCAACCAGGAAGATATAGAAACTCTGAACAGAACAATAACAAGCAGTGAGGTTGAAATGGTAATTTAAAAATTACCAACAAATAAAAGTCCAGGACCAGACAGATTCACAGCTGAATTCTGTCAGACATTCAACGAAGAATTGGTACCAATCCTATTGACAATATTTCAAAATATGGAGAAAGAGGGAATCCTCTTAAATAATTCTATGAGCCAGTATCACCCTAATACTAAAACCAGGGAAGGACATAACAAAAAAAGAAAACTACAGACCAATATCCCTGATGAACATAGATGCAAAAATCCTCAACAAAATACTAGTGAACTGAAACTAACAGCACATCAAAAAGATAATCCTCCATGATCAAGTGCATTTCATACCAGTGATGCAAGGGTGGTTTAACATATGCAAGTCAATAAATGTGATACACCACATAAACAGAATTAAAAACAAGAATCACATCATCATCTCAATAGACATAGAAAAAGCATCCCTTTATGATTAAAACCCTCAGCAAAATCAGCATAGAAGGGACATACCTCAAGGTAATAAAAGCCATCTATGACAAACACACAGCCAACATTATACTGAACAGGGAAAAGTTGAAAGCATTCCCCCAGAGAACTGGAACAAGATAAAGAGGCCCACTTTCACCACTTCTATTCAGCATAGTACTGGAAGTCCTAGTCAGAGCAATCAGACAAGAGAAAAAAAGGGGCATCCAAATCAGTAAAGGGAAAGTCAAACTGTTCCTGTTTGCTGATGATACGATCATATACCTAGAAAACCCTAAAGACTCATCCAAAAAGCTCCTAGAACTGGTAAATGAATTCAGCAAAGTGTCAGGATACAAAATGAATGTACATAAATCAGTAGCTCTGCTATACACCAGCAGTGACCAAGCTGAGAATCAAATCAGGAACTCAACCCCTTTCACAATAGCTGCCAAAAAATAAAGATACCTATGAATATACCTAATCAAGGAGGTGAATGACCTCTACAAGGAAAACTACAAAATACTGCTGAAAGAAATCATGGATGACACAAACAAATGGAAACACCATCCCATGTTCTTGGATGGGTAGAATCAATATTGTGAAAATGACCATGCTGCCAAAAGCAATCTACAAATGCAGTGCAATTCCCATCAAAATGCCACCATCATTCTTCACAGAACTAGAAAAAACAATCCTAAAATTCATATGGAACCAAAAAAAGAGCTCACATAGCTAAAGCAAGACTAAGCAAAAAGAACAGACCCGATTCATCACATTACCTGACTTCAAACTATACTATAAGGCCATAGTCACCAAAACAGCATGGTACTGGTATAAAAATAGGCACATAGACCAATGGAACAGAATAGAGAACTCAGAAATAAAACCAAATACTTACAGCCAACTGATCTTCAACAAAGCAAACAAAAACGTAAAGTGGGGAGAGGACACCCTATTCAACAAATGGTGCTGGGATAATTAGCAAGCCACATATAGAAGACTAAAACTGGATCCTCATCTGTCTCCTTATATAAAAACTGACTCAAGATGGATCAAAGACTTAAATCTAAGACCTGAAACCATAAATATTATAGAAGATAACATCGGAAAAGCCCTTCTAGACATTGGCTTAGGCAAACACTTCATGACCAAGAACGCAAAAGCAAATGCAACAAAAACAAAGATAAAGAGATGGGACTTAATTAAAAAGCTTCTACACAGCAAAGTAAATAATCAGCAGAGTAAACAGACAACCTACAGAGAGGGAGAAAATCTTCACAATCTATACATCCAACAAACAACTAATATCCAGAACCTACAAGGTACTCAAACAAATCATCAAGAAAAAAACAAACAATCCCATCAAAAAGTGGGCTAAGGACAAAAATAAACAATTCTCAAAAGAAGATATATAAATTGCCAACAAACATATGAAAAAATGCTCAACATCACTAATGATCAAGGAAATGCAAATCAAAACCACAATGTGATACCACTCCTGCAAGAATGGCCACAATAAAAAAATAAAAAAATAGTGGATGTTGGCATGAATGTGGTGAAAAGGGAACACTTTTACACTGTTGGTGGGAATGTAACTAGTACAACCACTATGGAAAACAGTATGGAGATTCCTTAAAGAACTAAAAGTAGGCCGGGCGTGGTGGCACATGCCTGTAATCCCAGCACTTTGGGAGGCCGAGGCGGGTGGATCATTTGAGGTCAGGAGTTCAAGACAAGTCTGGCCAACGGTAAAGCTGGTAAAACTCCAGCTCTACTAACAATACAAAAATTAGCCGGGCATGGTGACATGTGCCTGTAATTCCAGCAACTCAGGAGGCTGAGGCAGGAGAATTGCTTGAACTTGGGAGGCAGAGATTGCAGTGAGCTGAGATCGTGCCACTTCACTCCAGCCTAGGTGACAGAACGAGACTCCATCTCAAAAAAAAAAAAAAAATGTAGATCTACCATTTGATCCAGCAATCCCACTAATGGGTATCTACCCAGAGGAAAAGAAGTCATTATATGAAAAAGACACTTGCACACGATGCCTGTTTATAGCAGCACAATTTACAACTGCAAAAACATGGAACCATCCCAAATGCCCATCAATCAACGAGCGGATAAAGAAAATGTGGTATATATATACAATGGAATACTACTCAGCCATAAAAAGGAACAAAATAATGGCATTCACAGCAACCTGGATGGAATTGGAGTCTATTATTCTAAGTGAAATAACTGAAGAATGAAAAACTAAACATCACATGTTCTCATTAGTATGTGGGACATAAGCTATGAGGATGCAAAGGCTTAAGAATGATACAATGGACTTTGAAGACTCAGGGGAAAGGGTGGTGGGTGGCAAGGGATAAAAGACTACACACTGGGTATAGTGTACACTGCTCGGGTGATGGGTGCACAAAAATCTCATAAATCACCACTAAAGAACTTATTCATGTAAACAAACACCACCTGTTCCCCAAAAACCTATTGAAAAAAAATTTTTTTAAATACATACATACATATATGTGACTGCCAAAAAACTATAGGAAAATATAAGTGATTATTTCTCAGTTTTGTTGTGGGAAAGTTTTTCTAAGCATAACATGCATAGCAGAAACCATAAAAGGTTAACATATTTGACTATATTCAGTGAAAAAATTTAATGTTTCTGTACATTATAAAAACTATAAAATTAAGTCAAACACCAGAAGGTAGAAAATTGTGATTAAGACATTTGAAATGTATATGCAAATAAAGAAATTATATCATTATCCATGCAAGTAACTTAAAATATATGAAAAAAGATGAATATTCCAAAAAAATGGGCAAAAGACAGAACAAGCAATTCACAAGAGAAGAAATACCAGAGGTTAACATTTGGGAAAAAATTCAACCAGCTATGCACGTAGTGAAATACAAAGTAATATAAAAGATTTGATGAGAAGTAGGGGAAATAGACACTGTTGCATTGCTGCTGGAGTACCAAATTTGTATAATCATTTGTGAGTAATTTGGCAATATTTATTGAAAGTTTTAAAAAGTGTGCTTCTCCTCTCACCCCACAATTCCATTTAAAGGAATTCATAGTAAGATAATATTCAGACAAGTATTAAAAAATGAATGTACAAGGATGTTCATTATAATATTGCTTAAAGTAGTAAAAGATTAGAAATAGCCTAACTGTCTAATTCCAAGGTAGAATTTTTCAGGCTAAGTTTATTTCTGGATTAGGAATTAGTGGTAACCTGATTTTTTTCTTTGCACTATTTTTTGTGTTTTCATACTTTCAAAGTCCAGCATGCATTATTTTTTAAATTAGAAGTAAGTGACTTTCAGTTCTTTTTAAAAGCAGGCAATTCACATATAATGTAACACGCAAGTTTCTGGATGAGGGAATGGCATTTACTAGCTTGAATATCTGAAAACCTCACTGTTTTCATATCTTAGTTCCCCTTTTAATTTTCATTTCCAATTCTTTCCCTTTTCCTAGTAAAACACAGAGAGAAGGGTCTTCTAGATGTGGTTTTGTAATTTCCCTACCACAAAATCATCCTTTTCCTTAAATAACCCACCCCTCCAATCTGCCTCTATGTGAACCTCCTTTTTTGAATCTAGGGCTTTCTTGGTTCCCTTACCTCGAAGTCCCAGTCCACCAGGTAGAGAAGGACTCCTGAAAAGGGTCCAGAAGGAAGCCCCAAAGCCATCCAGACCCTGCCAATCATAGTATTCTGTCTGTTACCTGTCTTGCTCTTGCTCTCCATTCATCCTCTAAGAATAAATGTCCTCTAAAACTCTGCATTTGGCTTTGTTCTTTTTGGTCCACGTTCCTGAAGGTAAATTTCATTAAAGCAGGGCCCCTGTGACCATTGCAACCTTCATGCCTACAGAGTAAGTCAACAACTGCCCCCTTTGTGAGACAGGAATATATTTACTCTAACTCATTTGGCAAATGCACTTCCAAACCAAAGCGCATTCCAAATCTTGCTTAACTGGTAGCACAGCACATCTCTACTCAGCCTAAGGATCTCCTCCTGTGAGTTGTGGAAGGATAAAGATGTGTTTTCCGTTTGCCACAAGGTAACTGTTTCTCTGACAACCGGTTCATCCACATGAAAGATTTGCTGGATCATGCCTTAGCTTTTGTCATGATCACATTTTCTCCCCTTTATTCTCTGATCTTTCCTCAGATTGTGGCTTTGACTCCTCCCTGTCCTGATTTCCTAAGGTTCTGACCTCAACCGCCCCCTCCACACTTTCTGCCCAGGAATCTCTTCTGCTGCCACACCTTCAAAGCTCACCTGCCAGCTAATACTGCCCAAAGCTATGTCTCCAGTCCACATGGCTTTTCAGGTTCCAATTCCACATGCCCAACCCACTGCTGAAAATCTACTCTGATCTGTCCCTCTGACACCTCAGATTCACTAAGCTATATCCAAAACCAATTAGCCATACCTTCCCCAACCACCAGAGCTTCCTGTTTCTCTAGCCAAACTGCCTTTCACTCGGCTTCAAACCTCAGTCACTTTTTCCTTCTTCTCCAAAAGTCCTCTTTACCTTCCACCCTTGGTCCAGCCAAACATTCCTCCCTCCATGCCTTTTTTTCCATCCATGCTTTCTTCTCTAGCGCTGCCATCTTCTCTCTTCTCTATGCTCATGCACAGAGCAGGTGTGGTGACCTCTTGACCTCTCCTCATCTCCCCACCTCAAATGCTTCCAACCCCTATATCCTATTACTTGTAATGCAAATTTGGAATACGGCTCAACTGATGTTTTGGCCATTCTACAATCCTACCTTGAACTTCCTGTCTCTATGCTTTGGCAAATCCTCTTCTCTTGTATCTTTCTCTCTATGTAAGTACCACCTTCTCCTTAAGACATCACAGTCAGGTTCCTAATGAGGACTTTATTTCAAATGACACTTAACCCACTCTCTTTTGTATTACTGTTTGTATTCATGTCTAATCTCTCCCACAGGATTAAAGGCTTTATCTTATACATCTGTATACACCCCACATCTCCTAGCACATATTAAGTACCTAAGATATACTTGCTTAATGAGGAAATGAATGAACACTTAGATCAAACAGCCAATTTATTATTCAGCCTTTCTGGACTCTGAGCAGAAATAACTTAGGAGTGGCCAATTGGCTGCATCATCAAAGTGAGCCTGTTTTGGCAAAAAGATGTCCACATACCACTACAGTTTCTCACTGTAATTTTTGTCTCTAATAAAACAAAATACAGATTGTTCTAAGGTTTTAGTGGAGAGGACACCAGAAAAAAAGTTGCCACATGGCAATTCCCACAGGCAAACTTCCCTGCCTTTTGTGGTTATTTTTCATTGTCTCTGTGGTATGTCTTTTACATTCTTTCTGAAAATGAACCCTGCATTCCTTCCCTGGGCCCCACTGCCCACCAGCCACTAGAATGGGAAGGTAACAGGTAAGATCCAGTATTGGGAGTCCATTGGCATGGTGAATACCCCAGGGCTGGGCACTGGACCCACGCCAAGCCAATCGAATCCTTCAGAGAGACTTTCTGTTGAAGCTGTCGGGGAAGTGGCTAAAAGGATATGATTCCGGAACTACCATGAGCCACACCTCTGCCTGGAAACCAGTGGCCTCCTTATTGCCAAAAAACCATTATTTTTATTTAGCAATCCAAATAATATTCACTTAGGCATCTTAAACTTTACATGTATAAGATGGACCTCTTTATCCCTTCAATGTTTTTTTCCCTCAGTCTTTCACATCCACATGAATGGTATCACCTCCTACCTGACTCAAGCAAAGAATCTCAGAGTTACCTTTGGTTCCCCATTTCCTTCATCTCCCATAGTTAATCTATCAAGAAATTCTATCAGTTCTACTTCATATCTGGCCCTTTCCTTATGTCTTCTGTCACCAACCAAGGCCCAGACATAGCCTCTCTCTGCTAAACCACTGGCAGTAGCGTTTTCCAGTCTCATTTCATACCAGTCTTCTACCTGCTCAGTAGGCTACAGCCACACTGGCCTTCCTTCTGTTGCTCTAATAACCTTTCGTGACTTCTGTACTTTTGCACTTGTTCTTTCTTCCTGGAACACTCTTTCATTGCTCTGCAAGAGTTCACCATCCTCATGTCTCAGTTCAATATATCTTCCTTAAGAGGACTCACCTGGCAGTCCGAGAGAGAGGCCTTCTCCAGTCCTTAGCTTCTCATTGCTTCATTTTGTTTATTTACTTTTTATGTTATGACAATGTATAACTATGGTGTTTAATTTGCTTACCTTGGCTTCCTCCTGTTGGAATGTAAGCTTCCCAATAATGAACTCTTTTCCTGGTCTTCTGCTGCATCTCCACATTCAGCAGATTCAAGGCATAAATGTTTATGGAATAATTACAACGAACTAATTCCCTCTGCAATATTTTTACCCTTTTCCATTGAAACATCTTCCTTTTGGCATTTAAGACATAGTATTTTGTTACCTGTCTTGCTCTTCCTCTCCATTCATCCTCTAAGAATAAATGTCCTCTAAAATTCTGCATTTGGCTTTGTTCTTTTTGGTCCATGTTCCTGAAGGTAAATTTCATGAAAGCAGGGCTCCTGTCACCATTGCATCCTTCATGCCTACAGAGTAAGAGTTCATTCAAATTCATTGATCAATGAATGATTTCTTTCCTTTGGTACTCTATGGCTTCAACTTTTCATGCGTGTGATACACCACCTATTTCTTTATTCAGTCATGACTGATCTCCTGATCATCTATCCTACACTTGCAATTCCTGTCATGCTTGCCCTTGAACTTCTTGAGGACACTTCCAAGTTGGTATATTCAAAATATCTTGAACTCATCACCTTCCCTTTAAACATTCTTCCTCCTCAGTTCCTTTCTGAGTTCCAGGATCCTTACCGATGATCATACCATCATCTTTCTAATCACCCGTGGGATCCCATTTACTTCTTTTCCCACTTATTCTCCACAGTTGTTTGTTTGCCAGCCCTACTTGCTCTCACCTCTCACCCATCCTCTTTCCTCTGGTCTCACTGCTCCTGCCCTCATCAGCTCTCTGCCTCTTGGCCTGATTCTCAGCCTAGTTTCCAGCCTCCTTAATGTCCTCCCTCACTCAAGCTGATCCACTTCCAACCCTCAGAGCAGACCACTTTCAGACTTCTTCTATAGCATCCTCTTGCTGGAAAACATCACCTGTTCTCCAGAGCGAATATAACTAAATCAAGGCTGGAAATTTAGAATCCTTCATCTGCCCCAAACTACCACACTAACAGTACTTCCTCCTGCCTCCTTTTAACCTTTCTCATCTCTGGCAGTTCTGGATCATTCAGTGTTTCTTATGTCCGTCTTGTGCTTTTCTTCTTTATTACGTGTACTTACACAATCACTCTGACTTCTGTCTTTAACCGCTATAGATGTTTCAATTTCTTATGGCACTCGATTCTCCTTTGTACTACACAAGTTTGACTAGACTCTAATTATCTTATTGAATCATGAACTACTCTTTGAGCACAGGAACTATGTCTAATTCATATTTTTAATCTCCATAGCTCCAAAATGGTGCTTTTTCCAGAGTAGATAGCCAGCACAGATCTATTGAATGTTGACAAGCACTGTCAGAGGGTGTTTAGGGGCATGGGAAACTTAGATCCAAATTCCAGCTAACTTGAGAAAGTAATAAACTTCTCTAAGCCTTGGTTTCCTGCAAAATCGGAAGAATGATGCTTACCTCATATAACTACTGTGAGAATTACGTGTGATCATGCTTATCATGCACTTAGTGCCTAATAACTCCTAATAAGCATTATTGTAAAATGAATCATCAGACCACTTTGTCCCTTTCCTGATCACATGAAAATATAAAATTTAAAGTACCCACTAAGCATAAACAGCTGCCTTCCTCTCCCCTATATCCCATCTAATCCACAGGACAAGTAAGAATTACAGTTGCTCTTCTCTTGTTACACTTGGTTTCTATCTCATCTTCAAGTCACAGGAATGTAGAAGTAGAAAGTGTTCTGATAATACTGCATGTCTTCCCACCCACTGCCTTGCGTTCATGAAGACTGAGTAGATGGACTAGGCCAACATAGCAGGCCCTTGCAGCCGCCTTGCTACCACCACGCTTTAGTCTCCCTGCTACTTTTGCTTGGCAGGACTAAGCATGAGGAGGGCACCTGGTGTTGTTCAGAGTTTCCTGATTTCCTGACTTTGCTCCTGCTGACCCTGCTATCATGTTTGACCCATCGATATTGTTGGTGAATGCCTGGGCCAGTTCCTCTCTATTACTCCATTTGCTAGCCAAAAGCCTAGACTTTTCCATGCCTGTAGTGCAGGCAGCTCTCGACCAAAGACTTCAGGAAATTGAACTCCAAGCCAGGCACCTGGGATCAGGAAACCACCTGATAGTCAATGTGGTGGCTGAGGGCTCAGGGGCTCTAAAATGTGATGGAAGAAGTCCAGCCCACATCTACAGAAAAGGCTGTTTTCCTTAAAAGAGCTATCAATAGTCAAGTCCCTTGAGACATGTACAGAAGGCTAAGAAAAAAGCAGAAGATTGAATTCCATGGTGTCCCAAGTTCCAGACAGGTCAAGATTAATGAGGACCAAGAGGAGGCTGTTTGGCTGGAATATTAGGAGGTTAGTGGATTCTGGGTGAGAAGTTTCAGTGGCATAGTGAAGGCATAATTGTGCCTCTTCTTATGTCAGCTAGTCAACAAGTATTTATTGAGCACCAGTGATGGGCCAGCTATGGTGCTATGCCTGGAGGCTTAGTAGAGAACAGAACAGACTTAGTACAAGACACTCAACAAAGAGGTATGGGAAAAGCCAGTACCAGCCCTGCCCTTGAGGAGTCTACCATTCCTCTGAGGAGTTAAGGAGGCAAACACACGTGAAAAGTTCAGTACAAATTATGTAATTCTACATCATGGGATATTTCAAATTTTATAACAGGCTATGATATATTCATAGAAATTCAGAGTTTAAAAGAAGTTTAATGAGTTTCTTCTTCAATCCTCTTTTTATATGAGGAAACTGAAGCCATGGAAATACAGAAACCCAGTCAAGGCCGCATAGCTCTCCTCCCTTCCATTGTACAGTTTTTACTTGATATAATAACAGCTTTAGGTCATTACTGTCACAATCTAATGAGAAGTTTTCATGTATTGATAATTCCACCTTAACAAACACAAAATGTCATTAATGATCTTCATGAGCACCATAGCAGCTATAAAAGTCAGTCCTAATTTCCACCTTCCCTAGCAAAAAAAGAATGATGTCCTAAGACAACAGCACTAGCCTGTGAACAGTTCTGTTCCAGTAAGATGAATGTCCTAATCAGTTTGCACTTTTAAAAAGCTCTGAGATCCTTGGTTGGATGGAACAGTAGATGATATATTTGTAGGCTGGCTACTGCTTGGTTTGGTGATCTTTGATAGACTGGGAATGAGATGCTGTGCTTTGTCACAGAGGAATTTAACCATTAGTTGCGTGACTTAACCAAAGAGCAATTCATTTTTGGCTTGCTTTGTAATTTCCAGGTTTCTCATACCCTAAGAAACACTGAGTAGCATAGTGTGGGAATGAACTTAATTCAGTTTAGCTCCCCCTCTTTTGAAGAAAAAGCCATAAGGACAGCATGTGTCTGTTCTATTATTACCCAGTTGCTCCTGTCCATAATGGATGTTCATGATTCATTGCTTATTGAGGAACCATTTATATGGAAGGTTGCCAAAGATCTGAAAATCCAAACAAAATGTCTTGCTCCCTGGTTTGGGGATCAGAACTGAATGGCTCATTTTCAAGTTGCTTAGGGCCACACACCAAGCTGTTGGATAGAAAAGTCCAGTGGGACTTAGGAGGCTGAGCCTAGGCCTGGGATTATGGAATGCCAGTCTTAAAGCCCTCACCCTGCCAAATTTTTCAGAGGAGAAGGCCCTCCTGGTGCCAGGCCCAGGAAGCAGGGATACAGGGGCTGTAACAGGTTTTGTGGAATGTTTTTAAGACATGGCAGACCAGAGAGCATCTATACCTTTCCACACCTGTCTTGAGATGCCACTGATCAACTTCATTCTGGAGCACTAGTCCCAGATGGTATTCCATGACATGTTAAGGGGTGCAAGTTTGGGAAATGCTAGCTTAAACAACATTAAACACGTTTCTTTACTGCAGGATTTCTATAAGCCTTTAATAGATTCACATTAATTGTGATTCATTATGTATCTTCAATAGAATGTTGCTTTTTTCAAATTGACTTGACCAGGAGATCTCCCCTAACCTTAACAGTAGTGAAACTATTAACATTTGAAGAATAATTAGTGAATTTTATGAAATTATAGCCTGGAAAAAAACCCAGGAAGCCTGATCTGGCTCCAAACCAGCTTTGATTTTAAGAGTCTCCAAAGGCCAGACTTTTTGATGGCCACTTCAGAGTGAATGGCAGGTCCTGCTCTTGGTTTTATTTGTCTTTCCCTCTGGATTTTGAGTCTGGCAGTGGGGTCTCAAATCCTAGAATAATTCCCTAAGGGATCCAGTCACTGAGGGCTTTAGACCTTAGCCAACTTGTAGCTGACTGGCCCTCTTGGAGCTTTGCAAAATATGTGCTGTGGTCTAGCAAGCTTGTCCAACCAGCCTTATTTTGTTGCTATTCTGTTTTGTTTTGTTTTGTTTTAGGCTTTTAGCAGCCTGAAGCCATGGTTTTTAGTTTCTGTCTCTAGTCATAAGCAGTAAAATGGGATGAGGAAGGAGATTTATTGGCCTGACCAGAAACAGAAGCCAAGAACCCATGACTGTGTTCTCTCCACTGGACACTCCTACCCAGGAGCTTCAGAGCACAAGCTCTGGAGCTGTGTAACTTGGACAAGTTACTTAATCTCTCTGTGTCTCAACTTCCTCGTTTGTAAAATGAGGATATAATAGCATCTACCTCGGCTGGGTGCAGTGGCTTGCGCCGGTAATCCCAGCACTTTGGGAGGCCAAGGAGGGCGGATCACTTAAGGTCAGGAGTTCGAGACCAGCCTGGCCAACATGGTGAAACCCCGTCTTTACTGAAAACATAAAAATTAGCCTGGCATGGTGGTGCATACCTGTAATCCCAGCTACTGGGGAGGCTGGGGCAAGAGAATTGCTTGAACCCAGGAAGGAAGGGGAGGTTGCAGTGAGCTGAGATTGTGGCACTGCACTTCAGCCTGGGTGACAGAGTAAGACTCTGTCTCAAAAAAAAAAAAAAAAAAAAAACCAAACCAAAAACAAACAAAAAAAACATAGCATCTACCTCATGAGGTTACGGAGGATTAGATGAATAAATACAAGTGAAAGGACACAGAACAGTGTCTGGCACACAGTAAGTGCTAAAAACCATTAGCTATTATTGGATCTGGACTTAGATCTCTGAGGCTGCCCTGTAAATGGAGATGGTGGATGAGTACCACAGCATTTGCCCAAGCCAGTGGCTCTTAACAGATGGGATTCAATTGAAGTGCAAATTGGCAATACAATATTCTCCCACCTACAGTCTTGCCCCTTAAAACCTACCACATATACATGTCGTCTTTAGGGAGTGCCCCAAAATGTACACTATCTTCTGAGAAAAAGTAAATGTTTGTTTCCATCTGGTGAGATTAATAATATGAACATCTGGTTTACATGATTGTTTTTGGAGCTGTGCCTTTGTATTTTTGAAATGTTCAAGATGCACATATCTGCACAGGAATGAAAAGTTGCTATAAAGCTAAACAAGTTTATTTTATTTTATCACTATAGCCTCCAGAACTCAGTTCTTCAATTTAATAGCTATTGGTCCTGAAGTGCAAACTGTGGGTTGCTTCCTTCTGATGCAGCTTAAACAGTACAATTCAGACTCAGAGAGAATCCAGGGTTTCTGGCCCATTCTGGAATGATACCAGGTCAGCTGAAGTTTACAGGATACCTATGAGTTCAGGGATGAAAAACAGACTCTATTGATTCCTACTGTGTTTGGCTAAAGTTTAGCTCTTTATTTATTTATTTGCCAGATAATACCATCTAATGGTGGTCTCAGTCAGGATAACCTGATTTGTTGTAACTAATTGAATTAAATCAACTCAATAAATTTGACATTTTAATGAGTTGACTAAAGCTACATACCAGCTTTCACATCTCCCCTAAGCAAATGTGAATGAAAGTCATTGCATATCTCCTTTGTGGATGGACAATAAGACACTGACAGAAAGGAAAAAAGGAAATCTAGCCATGAACAGTCATTAGAGAACTTCATCAATTCATAATTTGCACAAATCTTGGATTTACTTTGCTCCTTTTCTTTTCTCTCATGTCTTTCTAGAGGATGTGTGATTTACAAGTAGAAATATTTTAAAATATTTGAATATGTTAATAAAGTCATACTTATTGGTTCAGAAGTTTAGATTTTATAGGTGAGCTGGGTGCTAGACTAGTGGTGCCATTTAAGTAGATATCCTTGAAGAGATCATAGGATAGCTAAAATATTAAGATTTTTGGTTTATAGCTAAAATTAGATAAACAGTGTAGTAACATTGGTTATTTTCTAAAGATCCAAAACTTGGATTGAGCAGTTCTTATTACGATGAGAAAACTAATTAATGTATATACAGTTTGATAGAAAAATAGTCCTTGCATTATAAAAGATGGGAGGAAGGTATGATTCTAGGATTTCTCCAGAAGATATAAGACTTGCTTTACTAGATAGTCTAAGATAAGGAGAGTATACGCTAACAAAAAAGAAACTTATAATGCAAATTATTTGTGCTAGTAAATTATAATACTGAATATGGTCATTAACTGATTAACAAAATTATTATAAATAAATAAAGCAATGTAATTATATAAAGCAAAATACCCTACAGAGAAATGTGTATTAGTTATTCCATAAGGTGATATTGTCCATCAACAATCCTGCTGAATTTCTCCATCATCTCTAACTTCAAAGCAGTTTAAAGATATATTCTGCACCTCAGGAGGCCAGAGTCATATTTAGATAAAAAGGCAGGAACACAGGAATTCCCTTCCTGGTATAAATGTTAGAGAAACGCTTGCACATGTTCACCTACAGTAGCATACAAGGATGTTTACTGCCCCAGTATGACCTCTAACATTTCAAAGTTTACAATTTTAAAATGCCTGCCAGTAGGAAAAATGGATTAATAGATTGTAGTATATTCTCATAATGGAGTATAACAAATAATTAAAGTGAAATAAACTAGATCTACATTTATGAATCTTGAAAAAACAGTATTTAGTGGCAAAACAATTTGTAAATTGATACTTTATAGTAAGATAAGACTTGGGTAATTTATTGTAAAACTTGTTTAAAGATGCACAAAAACCACACTATATATGTAGTTTCAGTTCTGAGTGGTAGGCAAGGTATGTTTGCATATTACTCTCTGTACTTCTCAATGTACTTAAAATATTTCATATTTTTTAAAAAAAATTAGCAATAGGTATAGTCTCTTTTAGACTCACCACATTTGTTCCATCTGTAAAGGGTAAGGAAATAGAAAGTCATGTTTAACCTTGACTATTTCAGGAAGGATACCAAGCCAAACTCTAGAGACAATTCCGTATCTCCTTGGACAGAAGAGATAAAATGTGTTATTATTCCTCTGAGAGAAGTTTGCAATCTGGAGAGACTTCGAGTTAATACTCCTCCAGAGTATTACCTTGGGGAATTCAAGTAATGTACTGTTGTTTGTAAACAAACTGGAGTCTGACCTATCATCCAAGTTTCTGTGTGCTTGGGCGAGCCCTGCCTGATTTCCCCGGCTCAGCTCTTCACAGCTTTCCCCAGCTGGACTTCAGCTCTTTCCCTCTACAAATGGAGTTCAGCTGATTCCAGGCAGGAAGTCCCTAACCTGCTTCTCTCCCTGCCCCACCTCTTGTATCTGGTCGGGCTTGGTAAGGAGCCAGTGTTCTCACTAGATTAACACATGGCAGGGCCTCTGTGTAGGTCCCTACAGATTCTGTGCCCTGTTCTCACCTGACTGGCCCCTGGGGCCATCTGGAAGCTGGCTCCAGCCCCTAACCTTTAAGTCCTCTCTTGCTACCAATAATTCAGCCACTTCCTGTTCATGAGATCCTAACATTTCATTGCATTTGGGAGAACAATATATTTGTCTTGCATTTGGCTTGACCATCACTTCCCTGGCCAGGCCAGATCTCCTCTTCTTAGATGCTCTCTTTACAGTCTGGACTTCTCCTTTAAGGTCTCATCACAACTGCAATTAAACAATTAATTTCATAACTAGTTTAATGTTTGCTTCCTCTGCTCTGATGTGGGCTCATGAGGGCCTGGACTGTGTCTGCTCCTGTCATGAGAAGCAGCGCCAGTCATAGCATGTACGTACGTATTGATTAATGAATGAGTGAGTGAACGTAAAACTTCCTCTATACACAGACAAATCTCATATATCTATTTAAGGATAAAAGTGGAATATATTAAAATATAGTTTTTAGAAGGCATTTTTTATTTTTTTTAAAGTTTTCAACATATATTCACAGGATGGACTATCGTAATGGGCTCTCTATGACAGTAACTATCCCCTAAACTTAATAGTGATTATTATTTGCCATATTTCATCTATTTTTCTCTGAAGCATTTAAAGCAATTCCTAGATATCATGACGTTTCATCCCCAAATACTTCAGTACACAGCTCCAAGAAGAAAAAAAGCTCATTTTTCTAACTGCGTCTGAAAAAATTGACAATAATTTCCCCACCTAATATCGAATCCATTTTCAGTTTCCTTTTCCATGATCAGTTGCCTTTTTACAACTGTGGAAAGTACCCTTTTATAGTCGCTTAGATTTGGGATTAACTTTTTGGCAAGAATACTTCATAGGTGATCCCACGTTCTTCAGATTGTATCACCTGAGGAGGCACACAATATCTAATTGTCCTGTTGTTAGCATGATCAGGATTATCAGTGTGTTCAGGGGTGACAGCCTGGTCTCTTCAATACAAAGTTTTCCTTTTCCCTTACAAACAACAAGTAATCAGTGCTTGGCATCCTGCAAATATCTAGTTCCCCTATTAACCTTTTTTCTAGGATTTTAGCATCTGTTGATGACTGTGGCCTGAATCAATTATTTCATCGGAGATCGTAAAATAGATGTTTCTGAATTTTATCATTTCTTCAGTACTTATCCTCTGAAAGGATTATGTAATGAGGCACTCTCTGACATCAATTAGGGCTAGCTGTGTGGATGCTTTGAAATATAATTTAGATAGAAAAGTCACAATAAATGCCTAATTCTTTCCCTTTAGTTACCATTATAGAAATAGAGAGCTTTTGCACAAGCTATTTCCAATGGACACAGAATTTTTTGGAGGGCTTTCCTTTTTTGAGTATCATCATAAACTCTTGGATTTTTAAATATTTAATATGATTTCACTTACAGTCTGAATTCCTTCCCGTTCTTGAGTTGATTGTGGAGAGCTCATTCAAGCCGCTCCTTTGTCCTTTATATGTACAACTCTGCTTTAAAGCATTCATTACTCTCTGGCACAAAAAGATTTCTGAAGCTCATATTGTACATTTTCTCTCATTTTTGCAAAACTAGAACTAGTCATTCCTCCAAGGAATCCTCTTTAGTGTCTTTTTTCCCTTCAGGTGTCTAGAGACTAAGTTCTGTGTGTTGCAGGTGCTCATTTTTATTGAACTATTTAGTGGTCAGATGAAAAAATAATTTTTTTTGAGATGGAGTCTCGCTGTGTCGCCAGGCTGGAGTGCAGTGGCGCGATCTTGGCACACTGCAACCTTCACCTCCCGGGTTCAAGCGAATCTCTTGCCTCAGCCTCCGGAGTAGCTGGGACTACAGGCGCGTGCCACTACACCCAGCTAATTTTTGTATTTTTAGTAGAGACGGGGTTTCACCATGTTGGCCAGGATGGTCTTTATCTCTTGACCTCGTGATCTGCCCACCTCGACCTCCCAAAGTGTTGGGATTACAGGCATGAGCCACTGCATCTGGCTGCATAACCATTTTAATTAGTTTTTTATTTAACCTTTCAGTGTTTATATTTTGAAAATATAAGTATATATACATTCTGATAAATGCATTGTTAGGAGATGTCATCATAGTTTGAACATCATAGAGTGTATTCACACAAACAGAGATGATATAGCCTACTACACACTTCAGCAATATGGTATAGCCTATTGCTCCGAGGCTATAAACCTATAGTACATGTTACTGTACTCAATACTGTAGGCAATTGTAACACAATGACAAGTATTTGTGTATCTGAACATATCTAAATGGAAAAGATACAGTAAAAATATGACAGCTGTTCAGGGCAGCTCCATTATAACTGTATGAGGCTACCATTGTATATGGGTTCATTATTGACCACAATGTTGTCATGAGGAACATGTATTTGTATTCCTCTTTCTTACCTAAAAAACAAGCATACTGTTCATATTATTCAACACTTTGCCTTAAAAGTTAATATAATAATGTATCCTGAAGATCATTCTATATCAATATATAGAGCACTACCTTAATATTTTTTATAGCTGCATAGATTCTACTATGTGGATGCATAAGAGTTTTTTTTAACCAGTATGCTATTGATGGATAGACTATAAATGAGTTGATTCCAATCTTTTGCTGTTATAAATATTGTCACAATAAATAGTCTTGTGTGTGTGTGGGGGTATATATATATATATATATATATATATATATATATATATATATACATATTCCTTTGGGCTAGATTTCTAAAAGTGGGATGACTAGGTCAAGGGGTAATATATATATATAAATTTATGTTTAATAAAGAAATAATTTATATGCATTTATATATAAATATAATTTATGTATATATTTATATATAAAGGAATAATTTATGTATCTATATGTACATATAATTTATGTATCTATGTATATATCCATATAATTTATGTGTATATGTATACAATTTATGCATATATATGTATATACATATAATTTATGTGTATATATGTGTATATACACACAATTTGTGTGTATATATAAAAATATATAATTTATGTGTATATAAATAATTTATGTATATATTTATATATAAAATATGTAATTTATGTATATACTTATATAACATACATTTTTTGTGGAATTGATAAATTCCCCTCCATTGGGGTTTTACGATTATGCATTCCCACCAACAATGCATAAGAGTGCTTGTTTCTCCACAGCCTGGGAACAGACGTAGATTTTGGATTTTTTTGTCATCTGTTGGTAGAGAAGTAATAGCTCCTTAAATTTTCATTTTCATTTTTCTTAGTATGAATGAGGTTGAAGTTTTTTATATGTTAAAGACCATTTGCTTTTACTTTTCTATAAAGTATTTAGACATTTTTAAAGTTTTCTGACAGATTGTTGGTCTTTTTCTTCACAATCTGTAGGAGCTCTTTATGTACCAGAGAGATTAGCTCCATGATAAACACTGCAAATATTTTTCCAATTTGTCTTTTGTCTTTGCCTATGAGACTTTTTGCCATGTGAAAGCTTTTTAACTTTATTGAGTCTGGGTATAGAGTTCTAGGTAGGGGGTTTCTCCACTCTCAGGTTTTAAATAAATTAATCCATGATTTATTTTAATACTAAAATGGTCTCATTTTGTACATTCAGATACCTGATTCACTTAGAATGTGTGAATCTGCTTGTATCTTTATTTAAATGTCTATTCATTTCAAATGTTTTTAATTAAAAATTTTGTTAATTAAAAAGAATGTGTTAAAACCCATCTTTTACCCACTGATTTAAAATGCCACCTATCTCTTTTATTATATTTCCCGATTTGGCTCTATTTTTATAATTTCTATTGTTCCATTGGTCCGCCTCTCATTCACGCCATAGTCTATTCAACCAGTACCACACAGCTGAACTACAGAGACTTCTATTACATATTTAAATAACAGATAGAGGCTAGCCTCTCCTCTTTACCCCAACTCCCACCCCCAGCAATTGTTCATTCTTTTCAGGTCTCTCCTGGCTATTCTTGCCTGTTTATTTATTTATTTTTAGCATGAAGTTTAGAATTAATTTGTCTAGCTCCAGAAAAGAAACTTCATGTCATTTTTTTAATTACTAAGATTGCATTGCATTTATGAAATAACTTGAAACCGACATCTTTATCATGTTGAGTCTTCCTGTCTAAAACACAGTATGGCTTTCTATATGTTCTGGTTTACTTTATATACAATTTTTTAAAACAAAAAAGACTATGTTTTGTAATTTACTTTTTCATTTTTAAAATGTATCTTGGAGATATTCTACCTGAATACATATAGATTTATCTCATTTTTAAAAGGCTATGAATTATTCCATTATATGAATGCACCACAATTTATTCAGTCTCCTTTTGGTGGAAATTGTTTTGTTATTTTAAATATGCTATGATGAAAATTCCTAGACATACATGTGCAAGTATTTTTACAGAATAAATTCCTAAAAGAGGAGTTTGGGGGCCAAAGTCTATACACACATTCAAAGTTTTGATAGATAGTGCCTTCAAAGAATTGTAACATTTCCCACTTCAATGAAGGTTGAGTGAGAATGCCTGTTTTCTCACACACTCGCCAATGCTGTGCAGAATCAATGTTTACATAATCTTCATAACTTGATGCTTTGGTTACATTGGCACCAGTCCACCTTTACCCATCCCACTGAGCCTTCATGATGCCAGATGTGAGATGATTGAACAGAAGCACACCTGTTCTGCGCTACCTAGGGACTTGTTTCATGGTATTACGTGGATTTGCCATGCCATTCATGTTTGGCTCAGTGAGACAAGGGTCAGCCAAGACCCTGTCTTAATTTGGGTCCCCTCAGAAACAAACTCTAAAGATTTGGGTACGAGTAATTTGGGGAGGGAAATGATCCCAGGAAATACCAATGGGGAACTGGAGAAGTAAGATGGGAGGGGAAGGCAGCCTTTAAACGGTGTGTTATGGGGTTACTACGTGGGCAGGCAGAGCTCAATCCCCCTGGGGAACCCTGGCATCCAGTGTAGAACCGGCCTCAAAGTTATACCAACCGAGGAGTGAGGAAGTTAGAGTATTTATCTACCAACTACTCATCTTACATTGGACTGAGGATTACTCAGGGTCATGAACCCTGACACTTGTGACTTGACTTGTAGTGTGGCTAACTCCCTGACTAGGAAGAAAGCCATAAAGTGGAGAGCCACAAGGGCTGGGAGTTTCCGATGAGGTGAATGTTGAGGGGATATGGATGGGACACCAACAAAAAAGAGAAAAGAGAACCCATCTGAAAAAATGACCACTCACAAATCTTTGACTTCTGCTGTCTTCCTCACAGTATTACTCTCAAACTGTAGTTTTTCTACAAAAAGCAGAAATCTAGAAATTATTCTAATTACTGGGAGTCTGTTGCTATTTTTTTGTTGTTGGATTTTTTTCTTGCTAGTTTATGTTTCAGATGTGAATAAACGTCCATGAAAAAAATCTGGTAGCATTCCATGTTGAGTCATAAACATGTAGTCAAATTCCAGTTTGTCCTGGGCTGTTAATCTGAGTTTCATTTCTCAATGACTTCCTCCCACAACTCCTTTGCGGTTCAAATAGTCAGCCCTATGGCTCTTTTCTCATCAAGTGTTTGTGTCTTCTGTTCCTGCAGTCTTGAGGGGCTTTGTCTTCCTTTTATTCAGCTGTTGGGAGTGGTTTGTGGATAAGACCTGAGCAGGCTGAGTCCCCCTGAGTTCCATGGCCTCCAAAGCCAGTAGTGTGGAGTAAGACATAACATTGTGTGTATGCAATGGCTGTTGTCCAGTTTAGGGATATCACACATTTGGCTGTATACTTAGTGACTTGCCACTGAATCACAGCCTCCTCCGAAGGTGGACTGAACTTGTAACTTTTGGGCTAGAAAGAGGTGGATAATTAATTATTCTAATCACCATGTCCCCATTAATCAGTTGTGTTTCTTAGATGGGAAACTGGGCTTAAGTGCAGGCTTACAGGTGAAGGAAATTTAAAGAAAGGAAATAAAAGGAAAGGGTCAAATTTTGTGTCTAAGAACTATTTTCTAAGATTGGTTCTTATTAGTATAGATTCCAAGACTTCTCAGCTAACTTGGGAAATGCAGGGAACTGGAAAAGATGGGAGCTGGGTAAGGTGACTGCAAAGAATTACTGGTCCTTTAGGGTTAGAGGGAGATTATTTTAGGATCAGAAATATGTACTTTGGAAATGTGCCTGTTTTTAGAGTTTTGATTTTCCATAATTATTTCTTATGTTCTCTCTTATTTAGTTAAGTTTTAAAATATATCAAGCAAAAACCACTACAAAATGAAAAGCAACACAAGTATATGCATTTATAAGTCTAAAAGAAAATATTAAATGGGTCAAAGGGAACTAGGGAATGGGGCAGGGAGGGGATAGGGAAGAGTGTTCATTTTTGAGTCAGAGCTTCAGTGGGAATCAATATGAGGAAAACCTTAGCAGACTCCCATTCTGGAATGACTTCCTGGGGACTTTTCTTTTTTGCTAAAATCTTGGAAGATCTGTGTTTTACTCATAAGGGAGGCTCTTTTCTGTTATGATGTACTTTGTTTTACTTAGCACATGTAATCCTAAAATTACATTTATAAACTGCTTAGTAAAACTAGAAAAGTTAGATACTTAAATTTCACTACACACACACACACACACACACACACAGTGAGAGAGAGAGAGAAAGAGAGAGAAAGATGGGGTCTCTCCCTGTCACCCAAGCTGGAGTGCAGTGGCACAATCATGGCTCACTGCAGCCTCGACCTCCCAGCTTAATTGATCCTCCCACCTCAGCCTCCCAAGTAGCTAGGACTGTAGGCACACGGCACTATGCCTAGCTAATTTTTATATTTTTTATAGAGACAGAGTTTCACCATGTTGCCTAGTCTGGTCTCGAACTCCTGGGCTGAAGCAATCCTTCTGCCTTGGCTTCCCAAAGTGCTGGCATTACAGGCATGAGCCACTGCGTGTGGCCTCACTTCATATATTATCAAGGCACTTCATAGGTTATTGTTTGTGTAAATCCAAGTTTTGATTTACTAAGTTTGCTAAAGAAGGTGGAAAATAGTTACTCTTAAGTGTCTTTATTATCTAAAAATCTTAGTGATAGATTTTGACTTGTTTGCATCTTACTTTTTTTTCCTGGAATAAATTTGACTTTCTTGGTTTATTAAAAGAAATTCTGGTTTGTATAACTACTTGTCAGGCCATGAAATGTGCAAAACCATGCATCTTATACCTTTTTATTTTTTTATGTGACAGTTGCACTTTTGTTGTCCAGGCTGAAGTGTAATGGCACGATCTTGGCTTACTGCAACCTCCGCCTCCCGGGTTCAAGTGATTCTCCTGCCTTAGCCTCCCGAGTAGCTGGGATTACAGCCATGCGCCACCACACCCGGCTAATTTTTATATTTTTAGTACAGACAGGGTTTCTCCATGTTGGTCAGGCTGGTCTCGAACTCCTGACCTCAGGTGATCCACCCATCTCGGCCTCCCAAAGTGCTGGGATTACAGGCGTGAGCCACCACACCTGACCTTTATACTCTTTTATTTGTGGTTTTGTGGGAAAAGACCTTGACAATAATATTATTAATGTATTAAAAACATTTCCCCAGGATGTTTGATTTTTAAAAATAATTTATAATCTAAAATCTGTAGTGTCTAGCTTTTATATAAAATGTGAGCTACAATGTTAACAACATTGCCAAATGGCTTACTTTAGTCATTCTCTGAAGAGACTTCCTTCTTTGCTCTTTCTACTCTACCTCTCTGCTCAAAAAATCCCAAATAGTAACCTCATTATATGTTATTATGATGATTTATAGGAATGATTTATAATGTGGATTACTCTTTTTCAAAAGGATCTGGAGGGACGGCTTTTTTTGTAGAAGTTTTTGAAAAGAGCCACTTAATAAATAATAAGCAATGTTTGTGTTTTTTGCAAGTGTAGCAGTGGGGTGCAAGGAGAAAAAGAAGAGGACCATTAGAAGATGGGGATGGCTGTTTGTGTGAAGTTCTCATCTCTTGTGTTTTCAAGTCCTGAACGACAGGGATTATGTCTGATGCATGTTTGGTTTCCTTGTGCAATGCTTTGAAGTGTCTCCCTTCCAGGAACACACAATTCAAGAGAAAAGTAAGATAAGTACACAAACAACTATAGTTCTAAACAAATGAGCAATTGCGTTATTTGAAACGTTTTAGAGGCTATTTTAGAAAGAAACGCAGCTGTAGTATTGTCAAGTACACAGAGTAAATTGAATTCACTGCCAAGTATTATTAAATTTTAGTTACTGATGATGGCACAAGTTTTTGTTGAAATGTTAGACTTGTTTTGACCTTCAAATTGTGTTAAAAAGTTTTAACCAGTTTAAATTTGGGTGTATCAACATTTTAGTTTTCTGATAATTAGTTGGTTTGGGGCACACCGCACAGGAAAAGGAAGAACAGAGAGGTTTTACTCAGAATCAGACCACTGTGGTTGTTTTTCTCCCAGGGTGATACGTCTTTAGGGGCATAAAAGGGTTAAGGGAAAAATCGTAAAAGCACCACAGTGCTTACAGTCCCTGAGTTGCTTCACTGAATATAAAACCAAGAAATCTCCTGTTAGCCAATCATTAATCTAGGTGTTGACAGCCCATTCAGTTTACTGACATTTATATAAAGCCCAGAGAGCTGAAGAAAATCAAATCAGGTTTTAAAGCACTGGAAAGAATGACATAGTTAAAATATAAATGTCTTTCTTAAAAGTTGATCATTACTGGAGGGGAAAATATCACATCCCTGAGAGATGAAATGTTTCAGGTCAGTAATTGTACTCTGTGGGTTGTACCTATCTGGAGCTGCATAGAAATGTACTGATGTGGCCCTGAGCATCTCATGGGCCCTCCAGGGCGGAGGATGATGTCCTCCTGGGCCAGACGGCATCAGAGGAGAAAATCCACCCTGGGGGAAGATAAATGTTTTGTAATAAGTGTGAGCAATTGGCTGAAGGGAACAATTACTTTTATCTTTGCTACTGAGCCTCTGGATTCTGCCAAGTATATTTATGCTCCTTGGCAAAGACTGGATTTTAATTTCTTGGCAAAACACACACAGACATCTCTCTTACAATATCTAGTAAAAGATTCTACTTTGTAAACACTCATTCTACAGGGTTTAGAAGCTAGTGTGGGGGATTAGATCACATGTGCCTCCTTAAATCTTCAGAGAGGAAAGAATTCTTCAGGAAGGGAAAACTTCAAGGCAGTTAAGCAGAGGAGGTCTGCCTGGTGAGTTATTTAGTCTGGCTCCTCTCCTTTTAAGTGCTCTCACTGATTCTGAGAGACAGGTTGAGTTCTTGATGCCGTTTAAAAAACGTAGCCATACCCTCCAGCTCACCCTTCGGCTCCTCATGAATTCTGTGCCATCTTGGGCTTATCTTTGTTTCTAGCTGGTGTGAATGTGACGATGTAATTTCAGCACTATGAAGTCACTGAGAACACTGGAGCTAGCGGTTACTGAGGTTATTAAGTGTCACTCAGGGCAGAATTCCCTATTAAATTGAGCCAAGGATACAGGCATAAGTGAGCTCCTGGCACAGGGCACTAAACAAAACTGACAGAAAGAAAACTTTGGGTTGCTGAAACCAATGGCCTTCTCTTGTGAGCAAATGCTCTGACATGGAAAAATGCTTTGCCTAGTGAGACAGATTGCCTCCTGCCTGTGGCCATGCTACTTAGGAGGAGCCGTATGATGCGATCCTAAGGTCCGTGATCAGTGATTCTGAACAGCAACTGTTTTGTTCAAAGGTTTGTGATCTGGGACCCCAAACAGCAACTGTTTTGTTCAAAGGGAGAGGTGTTATGTAGCAAAATCATCAAGTTGATTTTTTTCCTAAGTGCTATGCATCTAGTGCATGGTAACATGTGGCCTACCTACTCTCAGCTCCTGAGATTACAGACAGGCTCCTGAGGCAAATAGCCCTTAATTAAGGTTCTGGTACTATTAACAAGGATTTAAATGTTCATAGTTTAAGCCCCCTTTTTATAATGAACAAAATGATTCTTTACACCCAGCCATACTAATTCTACAACTTCTAATCCTGAGCAAGGATGGCGAATTTGTGACACATATGAGATAGCTCTCCTTGTTTGGTGCCCTGGCAGACATTCATTCACTCATCATGACATTCCAATAAGTCTTCAGAATTCATGTCAACAGAGCGCTCAGGCAGCTGTTGCCCAAAAGGCTTCTTACAGGAGTATAAGAGTGTGTCATGGCATCCAAGAGCAGAAATGCAGGAATGGCTTGCTACTGGAACTTTTCATTTTATTGGAACCTGTCATCACTGTTCCTCCTTGAGCTTTTAGGGTAGGCAAATAATGACCCCCCGTCCCCCACCACACATAAGGTGTCCTAATTCCTGGAACTTGTAAAATGCTACTTTATATAGCAAAAGGAACCTTGCAATTAAATTAAATATCTTGAGATGGAGAATTTATTTTGGATTATCCAGGTGAGCTCAGTGTAATCACAAGAGTCCTTAGAAGCGGGTAAGAAGGTCAGAGTCAGAGAAGATGTGACCAATGGAAGCAGAGTGGAGTGATGTAGCCATAAGCCAAGGAATTCAGGCAGCCTCAGATGGAAAAAGCAAGGAAATAGAATTTCTCCTATCGCCTCTGAAAGAATGCAAACGGCCAGCCAATTTTAGACTTCTGACTTCCAGCACTGTAAGATCACACATCTGTATGTCTTAAGCCATTAAGTTTGTGGTAATTTGTTACAGCAGCAACAGGAGATTATACAGCACTCATCTCCTTTGTTTCTCTTTACTGAATGGCTTTTTCTGCCCTTTAGTTCACAGAGCAAAACATGGCCTCCCCAGAATGCCCAAGCTTACACATGGCAGGGACTGTCACACACGTAGATTCTGACTCAGCTTTCTCGTCTCCATTTCCAAATACCAAAAAGAGAATGTGCCCAGGACAGCTTGGGTCAGGGGTTTTCCCCTTGGTTGGCCAGCCAAACCCAAGGTGCAAGGCCATACCACATCATGTTTCTTGTTTTGTGTGTGTGTGTGTGTGTGTGTGTGTGTACCCATAAATATTAATATCTTGGTTCTTGTCCTTCAGTATAAAGAATTGCTTTCTAGAGATTTATAGCTAATTGTCCATGTGCTGTTTACATTACTGTTCTTAGTGTGAGATTATATATTTTTCCAAAATCACAATGACCACACTTATTTCTTCATGTGCAAAAACACAGTTTTCTTGATTGGGGAGTTATTAGAATCCTAATATTTTACTTCCATTTTTTTTGTTTGTTTTTCTCATGCCATCTTTTAAGAGCAAAAGATAGGGCATGCATCTTGATTCTTGATTAGATAATGCAGTCCATAATCCATGTAATTATCTGGCGTTGGCACTATTCACAACAGCTGCTAACTAGATACGACCTGTATGCCAAATAAATAGGATAAATTTCCTGCCCACAAGGTTATATTCTAACAAAGGAGGCTGTGTTCTAGAAAATTTTGAATAATGAGATTTGGGAAAGGATTATACATTTTATCGTGTACTCTGCTTAAAAAATAAGTATGCTCTTCTTATGTCAGAACATGCTGTGAAAATAACAGTCACTAATCTTACCAAACAGAAATTCCATCTTAATGCCATATTTACTGACATACAATATTTACAAATTTGCAGTGATTCTTAGGAAAAGAATTCCCTGCTTTATCTCCTGTGATATGGTTCAAAAAACCCAAGAATACTAAGTTAGGCTTCTGCAAGTTAGCCCTGCATTAGAAAGAAGTGTTTATTAGTTAAAAAAGTACCATGTAAATTAAGCATTCCTGTGTGCTGAGCAAGCAGGCAACGTGGACTCATACTTAGAGATCTGAACTGTGGAACCATGGAACTTCTTAGCCAACTTTGTCAGTAAGTTGTCATTTCCGTGTGGCTGTTTAAATGTTTAACACAGAATCTGCAGCCCAGAAAATCAACAGCAGATCATTTGTTAAATGAGTGAGTGGTGGTAACATTTTCCTTTTGGTATTCTTCAGAAAACATGAACTGGTGTCAGGCAAGAGCCTCAAAAGCAAATGGGCTAGGGATCACTTTTTCCCAGTTGTGATTAGAATAGCAAACGTAGTCTAAAAAACATTGATCCAACCTATAATATTATGGCTTATATTTTAGGTTTAAAATATACCTAAACCATTATTTAAGTTTAGGTTTATTTTAAACTTTATAATTTTATTTATTTAAATAAATAAATTTAAGCCAATAAGCACGTAACATGAACCCATGGACTATAAAAAATATTGGATGAATCAGAAGTGGGTAACAGTTTTTGTTCTGAATTTTGTTGCTTGGCAGCAACAGAAAGCAGCCTTAGTCGATTGCAGCGCGCACTGTCCTGAGCAAATGTCCAAGTCTCTGGGCCCTGCCCTATCCAGAGATCCCTGACTAGGGAGTGTCACCAAAGTTGTCATTATGAGGTCTCTTCAAATAAACCCAACTTGGCAACTTTCAATGCAGGAAATATCTGCCATTCTCTCTCTTTTTCTCTCTCTCACACATAAACGTTTAGTCAATTTCCTCACCGTAGCAAAATTTACACATTTATATACTTCATCTTTGCAGACTTGTGTCTTATTTCTCCACATTAATAGACTATTAGTTTTTTAATTCTAAAAAATTTCAGACTCACAGAAAGCATGGAAAGTATACAATAAAGGCATAGGTGCCCGCTATTCAGAATTAACAAATATCAACAATGTGTTTTATTTGCTTCAGTTTTTTTTTCTTTCTTTTTTTTTTTCTTAAAATAGATGGGGTCTTGCTCTGTCACCCAGGCTAGAGTGCAGTGACGTGATCACAGCTCACTGCAGCCTCAGCCTCCTGGGCTCAAGTGATCCTCCCACCTTGGCCTCCCAAAGTGCTGGGATTCCAGATGTTTGTTTGTTTGTTTGTTTTACTTTGTTTTTAATAAATGAAAATAAGGGACAACTCCTCTTCTGTGCCACCCTTACTCTATTCCTGTCCCTCCGTCCCCAGAGACAGCTGTCATCAGGAAGTTACTGGGTATCTGTCCTTCTGAGTTTTTGTACCTTTACTACAGATGTCTGTATTCATAAAAATATTTGCTTCAGTTTATGTGTTTTTAAACTTTACACAAATGTCTGTTTATTCTATAAGTGAGCTGAAACTTAACTTTTTAAACTCAACATTGTTTTTGAGTGTATATGTAATGTATATGTAGCACATTTTATTTATGCATTCATCAGTTAATGAACATTTGGGTTGTTTCCACCTTTCTTATCCATAAGAAAATATTTAGATCTAGTTTACCCATTCATTTTTAACTGATGTGTGATTCTTGTCTAATAGGGTGCAAAATATGTTTTCATTTGCATTTTCTTAATTACTAATGAGGTTGAACACATTCTCATATTTGTTTTTTCTTGGACATTTAGGTTCTTTCTTCTATAAATTGTCTGATCTTATCCTTGGCTCGTTTTTTCATTGTGTTGTTTGTATTTTCTTAGAGAGCTATAGACGTTCACTTTATAATCTTGTATGCTTTTTTGGCTACATGGGTGGCAGTGGTCTTTAAGAAGTTGTGGTTTATCTTTTTTACATCATTTATGGTGTCTTTTAATGTGTAGGAGTATTACATTTTGACGTATGCAGTTTATCACCTGTGCTTTTTTATTGTGTTAAAATATGTATAGCATAAAATTTACCATTGGTGATATTTAGCGGTGCAACCATCATCACTCAAACTTCTCATCACTCAAAAAGGGAACCCATATCCATTAAGCAGTTACTCCCCATTTTCCTCCCACCTCTGATCCTGGAAGCCACTAAGCTGTTAGCGCTATAAATTTGCTGACTCATGATATTTCGTATAAATGGATCCATACACTATATGGTCATTTTTGCCTGGCTTCTTTCGTTTAGTATAATGTTTTCAAGGTTCATCCATATTGTAGTGTGTATCAGTACTTCATTCCTTTTTATGGCTGAATAATATTGAGGTGTATGTGTATGTATATAATATGCATAATATGTATATATAGATAATATTTACACATAATATATTATGCATATATGTAATATATATGTAGCACATTTTATTTATCCGTTCATCAGTTAATGAACATTTCAGTTGTTTCCACCTTTCATAGTAGTCTGATAAACGTTGGTTAAAAAGTATCTGTTTGAGTCCCTGTTCAATTCTGGGGGGTATGGAATTGCTGGGTCATGTGGTAATTCTGTGTTTAGTTTTTAGAGAAACACCCAAAATGTCTTCTATAGCAGCTACACTATTTTGCATTTCTATCAGCAATTTATGAAAGTTCCAATATCTCCACAACTTTGCCAACACTAATTTTCCATTTAAAAAAGTGTTAACACAATTGCAGTGAATGTGAAGTGGTATCTCATTATGGTTTTGATTTACACTTCCCTAATGGCTTATGGTATTGATCATCTTCTCATGTACCTGTTAGCCATTTGTATATCTTCTTTAGGGAAACGTCTGTTCAAGTCCTTGCTATTTTTAAATGAGTTGTTCATTTTTCCATTGATGAGTTTTAAGTGCCCTTTATATATTCTGGATACTAGACCCTTATCAAATATATAATTTGCAAATATTTCTTCCATTCTATAGGTTGTCATTTTACTTTCTTGATAGTGTCCTCTCATGCACAAAAGTTTTTAATTTCTATGAAGTCCAACTTATCTATTTTTTCTTTTGGTGCTTGTACTTTTGATGTCGTATCTAAGAAACCACTGGCAAATCCAAGGTCATGAAGATTTACCCGTATTTTATTCCTAAGATTTTTTATGGTTTTAGCTCTTAGATTTAGGACTCTGATCTATTTTAATTTTTATATAACTGGACTTTCTTATAGATTTATAGACATTCTTTCTGTATTTTCAATATTAATGGTTTGGTTTTGGCTACATGGATGGCAAACATCTTTTAGAGTTTCTGGCTTGTCTTTTTATTTTATGCATGGTGTCTTTTATTGTGGAATAGTATTACATTTTTATGTATACAATTTATCATTTGTGCTTTGGGGGTCTTTATAGGAAATTTTTCTCTACTTAAGGTCATAAAATTATTTGCCAGTATTTTAATATTTTCCTCACCTTTATGTCTACACAATTTATCTGGAACTGATTTATATATACGATGAGTTAGGGAGCTAATTCTTTTTTCCTACATGGACAACTAATGGTCTCAACAGTGTTTATTGGCTTTCCCTCCTAATTTGTAAAACTACCTGTGTCATATACCAAGTTCCCATATATGATAGCCCTTTTCTGGGTTCTCGTTACTTATGCCTCTTCCAATACAACCTGATTTTAATTACGGGAGATTTATCATAAATCTTAGTATCTAGTATGGCAAGGACCCTCTCCTGGTTCTTCTTCAAAATTGTCTTCATGTGGCAGACAGAGTAATGACCCTCTTTCAAAGAGGTCCCATCCTAATCCCTAGAACCTTTCTTTTTTGCATGGCAAAAAGGACTTTTCAGATATAATTAAGTTAAAGATCTTGAGATAGAGAAATAATCCTGGATTATCCAGGCAGACCCAATGTAATCAGAAGGGTCTTTATGAGAAAAAGGGAGAAGTGTCAGAATCAGAGAAGAAGATATGATGATGGAATCAGAGGTCAGAGTGACGTGGCCATCAGCCAAGGAATGCAAGCAGCCTCTAAAAGCTGGAAAAGACTCCAGCTTTGTTCTTTTTGCTTAGGATTGCTTTGGCTATTTGGCCTCTTTTTTGGTTCCATATGAATATTAGGAGTTTTTTTTTTCTAATTCTATAAAAAATGATATTGGTATTTTGACAGGAATTGGCAGTATGGTTATTTTTACAATATTGATTCTTCCAGTCCATGAGCATGGGGTATATTTCCATTTATTTGTGTTATCTGTGATTTCTTTCAACAGTGTTTTCTGGTTCTCCTTGTAGAGATCTTTCACCTCCTTGGTTAAGTATATTTCCAGGTATTTTACTTTTTTTGCAGCTTTTGTAAAAGGGATTGAGTTCTTGATTTGATTCTCAGCTTGGTCATTGTGTATAGCACTGCTACTGATTTGTGTACATTGATTGTGTCACCTGTGACTTCACTGAATTCATTTATCAAATCTAGGAGTTTTTTTGGAGGAGTCTTTAGGATTTTCTATGTATATTATCATATAATTGGGAAACAGTAATAGTTTGATTTCCTCTTTTCCAATTTGCATGCCCTTTATTTCTTTCTCTTGCCTGATTGCTCTGGCTAGGACTTCCAGTACTATGTTGAATGGAAGTAGTGAAAGTGAGCATCCTTGTCTTGTTCCACTTCTCAGGGGGAATGCTTTTAACTCTTCTCCATTCAGCGTGACGTTGGCTGTGAGTCTGTCACAGATGGCTTTCATTTTTTTGAGGTATGCTCCTTCTATGCCTAGTTTCTTGAGGGTTTTTGTCATAAAGGGATGCTGCATACTATTGAATGCTTTTTCTACATCTATTGAGATAATCGTACAATGTTAGTTTTTAATTCTGTTCTGGAAAAGGTAAAGGGAAAGTCTCACCTTAAGCCTCTGGGAAGAATACAGTTTGGGCCAACACCTTGATGTCAGCCCTGCAGCTCTCATTGTGAACTCCTGCCCTTCGAAACACTGAGGTGATAAATGTTAAGTCACTAAGTTTGTGGAAATTTGTTGCAGGAGCAATAGGAAACGATTGCTTGGATGTTGTAGATAAATTTGGTTGGAACTGATATCTGTACATTATTGGGTCTTCCATTCATGAAAGTAATATAACTGTACATTTGGTCAGTCTTCTATGCCTTTCAATAAAGTAGTGTAATTTTCTCCATAAAGATCTTTCACATCTTTTGATATATTTATTCCAAGCTACTTTGTAATTTTTGCTGTTCATGGTATAAATTTTTAAAAATTATATTTTCTCATTTGTCATTGTGTGTAGGAACACTATAGGTTTTTCCAAGTTGATCTTTCCAGCAAACCTACTGAACTTAAAAAAAAAATTATTCCGATCATTTGCTTAAAGTGCCCAGTGGATTTTCCATGCAGACAATCATTATTTACAAACAATGTGTCTTCCTTTCTAACTCTCATATGTGTTTCTGTTTCTTGTCTCACTTCATTGGTTAGGTTTCCAGGCCAATAGAATAAGGCATTTTCTAAGGTATTTCCTTCTTGTTCTGGTCAACTGGCTTTGTAGGTATGTATGTGTAGGTATTTTTTTTTTCTATTGTGAATAAAGAAACAATGTGTACTGTTCCAGGGATAGCCTGTCCAAATTGTGAAACCTAGCCACTTCTTTTACTCTGTCAGTTCTATAAAGATCTTTCTAGAATGATCCCTCACCTTTTTACCATTTGTTTTCCTTGGCCTAAAAGACAGCCCTCTTGGGAAAGTGGGTAGACTCACCCTTACATGCCCTGTTTATGGTATGAAGCTAAAAATATCTTGGAAGGAAGCCAGAAGCCAGATAAATCTCAATGATAGGGTAATCTTTTTCTAGGATCTCTTTTATCAGCCTTGGATATCTAGGATAGTTATTTAGGATATCTTTTATTGGGCTCCCACCACCCCCTTGATGATGTGAGTGACCTTCAGAAGACCTGGTGCACTCACTTGGCACAGCACATGAACCTGGTGCAGGATTCAAAAAAGCTGAAGAAAGCAATCTAGCTCCTGTTGGAGATGCAGTGGGCCAGGCTGCTGTCCCATGGAGATCTGGGAGGAGATGGGTTGCTGGGGGCCCAGCCATTGCCCTCCCATGCCAACAAGATGAGTCAGCAAATCTAACAATGTGCATGAGCCACAGTGTTACCTGACCTAACGTTGCCCTTCAGAGCTTAAACATGGCTGAGGCTTTACTACTGCCTTCTAATTCTGGCAAACATTTTTCTTGTGGCCAACCTGAACCCAAAACCATGAAAAGAAGGGAGCTCTGGAAAACAGTTGTAGCTTAACTACATTGACACAATAAAAAGCCACCATGATTGTTGTCTTGCTAGATAGTCAGAAAGTATCTTATTATATATATCATATTGTCTTGTCTGTGTATACAGAATACCTGAACTGGGCCAAGTTTAAAAATTTTAATAAAGGTCTGTTAATTAAGGCTACATTTGAAGAGCATTTCTTTTGTTCCAATATTGGACATTGTCCATTACATTTTCTAGAATGCCTCACCGTTAGCAGTTGAGTTTTTTTTCTCTTCTTATTGGGATTAGATAACAAATGTCTGTCATATCATCAACACAAAAGACAGGCAATGTGGTATTAAGGAAAGAGTAGTTTATTTTCATTTAGTTCATATATATAACTAGAAATACATAATTGTACATGATTATTGTGTTGCATAGGTGACTTACCATTGTAACTTTCCTGAAATCCTTTCCGGAAGTACATAGGATACAAAAAATACAACTGGGCCAGGCGCAGTGGCTCACGCCTGTAATCCCAGCACTTTGGGAGGCTGAGGCGGGCAGAGCACTTGAGGCCAGGAGTTCAAGACCAGCCTGGCCAACATGGAGAAACCCCATCTCTACTAAAAATACAAAAATTAGCTGGGTGTGGTGGTGCACGCCTGTAATCCCAGCTACTCCAGAGGCTGAGGCACAAGAATCACTTGAACCCGGGAGGCGGAGGTTGCAGTGAGCCGAGGTCATGCCACTGCACTCCAGCCTGGGCAACAGGGTGAGGCTCCATCTCAGAAAAAAAGAAAAAAAATTGTATTTACGCATGTGTACTTGATTTTCAAAGGACTTTCCAAAGATAAGTCTGAAGAAGAAGCCTTTCAATCAACACTTTCATTTCTGGAGAAGAATCCTCTCAGTGAACACTGTTATTTACTGATGTTTGGAAACGCAATATACAGTCATAATGACCGCTTCACAATCAAAGCACAAGTTCTCTTATGTGTGTATTTGCTGATTTTTCTTTTGTTTAATTTTCAGCCAAAGCTAGATGCCCACGTTGGTCATTATTCTTAGTTCAAAATTCTTCACTCGAAATAAATATCTGAATGTAAAATAAGACTTTGGGATCAACATTTAAAGTGGAAGCCTACTAAAAAGTTTTTTAATGTAACATATGTGGCTGAGTTTATTATTTATGTCACTATTTGATATTTTATCTTGAATTCTTAGGAAACTCAAACTATAGCTTCTAGTTTTAGCCCCTGGGGTATTGTTTTTTGGCATAAGAAATGCAAATGCTTATCAGAGATCCATTTTATTTTGTTTTGCCTTGAGAAAATTTCATGTAAAATGATGTATTTAGATATAACACCATTATTTCTGAGATATCACTTATACTCTGAAAATCTTCATGAAATAATATACAGTTTTGTGACTGACCAAACTGGGCTTCCTTGTTTAGAGTTCTTGCTGAGTTAAAAGTTGATAGAATGAGTTGACAGAGATATGCCTGACTAAATCAGTGTTAAGTTTCGTTTTGCTTTGTTTTTTTGCCATTTCTTAAAAGCTGGGTGCTGTTTGTAAGATTATCTGCAGAGGGAAAAATAATTAGTCTAAGGCTTATTTTTCCACCTGTATTTAATTTCTTTTACAGGCTTGGATCATGGTATACTTCCACAGGTATTCGGAGAGATGAATATTATATTATCATAATTAGAATCTTAGGATCTACAGTGGATATGGAATAGGGTGAATTTTTTCAGAATATTATGAAGAAAACATTTCAGAGATATGTCTTCAGAGAATACACAGCATCAGAGAAAAAGCAGGGCCATTATATTAGTTTTACTTGCTCTGAACAGTTTTAGCAAAGGGTTGCAAACGTATTATTGATTACAATGTTGAATTCGTTTGATTTTCATTATGGTCATGGTAGGAAGTGCAAGTCAGGAATACCTTCCTCAGAGACTTAAGAGTGGTTAAGTGCGTAGCAGCACAGGGAAATGGAGGTGCTGCAGTCTGAGGGGCAGCAGGAACCCAGGCATGGAGAGGGGAAACTGGAAGTATCTCAGCACTGAGGGGAGGAAGCAGGTGTTGCCTGAAATGAGATGGGGAAGTGAGTGGACCCAGCCCATCCTTGTTTGACCACCAAGGGGCTTGGATCTTAACTCTGGGGATGATGGAAATCCAGTGATGTGGGGAAACTGATGACTTTGGAATGAATTGGTTCCTAGACAACAGTCACAGATTGGACTGCGAAGTCCTGTAGTTGCAGTGTTACAGAGTGGGGTTCTGTTCCTAAAAACCTATTTCATGAGAAAAAACTCAGTCATGAAAATAAACAGGAAAGAAATAACACAGAAATATATGCTTTTATAAGTGTGTGTTAAGAGCTTTGTAGTGAAGGCTGCTTTGGGGATTTTTTTTTTTTTTTTTTTTTTTTTGCGTGAACTCTATTGAAGTCGTCTTCTTTTCTTTGTAAATTTCCCTGTAGCAAACATGGGAATATTTCATTTTTCCAAGGACCTTTGGCCTCAACTAAAAGTTAGGGTTATTTGCCCCTAAAGTGCTGGCTGACAGTTTGATTGATTGGTTGATTGATTCATGTATTTGTTTACTCAAACATATTTATCGAACACCCACTATATGAGGTATTGTTCTAATAGTAAAAAAAAAAAAAAAGACAAAGGCCTCGCCATGATAGGAGACTTTTTTCTATGTGTAAAGAAAGACAATACATACACACACACACAAATACACACACACACACACACACACACACAAAATGATGACACAGATACTATATTGCCGGCTAGTGAGAAGGGTGATAGAAAGAAAAATAAACAGACTGAGGGGAAGGGGAAGGAGAGTAATGAAAATATTTTATCGAGTGATTTATATTTTTTATATTTATATAGACCAGGGAAGACTTATCTGTGGAGGTGACATTGAGCAGAGACCTGAACAAAATGAGAGAGCCAGCAGTGAGACTACCTGGGGGAAATACATACATGAATGCCTCCAAATGTCTTTGGATGGATGGAGACAGGTAGGGCAGTCACTCCAGTCACTACTTCTTTGGGGATTTCTTGCTGTGAACACAACATAGGTTCAATCAGCTGCAACACCTCTGGCTTCAGTGGGCTCCTCAGGCTCTCCAGTCAACTTCAGACTTGTTGGTAACATCTGTCACAGTCATCAGGCAAACACAAATATGGTGATGATGTTGGGAGGGGTGGTGGGTGGGTGAGGGTGTTGGTATTGTTGTTGCTATTTGTAGTGCTGTTGTTGGTGGTGGTAGTTTTGTTGGTGGTGTTGGTGTTGGTATTGGTGTTGGTGTTAGTGTTGTTGGTATTGGTAGTTTTTTGTTGTTAGCATTGGTAGTGTGTTGGTGGTACTGTTAATATTAGTAGTGTTGGTGAGTGTTGTTAGTATTGGTAGTGTTGTTAGTATTGGTGGTGTTGCTGTTGTGGTTAGTATTGGTAGTGTTATATTGGTAGCACTGATGGTGCTCTTGTTTGTACTGGTAGTGTTGGTGATGGTGTTAGTGTTAGTATTGTTGTTGTTAGTATTGGTTAGGTTGCTATTGTTAGTACTGGTAGTGTTGTTATATTGGTAGTAAGTCTAGTGTTGTCGTTGGTGCTGTTGTTAGTACTGGTAGTGTTGTTATATTGGTTGTGTTGTTGGTGCTGTTGTTAATATTGGTAGTGTTGTTGGTGTTAGTGGTACTGTTGTTAGTATTGGTAGCGTTCTTATATTGGTTGTGTTGTTGTTGGTGCTGTTGTTAGTATTTGTAGTGTTGTTGGTGTTAGTGGTACTGTTGTTAGTATTGGTAGTGCTGTTATATTGGTTGTGTTGTTGGTGGTGCTGTTGTTAGTATTGGTAGTGTTGTTGGTGGGTGGTGGTATGTGTGTGTGTAGGTC